>NC_000011.10:75298120-75601150 GCF_000001405.40 Homo sapiens | reverse complement strand
AAGGCAGGAAGGCAGGGGCCTTGCCAGCTTTGTCAGTGCTGCCCACGTGCTCAGGGCTCCCCCAGGGGCTCTTCCGCCTGTGGTTCCCACCATGCTCCCCTCTGCTGCCCAGAGCCCCAGGAGGCAAATCTATAACCCATCACTCACATTACCTCCCTGAAACAGCAAACAAACAAAATTCAAACCAGCCCCCTATTTTCAAAATAGGTCATTGTTGCTAAGTTAGCTATAAATGTATTTCAATTCTTCCTTAGAGTTTTTGTGTTCTTCATGAAATTCTTCCCTCTTTTGTTTCACTAGGGTTTAAGAATTTACAACCTGCTTCTCACTTCTCATAGATTTGAGGAGCGTCAAGTCCCATTTCACAAAGGCTATGGACTCCTTTAGTGTGTCACTGTGGTTTAAGGCTCCTTTTACTGCTAAAATGTCTCAAAGCAGTTCACATTTTCAGGACCATAGGTACAGAAGTTTCTTTCAGGATATAACCTGTGAACCATCTGCGTTAAAGCAAGGCTTCACCCCTAGCACCACCTGAGACCAGCAGGGTTAGGAAAGCGGCTAGGGCAGCCAAGGCCACTGGAACAGGAAAGACAGCTGTTTCAAACAAAGGGAGCCCAAACTCCACTCTCACAGAACCGGGCATGTGTTTCAACCCCTACTTCCACCCCACTGCCATTTGATGCATATATCCTCATAACACCTAGACCATCCTAGAATTCCTACAACAGGGAGAACTAGAATTAACACCATTATGTATTTTGTTATTTACCCTATGAATACTGGTTAACATGGACAGTGCACTTAGGCATTTACAAAGTTCGTGAGTGGAAACCAGTGCTGCCGTGCAACGCTGTGTCTCTCACTAACCTCCTGGAGCATTAGTGTCCTCCTCTGAAAATGGGGACACTAATACCCCCCCTCAGAGGAGCAGAATGAGGATGAAATGACATGAGGGCTGTAGGGAACCCCTGGAGGACACTAAACATGTCACTTCACGCCCTTCCCCTCCCTTTAGAGTACTTGAAAGTACTTGTCCACTTTCTGACAGATATATACTTAGCTGTTAGTAATACACGAAGTTGATTGAGGCAAACATTCTTAAGAAGATTGCTTTTAAAGAATTACAGCTATTGAATTACCTTGAGTCCACAGACCTAAATGGTAATATTCTAACAATTTATATGTATGCGTTGCTTATGAAGCGTTTCTTTCTGTGCCATTCCACTGAACCCTCCCAATGTTATGGGGCAGGTGTTGGCCCCATGTAACAGAGGAGAAAGGGAAGCTCAAAGAGGAGGGGACACCTGCCAGCTTGGTCAGGCTTAGAAGATGGAGAAAGCACTGGAATCCAGGCTTCCAGCTCCATAGCCTGCTGTCTATCCCTCTCACCTGAAGGAGGCTCAGCTGGCCTGAAAAGAATCAGGTTTCAGACAAGTGGGACCCCCCAATAAAAACTAAGCCCATACCCCACAGTGCCACACTCTGGCTGGGCCATTCCAGGTCCTCCAGCAAGCTTGCCTAGTACCCTCTTTAAATCTTGGGACCCGGATACAAACTGAGGGAAAATAAGAATGGGGTCAGATCTATATACATCTGGCTCAGACGTCCTGGCTATACTGACCAATTATCACAGCCAATACACAGTTTTTCTCCTTCTGGTACTAGCTTGCCTGGGTGACTGCAATGTAGGTTACTAAATGCAGAATTGTCCAGCAGATTCTTCATTCACAAAAAATATACTCAGTCCTGGAGGTACCAAGATAAAACTGGTATCCATTATTATCTGCAGTATATAAGTATTGGATCTGAGACTGCCATTTTGAGCATTTTATTTCAGCCAGTGGAATTGAGCTTAAATTTCTGTCCCTTGTCCTCATGTAATGGGCCTCAATTACTTGTTAACCTGGCATTGTATATAGTGATCTCGACAGATGGCCCCAGAACTCTTATCTGGGGCCAAGAGAGCTTCAGATGCTGAGCTTTAAAAGTTACTGCCACTGCTTGCTACTGGTTTAAGCTGCTAGAGGGATCTTTATGCAAATCTGACCACGTCACCCCGTGCTTTAAACCATCCGTGGGCTCCTCGTGGTGCAGAAGCTTCTTGTTCCCTCGGTGCACCATGCTGCTTCTCACCTCCATGCCTTTACCCTTGCTGTCCACCTGCCTGGAATGCCCTTCTCCTGCTTCTCCACCTGGCTAACTCATCCTTCAAGACTCTGCTCAGGGGACAGCTCCAGGAAGCCTTTCCCGCACCTCCCAAGCTGGGTAAGCTGCTCCCTGTGTGTCTTCATGATGGAACTTGCCACATGTACTGTGTCATCCGCTCATGTGTGTATCCCCCTTACCAGACCGTGCTCCCCCAGGGCAAGGGCCAGATCTCTGTTCACCTTTGTAGCCCTAGCTTCTGGCCCAAAGCCTACCATAGACAGTGTCTTCTAAAGTGCTCATTGAATGAAAAATGAGTGAGTGAATGAATGATGAGATTCACTGTCTGCCTCCACATTCACCATGGTGCTTCCACAAGGCTCTTCTCTGACTATTAACTGTCTCTGCTCCCATGAAAGGGGCAGTTTTGTGAGAGGTCACAGCAACTGCAGACCAGAGAGCAGTCAATGGCTGGTTTTATACTGGCTGGCCTCTGTTCAGGCCTGCATACCTCTGTACTTTAGATAGCCACTTTTTCTAAACAGTCTTGATTGCATAAAATCATGGGCCCTTGGTTACAGGGTAATCTAAGAGGTTGGCCAATCTCACTCCCTGCTCAGTTCAGGGCTCCTAACTCTAGGGTGACAGGACCCTCCCCACCACCACACATTTCACAGGCATGTCTAATTCCAAGCAAGGATTATAACCAACAGGCCTGGTTCTAAATCCAAGCTCTACTATTTACTAGCTGTGTGACCTTAACTGAGTCTCTTAATTTCTTTAAGCCTCCAATAGATAACAATAATACAAATATCGATCACTCTTCGAATATATTTGGTTCCCAATTCAGGAAGCAAGAATTTGGCCAGCAAGGGATAATTTTATTTATTTCGACCTGTTTGTTTTCAGAGTTCAGGATAGCAGGTGGCAAGAGCTCTGAAAGCAAGGGATACCTGATTCCCAGGCCTGCGGTGAGGGCCCCATGGGGAGGCATGCAAAAGTCCTCTGCAAACTGGAGTGTGCAATGCCCTCGCCAATAGCTCATGTTATGGGTAGTTTTGCTGACCACAGCTTCCCAGTTAATTACTGCCCCTGGTCCCTAACAGTATGGCAGCTGGAGCTACACAAGGTGAATCCACTCCTGCCACACAATGGCCTGAGATTAACGCCATCTAGTGTTGGCTCTTGCTGCCTCTTCCCGTCCCCCAGCCTTTCATCTGGCCCCTGCTCTCTAAGCACACCCTATAAATCAGCTGGTGCAGATCCATCTCTGCAATTCCACATTCATTTGGAGTGATCCCCTCTGGATGCAGGAAACCAATTTTGATTAATTGCTCAAGATCCGATCCTTTGCTTTAGATGGGGGTTGGGGGAAGACAATGATGATTTGCAAGTTCCCAGGAGCATAGTGTTAGACAAGAATTGAGCGCTGCCTTAGTCCAACACTTTACATTTTAAAAAGGGTCATTAGCAGAATTATTAGATTCCTGGCAGCCCACTGGGACAATCTGCTGTGCCTTTGACTTTGCCTTCTTGGTGCTAAAACAATCGAGAATGCCTTTAAAAATATTTCTCATACAATTGGAAATTTATTTAGTTCTCCCTAGCAGGCCAAATCTAGAAAAAGTATTTAACATTGGCAAAAATAAATAGGTAAATAACCACAAAGAAAACATAACCACCTAGCCACTTACCCACCTAAGTGCAACCATTTCCCTGTATTTCAGAAGAACATGTCTGCCTGGAGGGAACCCAGAGTGGCAGGGAAAGACCTGAACTAGGGGCTGGCCCCAGATCTTGATTCGACTTTTGTAAAATGCAGAGTTGCCACAGCCTAGGGGGAGGGAATGAACCTTTACTTGGCCTTTACACACTTCGTCTCATTTAATCCTCACAGTAAGGTTAGAGTCTGCAGGTGTCACTCCCATTTACAGATAAACAAATCAGAACTCGGTGATTAAGGAACAAAGTCACACAACTTGTAAGTGGTGAGCCAGGATGTGAACCCAGGTTTGGGTGACCCTAAAACCCATTCCTTGTCCAGCACTTGGGACTATCTGTAGGATTCCTGTTGCAGAGATGTGCATCGCCTGAAACAGCAGCCTCCTCCTCTGTCCCTCGCTTGCTCTGAAACGTTCAATGACTCTCCATACTCTCGTCTATGGAAAATGAGTCACAAGAAGGTCAGAGAAGCTGAGTTTGATCTACACAGTTCACTCCCTCCACCCCTGACCCAGAATTAAGTCTTGTGGAGGCAGCATTTCTCCTAACTGTGGTCCTAGCTGGTGTTTCTGTGTGATGAGCCACATCTGGCGGACTCAGTGTGGCCCTGGGCTGGTAGACTGATTGGCAGCTGCACAGGTAGGGCTTCCAGGTGTGAATGTGGATGGGCACTCTTAGGCAGGATGCCACTGCTTTCTGGGGCTAAGGTCTTCTTTTTCAGGGTCGGCTGAATGCTAGGAAGTAAACCTGGTGGGTAGGGGGAGCTGTGCAGTGGGAGTAGCCAGCCAGGTTGTTGGGGGCCTGGGCCCAGAGGGGCAACTCTCTAAGGAGATGCAGTTGGGAGCTCTGAGCTGGAACCTGCAGAAGTCATTGGCTCCAGCCAGAGCCAGTCAGAGTCATCTCAAGCCGAGCCCAGTCCAGGCATCTACAGACAAATTTGGAATCTCTATATCTGTATATTCCACAAGGAGGGATACTATAGAGAGGAAAGAGCTCCTCCATTAAGGTCCTGACTTTGCCCGAACTCACTGTGTGACTTTGGGCAACTTACTTCAGCTTTCTGCACCGCGTTTTCGCTTCTGGAAGGTGAGGAGAGGGCTTTCTGTCTGCCTGGCTGACACCATTGTTGTGAGAATCAAATGCCTTGTATGTAAAGTTATCTCAGAAACCTTAAAGAGATGTTATCATTTGGAGGGCCAAAAAAGGTGCTAAGTTAAAAATAGGAAAACATTTTCATGTCATGTAAATGCGGTTGTTAGAATTTGATCTTGTATGAGCTATTTTAAAACTCCTCATTGAGAAAGTAGGCCTCCTACCATGTGCCAGCCCTATGCTAGTGATCCCTATGGCCTGGCACATAGTAGGCATTTAGTAAATGTTTGTGGAAGTACGGAAGGAGGCAAGAGGCAGGGAAGAGAGAGAGGAGAGGAGGGGAGGGAGAGAGGGAAAGAGAGATGAAGCAGGCATGGTCCCTGGCCTGAAAGTGCCCAGTCTAGAGAGGCAGATACAAAACTATTGAAGCTGATCTGATAGGGCTGCTGCCAAGGTGGGGGTGGGGGTGGGGGCACTGTGGGAACACAGAAAAAGGAAGTAGAGGCTCAGAGGTTTTTTCACTGAGGAAGATTCTTCAGTTACGGAGTAGAGGTTGCTAAGTGGATGGCGAGGGGTGGTGTTTGGGCAGCCAGCACTGATAAAGCTAGAGCTGCTTGGGCTGATCATTGGAGGTATAGACTCCAGGGCAGAGGAGGTGTGTCCTGTGTGGAGACCAACCTACAATGTGGCCTTTAGTTCTGGAGTTACACTGTCCAAGGGACAGAGCCAACTGAGACACATTGTAAGGAGGGCAGTTGGAATGTGAGGGCTCTGGGAACCAAGTCTGAACTGTTGTGGGGCTTGTGTTACTTGGAGAAGCCAGGGATACAGACCCAGTTGCTGCCCCCTTCAAATACCTGAAAGACTGTCCTGGGGCAGCCAGCAGGGCATTCACTAAAAGGGTGGCCCTGGAGTGCAAAACAGGGATCAGTGCAGAGATAGGAAGGAGTGGAGCTGACTGCAATGCAAGCTTCTGCTCAGGTCTAACCAGTGGCCACTGAGGAGGAGGCTGCCTCACCGGGCATGTGCAGCCCACCCCAGGCAGTGCGAGCAGCGGCTGGGCAGCCACCTGCCAGGGAGATTGCAGCAGAGGCTCAGGAGACCCATGGCCCAGCAGTCTATCCTTCCAGCCCTGGGCACCTTTGATTTGGCTTCTGGAGTTTTGCTTTTATGGAATAGAGAGGGAAGACTTCTCCAACAAAGTGACAGCTTGGCCCCTAATAAGATCTTTGAGCCTCTCTGGTTTGAAGAGACACAGGCCGATAAGGCTTAGGGCCCAGCTTGGAGGTGGTGCCTGTACCCAGGTGGTGGCGTCATGTTTGTGGTGTGTGTTTACAGGTCTGTCTCCTGCCTCACTCTAGGAGCTCCTTCCCCCAAGTCAGGGCTTGGCTCTCATTCACTTCTGTGTCCCCAGTGAGGGCCTGACACAGAGCAGGGTCTCAGTAGATTTGTTCAGTGAATGGATAAAAGAGAAAAAAATTAAAAGTGAATAAAGAGAAGAAGCTACACCAGCCATGTGTTTTTCCCACCAATATCTGCCAGGTACTACAATGAGCCAGACCCTGTGCTAGATACTCATGATGCAAAGATGAAGAAAACACAGTCCCACAGGCTAGCAGGAGAGGCAGATAATTACCAAAGAACAGGATAATTACTAAAAGAGACACTCCCACAGAGTCCGGTTGAGGATAGAGGCGGAGCGAGAGTTGTTTTGAGAACTCCTGTCTCCTGCAGATTCTTCATAAGAATAATGAGCCTTTCAAAGATGGTTTCCTTGGCAATCCCCCTTGGCAGCTGCATTTCCATCACTGTGTTGGGAGCTTTGTTTGTGTCTAAGAATCATGAGCACATGTACGGGGCCCATGGAGGCAGCAGCAAGGGAACAGAGCCCTGGAATCACACTGTCTCTGTCCATGTTCTGCCAGGGGCCCTGTGGTGCCGTTGGCCTGGGCTTCGCTGTTCCCCTCCTGCCCATCTTTGCTCCAAGTGAGTTTGCTCCATCTCTTCCACCTGCCTGCTGAGATGTTGAGAGGCCCATGTTTTAGTCCTGGACCTGGAGAATCACTTGTCCATTCTGGGTCAAGTTTCCATCTGTGGAGCAAGACAAATGGACCAGATCAGCAAGCCCCGCTTTGGAATTAACATTTGCTAAACATCACTTGTATTCCAGGGGCCATGCCATGAGCATTCACATAAGCTAATCCTCCCTAGAAGGTGGACCTTCTAATCTTCCTTTTGTAGATAAGGAAACTGAGGCCTGGAGATGTGTGCCCCAGTGCCATCCTATGGCTAGGAGGGGGTTGAATTCACATTCAAACCCAGCTCTCTGGGCCTCAAGCCCAGTCAGTGCACTGTCTCTATAGCAGGTTGCTTTTTACATCATGAGAAATAATAGATCTTAAAACGTCTGGCACCAAGCCTGGCCCATAGTTATTGCTCAGTGTCTTTCTTCCTCAAGGCTTTTCCACACTGCCCCACACTCCCACACTTTCCCTGGAAGGCAGGAGATTCAAGGACAGGGTCCATAGGCTCCCCACTCTCTGAATTATGCCCTATGCCAGGAGCATTGCCACAGCTGTTGGCTGCTTTGATGGTGCAACAGGAGACAATCTGGGAAGAAAAAAACCACGTGGATGGACTATAGGACTGGAATTGTGTGCAAGGGCAGGAATCAGTGGGAGGGAGTGAAGTCCTTTCACCATCCAGTGGAGGACAGGGCTCAGTAATCCTGCTGCTAGACTCTGGAAAGTATGGATCCAATGTCAGTGTGTGTGCACTCAGGAGGCATTACCTTGTCTCCATGGAAACAGGAAGAAGGATAGAAAATGAAGTGTCTAAGACAAGATGTCTCATATAACCTTGGAACATTAAGTTTTGCAAATAGGACAGAGCCTGGCACAGAACAGTCTGTTGTTTATTCATTCACTCAAGTATTAAGTCAGAACCCACCTGGGCTCAGGTACTGTTCATTTAAGGTACAGAGGATACAATGATGTGCAAAACTGACATGGTCCCTGCCCTCTGGACACTTCAGTCTAGTGGGAGAAACATTAATCCAAAAGAATACAAGGAATTAGCTGAGATAAGAGAGGAAAGCAAGTGCCAGGGACTAGGAGAGCCTGTAGCAGGGGGCTGGCCATGACTGTGGGGTCAGGGAAGCCTTCCCAGGGCAGTGCTTCAGTGAGCTGAGAGATGACAGCTGAGTAAACACTAGCCAGGTGAAGAGGGAACAAGAGAATATTCCAGGAGCAGACAGCTGCATGTGCAAAAGCTGTAAAATGGGAAGGAGCAGGGCGTGCCGAAGGAACAGAATGCTGGGCACAGAAAGCCAGGAAAGGCAGGAAGGAGAGGGGTGAAGGGGTAAGGAAGTGGGTAGATTGGCCAGCTAGGTGGGGCTGTGTAACACATTTTCTTCTTTGTTCTTGGTACAAGGAGAAGGTATTGAAAGGTTGTGAGCAAAGAAGGGACAAGATAGGGTTTGCTCTCTTAAAAGATCATTCTGATTTCTGTATGAAGAATGGGTTGGAGGAGAGCAAGAATACATGGAACAGGGGACAGCAGTCAGGAGGCTGTGACAGTGGTCCAGGTAGATGATGGCATAGCAGGTGGTAGGGGAAGGGAGGGAGGGAAAGAAGTGGGAATATTCAAGAGATAAATGTTAGGAGCTGAAATCAATGGGACCTGATGGATGGGGTGAGGGTTTTGAGGGAGAGGGAGGTATCAAGGATGAATCTGAGTTTCTGGCAGGGGCTAAGGAATAGAGGATGAACCAGCTTTCAGCAACAATAACTTTTAAATCTTTCCATTTTGCCTTCTTTGTTTCAGATACTGTGCTGGGCATTGGGGCTGCAGGCAAGGAGGTTGGCCCCTGTCTTCAGGGAGCTCTCTGTCTAGCAGGGGGAGCCTGGCCTGCAGTGGGGATATGTGAGAAAGCGGAGAGAGAGACTGTGAGACGGTGCTGCAGCAGGGATGCAAACGAAACTAATCTGGAGAGACACAGGCAGGAAGACCAGGGAGGAGGTGGGAGCTGAGCGGAGCCTTCAAGGACAGGCAGGGCCTTGACAAAGAAAAGTGGGTGAAGCAGAAACAGACAGCCCGGGCTGGCAGTGTGCAAAACAGCATGAGAGGATGATGCAGGGAAAATGGGGTTCCCCCAGGACTGCTGTGAGGGTTGAATGACATAAGGCAACAGACGCATGAGCATTTTAGTAAACTGCTATCACAGTTATTACAGAAGTGGACTTATTTGTGCACTATCCAAGCACTCTGAAAATATCAAGAATTGTTATTCCAGACGCCCACCTAGCAAAATTTTCTGTTGTAATAATCCCTGACATTTATATCGTTATCCCCACTTGATAGGTGGGGAAACTGAGGTCTATGGTGGTTAAACAATTGCCCAAGACCTTTCAGGCAATAAGCAGCACAGAAACCAAGGTCAGCCCAGCAGGTCATTGTACTTTCTGAGAGGTTAGTGCTTTCGGGGTGCACAGGCTGGGAGAAGGCGCCCGTGGCATATGCTGTCTTGAGAACATATGCTGCTGACCCAGGGCACCAGATTTGGTTGTGCAGGTTGGGCCATGCCCAAGGACAGCTGGCCTGTGGCCTGAGTGGGCTGAATGCAGCCTGCTTCTGCTCCCCAAGCCACGAACCAGCTTCCACCCTGAGGGGGTGGCTTTGCCTCATTCATACCAGCCTCACGGAGGAGGTGGGGCACTTTACAGATGGGAGACTGGCAGGCAACTGGAACCATGTGAGGACCAGTCAGTGTCAGTGAGGATTTCACGGTGCCCTTGCGTGCAGTTTCGTGCATAGAAAAACTGTCCAGGCTGCTTGGATTTTAAAGATGAATGCTTAATAAAAAGTAACAAAAATAAAATTAGTAAAATGTAACAATCTCTTTTAAGGAGGATGTTATAGCTTAATTCAATTACCCTAAATATAAATTAAATTATGAATAATTTTAAATAAATTAAGATTAAAAATATGGTGACCATTGGCTTGTCATAAAAGTTCCATCGTTGTTTAAAAATGTGTAAAACTGTCATATCTTTCAGCTTTAGGTTATACATCTAATTTAATTATTCCGTTACACATTTTATATTGGGATTACAAAGCTAATCTGTTAGACATTCTAATACGCTAAATTATCTTAAACATTACAAATACCTTTGAACTAAATCTATGCACATTTTTCCTAAACTTTTTTCTTTTTTTTTTTCCTGGAGCCAGTGTCTCACTGTGTCACCCAGGTTAGAGTGCAGTGGTGTGATCTCAGCTCACTGCCACCTCCACCTCCTGGGCTAAAACGATTCTCCCACCTCAACCTCCTGAGTAGCTGGGACTACAGGCACCTGCCACCACACCCAGCTAATTTTTGTATTTTTAGTAGAGATGGGGTTTCACCATGTTAGCCAGGCTGATCTCGAACTCCTGACCACAAGTGATCTGCCCGCCTCGGCCTCCCAAAGTGCTGGGATTACAGGGTTTTTCTTAAACTTAATATTAAAAAAGTAATATTGGGGACTTGATTTAATTCATCATTTTAATCTTAATTATAACCTTCCCATGATTAAAGATACCCACTAAAGAAAAAAGTTTTCTAACCTAAGCAATATGGGGTTATGTATCCATGCAAAGTTGAGGCTAGCTCACAACTGGCTCATTAAACAGAAGAGCCCATTAAACAGAAATTTGGTAGGTGGCACAGGAGCCAATGCTGTAGATATCCAAGGAAATGTACTTCCTGGCCCAGGCTGCAGGGCTGGCCTTCTTTGTGACCTCCAGGCCAGCAGGAGACTCCAGGCCCATGTCCTACCCTTGGGATAGGTTCTGCAGCCCAAGCCCCTGAGATGGAGTTAAGCTCCCTTTTTTTTCTTTTGTCCCTTCTCAGCTTCCTCACCCTGTTGGGAGGACACCACCCAGGTCGCTTCACAATCTAAGAGAATACACCTAATCAATTTCCTGCTTGGCTCTGTTCTGAATTCGGTTTTTCTTTTTTCCTCTCTGACCAGCCACCAGTGACTGGAGGTATTTTAATGCCATTTTTGGATTCCACATGCTTCTCACAGCCTTGCCTGGCTCTCTTCTCAAACACTAAGGTCCTACTGATAGCAGCCAACTGTGTCTATCTGGCCAGAGCAGCTGTGTTCCATATCATGCTGAGCCAGAGAGCTGCCCTGGCCCCTTCCACTGTGATGCTCAGGGACAGCCAGGGGAACTAGATGGAGAGGTTGCCTGTGCTGTGTGGACTCTGCTGAGAAATACCAGTCCCTGGGTGGCTCAGGATGCTAAATACAGTAAAAAGCTTCTGCATCAGGACAACACAGAAGAATAAAAGCAGTCCAAATACACATAATTTTACTTCTAAGTAAACAGAAAAACAACCATAATACTACCCAATAATACCATAGTACAAGGTGCTCTAGGTGCTGACCTCTAATCATTATAGATTTCTGAGTAAATATCATTATACCCAATAAATAGAGTAATAGTAATAGTCACCTTGCATTGAGCACCTACTATGTGCCAGGCACACTAAGGGAAAGAGCACAGGATCCAGGAGCGGAAGGATCCAGATGCTAGTCCGTGGGGGTCCCCTCACTTTCCCCATCACTTGTCCTCTCATGACCTCATTTTCTTCATCAGACAAGTAAGGGTAAGAAAATCCTTCCTGTGTGCTTCACAGGGCTGCTCTGTTGCTGAAATGAGCTATAAAAGGGAGCCATTCGGAAAGCTGGATGTGTTGTAGGCGTGCAAGGGCCTGTGATGCTTGCTGAGCAATGCCACTCTCTCGACTTCCAACATGGCCTGCAAGGAAGGAGTGTGCACTCTAAACCAGAGGGCTCCAGGCTGGCCGGGTCTAAGTGTGGCAATGCTTGCCTTTGAGTGTTAGTGTTGTCACACGCTCTCCACAGTGTGGGTGGGCCAGGGGATGAGGCAGACGGCCACAGTGAGGCGAGGGAACAGTGCCTGAGGATTCTGATGAAAGACTGGGACTCTTGGCTATAGGGAAATAAGCCCAAGAGCCTGGAAGTTGGTGAGGGCAAAGGTCTCAGGAGAGCAGAGAGAGCCAGAAGTGGGAATGGAGTTAGGGGATCAGGGCCTCATCCCTACCTGAAAGCGGAGTCCCATTGAGTCACCTAGCAAAGGTTGGGGGTAGTGGGAGTGGTGCATGCAATCACAGGGCGCACTGTCTATGGAGAATTTAAAGCAATAAAGCTAAAAGCTGCCTGTAGTCCAGCTATTCAGGAGGCTGAGGTGGGAGGATCACTTGAGGTCAGGAGCTGGAGAACAGCCTAGGTGACATAGTGAGGCCCCGTCTCTACAAAAACAAATAACAAAAAACTAATAGCTGGCCTGCTTTTTATTATCACTATATGCTGCTCATTCTATACAATGTCAGTGATAAAATACTTTTCCCCTTGCAGGAGAGGGAGAGAGGGGCATTCCCACTGCTTCCTTTCCTGGTATGCCATGGACCCCTTGCCCCTTCTTGCAGCCAGCACTTAACAAGGGGGTCAGGGAGTCAGGGAGGCAAAAGAACTTTGAAGGCCCTGAGAACAAGAAAAGAGCACCCTGGCCTGTGGGGGCATCTGGTGGGCAGCTGAGATGGGGCTCCCAGGATGGGCCCAACGATCCTAGAAGAAAAAGTAGGGACCTGGATGGAATGTGGGGTGGACGGGCTGCTGGGATGCCTACTGGATGACTCCGAGTCCAGCTACAGTACTGCCATTGTCACCAGCGTGCCACCCCCTGTGCCACGTGCAGGTTATAATCAATTGGCAAGCACATTGAATGACTGATTCCTGAGCCTTCACCTCACCCCCCTCCCTCACCCCCGCCCACATTCTGTACTAAGAACACAGAAATCATATTCTCCTGGCTCTCCAGCAAGAGCTGCCCGGCCCAGGCTCCACTAGGCCAAGACTTATTAGGCAATCTGTACTCTGCCCTGTCCCTGCCTGAGCTCTACTCTCACAGTGATCACCTCTCTCTCCTTTGCAGGAGCCTGGCTCAACCCGTCAGTGATTCAAGTAAGACTCAAGGTCCTGTAGCCACAGAGCCAGACAAGGATCAAGGTTCTGTGGTCCCAGGCCTTCTGAAAGGTCAAGGTCCTATGGTGCAAGAGCCTCTGAAGAAGCAAGGTTCTGTGGTCCCAGGGCCTCCAAAGGATCTAGGTCCCATGATCCCATTACCAGTCAAGGATCAAGATCACACGGTCCCTGAGCCTTTAAAGAATGAAAGCCCTGTTATCTCAGCACCAGTCAAGGACCAAGGTCCCTCGGTCCCAGTTCCTCCAAAGAATCAAAGTCCTATGGTTCCAGCAAAAGTTAAGGATCAAGGCTCTGTGGTACCAGAGTCTCTAAAGGATCAAGGTCCTAGGATTCCTGAGCCTGTGAAGAATCAAGCTCCTATGGTCCCAGCACCTGTCAAGGATGAAGGTCCCATGGTCTCAGCATCTGTCAAGGATCAAGGTCCCATGGTCTCAGCACCTGTCAAGGATCAAGGTCCCATAGTCCCAGCACCTGTCAAGGGTGAAGGTCCCATAGTCCCAGCACCTGTCAAGGATGAAGGTCCCATGGTCTCAGCACCTATCAAGGATCAAGATCCCATGGTCCCAGAGCATCCGAAGGATGAAAGTGCCATGGCCACAGCACCCATAAAGAATCAAGGTTCCATGGTCTCTGAGCCTGTAAAGAATCAAGGTTTAGTGGTCTCAGGGCCAGTCAAGGATCAAGATGTTGTAGTCCCAGAGCATGCAAAGGTTCACGATTCTGCAGTTGTGGCACCTGTAAAGAATCAAGGTCCTGTGGTCCCCGAGTCCGTGAAGAATCAAGACCCCATTCTCCCAGTACTAGTTAAGGATCAAGGCCCCACAGTCCTACAGCCTCCAAAGAATCAAGGTCGTATAGTCCCTGAACCTCTGAAGAATCAAGTTCCTATAGTCCCAGTGCCTCTGAAGGATCAAGATCCTCTGGTGCCAGTACCAGCAAAGGACCAAGGTCCTGCAGTCCCTGAACCTCTGAAGACTCAAGGTCCCAGGGACCCTCAGCTACCTACTGTCTCACCTCTACCCCGAGTCATGATCCCAACTGCCCCCCATACGGAATACATTGAGAGCTCCCCTTGACACTCACCCCTTGACACACCAATGAAGGAGCTGACAGTGAGAGTGCTCCCCTCCCAGGGGCAGTGAAGACACATATTTAATCTGCATGAAACATGTACAGTAGTCTTGCTGGAATCTAATAAAAATGGTCCCTCTGGCTCAGCAATGTTTCTCTCTGTCTCTGTTGGGCAGGGGTGCATACATGTGTATAGGTGGGCCTGTCAGGCTCTGCATTCACCCGTCTGGACCAGAGGGGTCTGAGAAGCACCAGTTCCTGTGAGTTGTCAGCATGAGATGGGAGTGGGTAGGCGATGCTAGATGGAAACAGGACCCCATCACGGAGGTGGGCAGGATAAGGCAAGGGTCAGATACCATGACAGCCTCACAAGAGGTGCCAAATCCCAGCAGGCTGAGCCCTGGGTAGCTGAGTTGAAGCCTGCAGATGAAACAGGAGCAGGGACCCACCTGGCACAGGGGAATTCTGGATGACAGTTGTTTGCCAAGAGCTCAGCCTTAAAGCTCATCCAGGGGTCAAACTTCTTGAGGAAACCAGGCTCTGATCATAAGTCTCAGGACACTGTATAACCTAACACCTGCTAATCCTCATTCAATATCCATGACAGCTCAACTGAGAGCTTCTAAAGAATATACCTAGAGCCAGGCACAGTGGCTCACGCCTGTAATCCCAGCACTTCGGGAGGCTTAGGTGGGTGGATCACCTGAGGTCAGGAGTTCGAGACCAGCCTGGCCAACATGGTAAAAACCCTGTCTCTACTAAAAATAAAAAAATTAGCTGGGTGCGGTGGCAGGCACCTGTAAACCCAGCTACTCAGGAGGCTGAGGCAGGAGAATCACTTGAACCTGGGAGGCAGAGGTTGCAATGAGCCGAGATTGTGCCACTGCACTCTAGCCTGGCTCCAGCCTGGGCGACAGAGCGAGACTCGGTCTCAAAAAAAAAAAGCGTGTGTATGTGTATGTATGTATGTGTGTGTGTATATATATATATACACGTATATATATATATACACGTATATATATATATATATATATATATACGTGTATATATATATGTGTGTGTGTGTGTATGTATATCTGAAGTCCCCATTCATTTCTCCGTGCAGCAAGCTTGTCCTTAGCATGCACTTTGTGCCAGGCTCAGTGCTGAGCACTGGGGTCACTATGGGAAAGAATATTATGACAATAAAACATGGTATGGGATGAGGCCCTAGGACAAGTCAAGACCTGGCTTTGAGAGGCCAGTGAAGAGAGAACACCTGGCAAGAGCAGCCAGGAAGGCTTTCCAGAGAAAGTGGCTGTGGAGTTCTGATGGAGTCTAGGCAGTCCAGACAGGGCAGACAGGGCGGCATGGGTGTGGCTGAGGACCGGGTAACGCTCCCTCTGAAAGTCCTTGAATGAAAGGAATCTGGTTTGCATGAGGACTTGACCAAGGGTATGGCAGGTCTCTGGGGTGGAAAACTAGGACGAGGCAGGGGTGATCCATTTTCTGAATTCCAGGAAATCAGGGAGGGAGTGGGGGTGCGTCCTGTGGGCTGTGATTGTGGGGCTGGCAGGCCGAGGAACAGCCACAGCCAGGCTGTGGGGAGGACGGCTGGGAGCTGCCAGCGGGCCTGGGGCTCAGCCTCAGTCAAAGATGGGTCCGGCCGGGATGCCACTGGCAGGGGCCGCAAGGCCATATTACAGCCTCCCTTTCAAAGCCCAGAGCCCCCAAGAAGCTAGGGTGGAGGCTCCACCAGTTGCCCCCACCAAAGCTGGCTCCCAAGGAATACTGCTATCCCTTTCAAAGGAGCTCAGCTCAGTTCTTACAGGAAAATCATCAGAGGAAATACAGTATGGAGGACACCCAAATAGTCTAGTTTTCTAAGCAAGCCTTCCCCATCCAACTGGCCCCAAGCCTGCCTCCTCACCCCGTTCCCAACAGCACTAGGGTTTTGTCTATACACACACAAACACACACACACACACACACAGAGAAAGAGAGAGAGAGACGTTTCTTCACAGTGAGGTTGGCTTTTTTTGGCCCAACACAAAAGTAGCCCTCAGAGCTTGCTGCCATATGAGCTCCAATAGTCAGAAACCTGAAGATAAGACAAGGCCACATTGAGGCTAAAGAATTGCGTGTGAAGGTCGGGCTCGATGGCTCACGGCTGTAATCCCAGGACTTTGGGAGGCCGAGGTGGGTGGATTATTTGAGGTCAGGAGTTCAAGAGCAGCCTGACCAACATGGTGAAACCCTGTCTCTACTAAATATACCAAAATTAGCTGGGTGTAGTGGCAGGCACCTGTAATCCCAGCTACTTGGGAGGCTAAGGCACGAGAATCGCTTGAACCTGGGAGGCAGAGATTGCAGTGAGCTGAGATCTAGCCACTGCACTCCAGCCCGGGCGATAGAGCGAGACTCTGTCTCAAAAAAAAAAATCGCATGTGGACACCTTCCTCCTCCTCCCAGTCCTTCCTCTGACCCACACACCAGGTCCCATGACACACACGTTTCCACAGGCCAAGCGAACCGTGGCGCCATCTCTGAGAAGCAGAACAAGGTTTCCCTGAGGGCCTCCGAGACACCCGGGGGCAGATGTCCAGGCCACTGGCTACCAAGGCTTGACCTCTGAAGAGACGTCTGGAAACAGGGCCTGGTAGTCAGCTGCCCTGGGGCTGGGGGGAGGATGGTCACAAGCCCCACATGAAGGACGCTGCGCTCCCTCAGAGAGTGTCAGAATGGAAAGAGATGTGGGTCCTGTTCCAAGCGTTGCGGACTTAAGAGGTCAGAGAGAATCGCCCAGAAAAAGTTCAGAGGGGCTGGCCCGGAGCTGTAAGGAGGAACCAGGGAACTGTGGTGCCCGGAGTGATTCAATCAGGAGACAGTGAGGCCGGGTCGAAAGCTGGGAGGGCCGGCGCAGATGAGGACTGAGGGGTGGCCGCTAGATCTGGCAGTTTCTGCTATGAGCCCAGAGCCAGCCCCTCAACATCTTCATTTGCAAGCCGGTCCTGACGCACAGAGCAGCGCCTCTGAGCTGCAGGCCTTCCCAGCTCAGTCCAGTCCAGCCCTCCACTACCCAGAAAGAAGGCCCAGTGCGGGAGGAGGGGCTCTGGGTCCCCATCTTGGGGTGGGGCAGGGAGGGCGGGGGCGCACCCGACTCTCCTGGCCCTTCTTACAAGCAGGCTTCACTCGAGGCCTAGCTCCTCCCTGCGGCAGCCACTTCCCAGTCTCCCGCGGCGTCCCCTTCCCCACCTCTCCCTCCTCCCTCCTCTCCTTCTTCCTCCCAGCTGCGGGAACTCACAAAGCAGGGGCGACCGCAACCCCGCAGTCCGCGGGCTCCCGCGCCCCTGCTGCAGCCGCCCGGGGAGGGGAGAGGACGGCCCCGCGGCGCCGCAGAAAGGGCGCCCCTACGCCGCGAGGGGCAGGGAGTCGGGGGGTCTCTGGAATGGGAGGCTCCCCACCCGGCCCAGAGGCAAAGGCGACCCGCTGAAACTGGATGGGCCGGCGGCGGAACTCCGACCCGAGAGTCCCACTCCGAAGATGCCCAGGCTCGGGAGGGCGTCTCCGCCCACAGAGCCCCGCTACCAGGGCTCTCGGCTCGGAAACAGCAGCCCCCGTCCCCGCGCACTCGCACAGCCCCCCGCCTGCAGGCTCATCTCCGGCCCCGCCCCGGGCTCCGGGCTCCGCCGCCCGTGCAGCCTGGCCCCGCGAGACCTCGGGACGCGGGATCGGGCCGGTGGGAAGGATAGTGCCCTGGCGAGGGTGGGCGAAAGAGGCCCCGGTATCTGCGCTCTGCCTACCCGCTTTGGGCCGCTAGAAGGCCTGGCTGGGAGACCCTTTCCGGGAGCTGGGCCGAGGCCTCTCTGGAGTCCCCGGTGGCTGGTCTGGGGAAAGGCCGCGATGTTAGTCCTCACACAATGGACCCCACCCGTGATACCTGCCGACGCCCCACACGGCCTAGGCACCTTGTGCCATATTGGGGGAGCGGGGAGACGGTCTATGTGGACAAGGGACAGGAGCCAACTCGGACTGGAGCGACACTTTCGGGAGTCTGTGCCGCTGAGTGGATGGATGGTCTAGAGGAAGTGGGTGGGAATGCACTCGGGTTGACCCAGTTCTCAGCCAGAAACCGGGAAATCCTTTTCAGTACCAGTCTCCGACCCTCAGCTTCCAAACTATCAGTAAGACCTGCCTGGCCTTCCTGCTAAATAGCAAATTTGCCCACTTTTCACTATCTCTATGGCCACCCCCTCTTACCTCACCCATCTCACAATTTGTAATTCAGTCTATGCATCACAGCATGGCACTCAGGTGTAAGAAATGCCACGTCTTTATTTTGGTAAATCTAATTAAATAGACTGGGAGCCCCCTTCTCTCGTTGCCACGGTTGACAGGAAATCTGATATTAGTCATTTTCCTGGAGCCTCATCCTGTCTTTGGGGCTTATCACAATTCCAGGAGGTTCAGGCCATCCTGAGAAGAATCACTATGGCTTCCCTGAGCCCAAGCCGGGGGGCTGGCAGCCCCTCTCCCTCTCCCTAGGGCTTGGCTGGGGACCTCCCAAAGCCTGCCCAGGTTGTGGTATTTCTGCCCAGTTTGCCCAGGCATTCCTATAGCTTCCACATCTGAGCCCATCCCTCAGAGGCCCTGCAACCCAGCCCGCAGGCGCGTGGCCCTTTCTGCACACCTTCATTCCCGGAGGGAAGCCACTCCATCCCTCATCCATCAAAGCACCTGCACTTTCACTCCCTCTCCACCTTGGGCCATCAGTTCAACATCCTCTGCTGGGTGTGGTGGTGCATGCCTGTAGTTCCAGCTATTTCGGAGGCTGAGGCTTGAACCCAGGAGCTCAAGGCTGCAGTGAGCTCTGATCATTCTACTGTGCTCAAGAGCCCATCTCTTGAAGTGGGGGGAAAAGGGGAAAAATCCTCTACGGCGTTTATTCTGGTTCTGGGTGGGCCAGGGCTTCACTGTTTTACATTCCCACCCACAGTGTAGGAGGGTTCCAGTTTCTCCACATCCTTACCAACACTTGTTATTGTCCATCTTTTTCATGTAGCAGTAATTTCTTTGGCTTGTTCCAGAATCTTACATTTTTTTCTTACATAAAAATTGGTATCTAATAAATATGAGTAGATCTCTATTGTTGTGTGGATTAATGGGAATCCAGGAAACAGCTTGTTTTGGCAGGAGGATGGACTCAATTTGGTGTCCAGACTTCTGGACATGGTGGTCTGAGACTGGGAAAAGGGTCTGAGCTGAAGGCGGAGATGCAGACCTCATTGAAATGTGAGCCTCGCCAACCCACAGAAGGTAAAAAGGCTATGAGAGAGGGTGAGTTTACCCAGCAGGAGTGTGGAAAGCGAGAGACGGATGGGGTCAGGTCAGAGCGCTGGGAAACACCCACATTCAGGGGACAGGCAAAAGAAGGAGCCCCCAAGTGGAGGCTGCCCTAAAGCAGCAGAGGAGTCAGAAGAAAACTAGAAAGGAATGTCACCTTGGGGAAGACATCAAGGATGAAGAGTTAACAGGGTTAGAGACCATAACGGCTTCCCTGCAATATGGATTTAGAATCTGTTGAACAAAATGGGCAAAATGTCGTTACATATTGAAGTTTTGTGATGGGTACTATTATTTATTTATTTTGAGATGGAGTCTCACTCTGTCGGCCAGGCTGGAGTGTGGTAGTGAAATCTCCGCTCACTGCAACCTCCGCTTCCCAGGTTCAAGTGATTCTCCTGTCTCAGCCTCCCGAGTAGCTGGGACTACAGGCGCACACCACCACGCCTAGCTAATTTTTGTATTTTTAGCAGAAACAGGATTTCACCATGTTGGTCAGGCTGGTCTTGAACTCCTGACCTCAGGATCTGCCCGCCTCAGCCTCCCAAAGTGCTGGGATTACAGGCGTGAGCCACCGTGCCCAGCTATGTGTACTATTATTTAATTGTCATGTATGTTGGAATTTTTTTCATAGGCGCGAAATTAGTTTTTTTTGTTGTTGTTGTTGTTTTGAGATGGAGTCTCACTCTGTTGCCAGGCTGGAGTGCAGTGGTGTGATCTCGGCTCACTGCAACCTCCGCCCCCCAGGTTCAAGTGATTTTCCTGCCTCAGCCTCCCGAGTAGCTGGGACTACAGGCGCATGCCACCATGCCCAGCTAATTTTTTGTATTTTTAGTAGAGATGGGGTTTCACCATGTTGGCCAGGATGGTCTCGATCTCTTGACCTCGCGATCTGCCCGCCTCGGCTTCCCAAAGTGCTGGGATTACAGGCATGAGCCACTGCATCCGGCTGAAATTAGTTTTTTTTAAAGTAGCAATAAAGAGATCACTGACTTTGGCAATTGTAGACTCTCTAGAGTAGAAGAAACAGAAGCCCGATTTCGGATAAGGGGGATAAGAAAGGAGAGAAGTCAAGTGTGTTTTCATACCTGATGCATAATTTACTGACATCTCATTTAGCAACCACTGAGCACATATAACCCAAGTATCCCTGAGAAAAGAACACACTGTGTGTTACAGTCATTAATTACTTTCACAATCCCTTGGTGCCTCCCACACTGAGACCACTGTCAGCTAAGCCCAGCCAGCAGTGAGCCAAGAGTCCTTCCCCAAAAGGAGGAAAACTGCTTGCTAAGGAGCACCAGGCTTCACTCCTAAATTGTAGATACTCCATTTTGATTCTTCTATCAGAGTTTGCCATGGGTTCAAATACCATCCCATCTGCCGCAGACACTTGAGCCATCTTGGGATCGGCTGGGCTATCAGGGCCATGTGGCAGAGCTGCTTGCCTTTCATTCTGGACCACCTGGAAACTTTCCTTTTCTCTGGACCCCACTCCAACCCTGCAGCCTTATAGGTTACTCAATAACCTTATAAGGATCAGAGAAACACACCAATATATTTTGCTTCCAGAATACATAGAAGCCCAAGAAGTGTTGTGCTTATTAGCAGTAAGAGGCAGAAAGCCCAGCAAGTTGTCTTTCATTTTGCAGGGATCCAGATCACTGAACACCCAGGAACTTCACGTGGTTGGCAGGCCCCTATGTTCTCATGAAACTTACTTCCATTCTTAGGCACACTTATGTCTTATTGATGCATCTGAAGTACCCACTGCTTCTCCTTCTCCCAATCCTAGCAACATAGTATAATCAATGTAGTGGACAAATATAATGGCCTGTGATATGGGAGGATGATCAAAATCTACATAGAAAATCAGAGACTTGAGGAGTTTCAAGACAAGATGAGAAAGGTGTACTGCTATCCCTGCCAACAGAAAGAAAACTGCTAAGGGGACTGTCTGTAGAGGACAAGAAAACATAACTCATCAGATAGTTTTACATTGTGACAAAAAAACAATTATAATTCCCATAAAAAGACCACACCTGGAATAATAGCATCTGCAACTGAACTCACCACCTGAGTAAGCTTACAGTAATGACCTGTCATTCTCCAAGACCCGTGCCTTCTGCACAGACCAAATAGATGAGTTAAATGAAATGTGACAGAAACCACCTTTGCATCTTTCAAGTCTTTGATGGTGGCACAAGTTCCTGTTACTCCCCAGAATTTATTATTGGTGTATTATTTTGGTAAGAAGGAGGAGATTGAGGGGTTTCCACTTGATCATTTTGCCATAATTACGCTTATTCCACAGGTCTGGAGGCTCATGTATGAATTCTACCTGTAATTCCAATTATATATCATGAAAGTAAAAAAAAAATAATAATAATTGCAGAATGGGTTCAGGGTCCCACTGCACTTGGGTCAAAACTCCAATTATTACCTGACCAACCTGAGCCTCTACACAGCAGCTTTCTGGGTCCTCAGGAATTAACATTAAATAGACTTAACATCCACTAATCCCTGAAAAATTTGAGTATTTTCTTTCCACAGAGCACAGTTTTCTGGCAAATGGCCCAGGACCGTTTGCAGAAGGCTGAAGGAATGATTTACAGTATGTATCTCTGGTGCTATTCAAGGGGCTTTTCTGAAGGGTACTGGCCTCTCTTTCATTCTAGGGACTTTGGGTGAGAGGTTGAGATCTTGTTCTTAGTGGCTCAAGTCAAGCTTCCACTTGCCAGCTCTAGAGGGTTTGTGTTTGTTTGTTGGTTGTTTTGATTTCCTGTTTCTGTTATAGAGATTAAGGAGGGCCAGGTGCGGTGGCTCACACCTGTAATCCCAGCACTTTGGGAGGCCAAGGTGGGTGGATCACCTGAGGTCAGGAGTTCAAGACCAGCCTGGCCAACATGGTGAAATCCTGTCTCTACTAATAATACAAAAATTTGCTGGGTGTAGTGGTGCATGCCTGTAATCCCAGCTACTAGGGAGGCTGAGGCAGCAGAATCACTTGAACCCAGGAGGTGGAGGTTGCAGCGATCCGAGATCGCATCACTGCACTCCCATCTAAAAAAAAAAAGAGAAAGAGAGATTAAGGAGGACCTTAAGAGCTGCCCATCTGTTTGGTCTCCTTGGTCTTATTTGGTCCTTGATTGATCAGCCTTTGCTGAAGACATCTATGGTCAGAACATGCTTATTGCCACCTGAGGTCTGATGTCCTGGGTGGTCGAGTGCTGCTCGCCCTCTGCTCCCCTGGGGTCCTATCATTTCCACTGAAATCATGGAGTCCATTTTCATGGCAGCATCTCCCACCAGTATGCCGAGCCCACAGAGAGCAAGTGCTGCAACATGCTTCAGAGATGCTTCCCTCACTCATGTGTTTCTGGGTGCCTTGGTGAAGGGGGTCTTTCTGTACAAGAGGAAGTTAGGCATGTGGAGCTTAGCCAAGGAGAGGGAGTGGGCCACACAGGGAACAGTCACCTCAACATTCCTCCCTCCCTTGGTCTTTGGATTGCATCTTCTATATTAAAACGAGGAACTTCTGGCATCTCAATTTCAATGAGCACAGGCCTTGATTGAATCCAGGAGTCAGTCAACCAGTTAAGCAAACAAAACCACTCCTAGCTGCTCACACTGGCACATTGAATCTAGAATCTCAGCTAAATGTACCTATATTAATAAATTCAGCCCGGTGAAAGTCATATTCCTCCGTCCCTGGATTAGCACCCACAGAAAACATTCTGATATACGCTATCCAGATTTTTGCTGATATAAGTTAGCAAAATCTTGCAATTCTTTTGATGTGTGTGCTGCCTCCTCCCAGACTTGACTCAGGAATTAGGCAGGCAAGGATCTATCCATGATGGGGCTGGAGACAACGTGAGTGGGGCATGAAGAGAACTGGCCTCTCCTCAGGTGACAGATGCCCACCATATTATGCTCCAGAAGAGGAGTCTAGTTTTCACGCTTTGAATCTGGGTTGGCCTGATGACTAGCTTTAACCAGGAGAATGTATTATAAGTGACATAATGCAAGTTGCAGAGCCCAGGCCTCAGATGCTTAGCTCCTGCCTCCATTCTCCCGGAATCCTGAGGTCACCGTGCCATGAAGAAACTGGGAAGGAGGATGCTGTAGACAGAGAGGCCCAGCATCAGCCATTCCAACTATCCCAGCTGAGCCCAGCATCCAGTGATTGCAGTCATCTGAGCAAACCCAATTAAGTCACTACATGTGGAGTGGCCTGTTACTCAGCAATAAATAACTAAAACGCTGCAGGATAACTTCCAGGCAAGGTCATTGCAAGATCTTCGGGCAAGGCAGCAGGAGCCTCCGCAGGTAGAGGAGCAAGGACTGCTTCTGCCACTAGGAGGCGCGGTGGAGTAGATGTTGTTGGGGCGGGGGCGGGGGCGGGGGCGGGGGGGGGCCTCTAAATTGTCCATATCTTCCCATATGACACTGTCTCATTCTCATCGAGGTCAGTGCCCTAAGTTTCACCTGAGACAGAGCAGTCCTATGAATTCAACTGATAAATTGACTACGTAATTTGGCAACGGCAGCCTCAAATTCATGTCTTAAGAAATCAGAAGGCTGGGTGCGGTGGCTCACACCTGTAATCCCAGCACTTTGAGAGGCCCAGGCGGGTGAATCACGAGGTCAAGAGATTGAGACCATCCTGGCCAATATAGTGAAACGCCCTCTCTACTAAAAATACAAAAATTAGCTGGGTGTGGTGGTGCGTGCCTGTAGTCCCAGCTACTTGGGAAGCTGAGGCAGGAGAATCTCTTGAACCTGGGAGGCGGAGGTCGTAGTGAGCCGAGATTATGCCACTACACTCTAGCCTGGCAACAGAGTGAGTCTCAAAAAAAAAAAAAGGAAGTCAGAAAATGTGGCTCAGTGCACTCTCCTCTGCCTGGAGTTTCCCCTGCTGAGCTTGGGACCTCTGCTTACACCAAGAATGGGTAAATGGAGAAATGACATGGAAAAAAAGAAAGGAAAAGAGCTGTCCACTTCTCAGCGTGGGTCTTTTCAATACAAAGCCACTTCCTCATTCTTGCTGGAGCAGCCAGGCGGGTCAGTGTGAACTGGGTGCGCCCCGAGGGATGGGGCACTGGAGACGACCACGTGGTGGGGCTGAGCAGACTGAGAAAAGTCACACTTGAGAAAACGGAAGACGGCAGCAAGATGCATGAAGGATGGTGTGTCTCCAGGGCACCTGAAGGGATGCTGCTGTGCATGCTGTCATGCTTCTGTCTAGGGGCCTGGAAGGTTCCCTGGGGGTTATAGTATCCTTTGAAATAGGCCTCTAAGGATGAGGGGGCTCAACAGGCAGAGATGGGAGGGGCCTGGGACCAGGCAGAGGAGACAGCATGGGCAAATGGGAAGGGGAGATGGTGAGAACTGAGAGGGGCTGTAGAGTTAGCGGGAGTGGCGGGACAGAGGATTGGGAAATTCAGAGGGATTGAGTGGCGAGGGCCATCTGTCCTGCCTCTAATAATGCTCACTGACCCTCTGAGTGCCTTATCCAGGGGGTTCCCATCATGTAGCAGTTCAATCCTCCATCTCCCACTTCAGCCCTCCTCACCACCCCCCTCCCTGTGTTCCACGATCACCCTGCCCATCGCAACTGCTGCACCTCTGTTCCAGCTGTTCTTCACATCTGGAATGCTTCTTTCCTTCTTGTCGTCCAGCTCCAGCCCCTTCTTCCAGGAGTCTCCCCTGACACTTCAGCCCAGCCTGAACCCAAGGCACTGTGGCATAATGGAAGGGGTCAGGCTTTTTACAGTTGCAGAGAGGTAGGCTCAAATCCCAGCTCTGCTGTATGATTTTGAATCACTACCTTCTCTTATTAGTAACTACTAATAATGTTTATTGGCTATGTATTTGCCAAGTACCATGGATTACCTCATTTAACTTTCACCACAACCTTATGAGGTAAGTACTGTTATCATTTCCACCTTACTACTGAGGAAACTGAAGCTCAGAGAAGGTAAGTAACTGACCCATGGTCACACTGCTAGGAAGTGGCAGAGCTGGGACGCCCGTCAGGTCTGTCAGGCTCCAACGCCTCTGCTGCTAAACACCACAGCTCCCACTAGACTGCTTCCTTAGAAGGTGCATTTATTAGGCGCCTCCTGTGTGCCGGGCATTGTGTTAAGTGCGGGGATGCAGCAGGACACAGGCAGACAAGGGCATGCTGTCGCAGAGGTCACAGCTGGAGTGTCAGGACAACAAGCCCCGTGCTGCAGGGACTGGGGAAAAGATGGGTGACCGCCCCCTGCAAACTGTGGAGCATGGAGCTCACACACGTCAGTAACTTCTCCTTCCTCTACAGCCAGGAAACCTGGGTTCCCATGTGAGCCAAGCTCTGTCACTGTCCTGCTGGGTGGCCTTGAGCTGGTCACTTCCCCTCTCTGAGCCCCAGTTTTCTTGTCCATAACATGGAGCAGTAATAGCTACTCTGGAGGGAAGTCTGAAAAGTAAATGAAATCATACATGGCAGTGCCAGGCACACAGTAGGCACTCAGGAGAAGGCTAATCCGCATCCACATCTGGGACCCGCACAATCCAACAGGCTTATTATCTCCCAAGACTTTAACAAGCACCAGGGTGAGAATAACAGGGTAATCCCTCCAATGGCCTCCAGGCAGCAGGAAAGCTCCACACAGGGCAGTGATGGGGCACTGGGGGGCAGCAACACTGGCTGGACCAACCTCTAGACCCCACCCCACCCCTAACTCACCCACCTCTGCCACCTGCACTGCCACTCACACACCAGCAACTCCAGTCCTCACGGACGGGTGTTTGAGATGCAACAGCACAGACCTCTTACCACCCTCCCCACCTGAGTCAGGATGGAGGAGCGTGGCCTCAAGACCCCCTTTGGGTCCTCTCGGTGGCCCCACACCCGGGCCTGGCTTATTTTACTGCCCATTCCCACTTGGTGGGGGAGCTGTCACAGGCTGAACTTCAGGGCCAGGAGGCCTGGGTTCCAGCCCAGTCTCTGCCTTCTCTGAGCTACACCTTGTAAAGTTAGGATGACTTCCCACCTAACGGGGCTATTGCAAGGATTAAGAGAGATGGATACAGATCGTATGCAAGTTAACATGCCTTCATTACTAGAATCTGTGCTCAGTGCTGGGTTCCAGGCACTGTGTTAGGGGCCTCTCCTGCCCTTCCTATGTGGCGAAGCAACTACCCAACCGACTAGGATCTAGTCCCAGCTCGGCCCCCACTGACTGTAGGGCCTCAGGCAGCTCACTTAACTGCTCAGCCTGTTATCTCACCTGTAAGATGGGGACAATCCCTACCTAACTAGCCAAGCTGTTAGGAAGCTTGGATAAAATTGTACATATTAAGTATTTGGCACATAGGAAGAGCAAAACACAAAGGCGTACCAGCTGGTTGCACTCAAAGCATTATTCTGATCCAGAAATGCCTACTCACCCTTTAAAGCAGCCCCCATATCACCTCCTCCTGGGAGCCTTCCTCGATATGTGCATGATGCTAAAGCTAGGTGCAGGATTTGCTGCAATAGACAAACAGCCATGGACCCTCTCTTCATGGAGCTTCCATTCTAAGAGGGGAGGCAGGCAGGGAAGTCTTAAGTGGGTAATTTCATAGTGCTAAGGAGTCAGTAAAGTGAGAAATCATGGTAGAGAAACTGAGGTGGGAGAGGGACTGCTTGTGTAGGGTGGTCAGGGAAGGCCTCTCTGAGCAGACGTTTACGCTGAATCCTGGATGACAAAAAGCAACCCTGCAAACATCTACAAGAACCGCCTGCCAGGCAGAAAGGACAGCTAGTGCAAAGTCCCTGAGGCAGGGGGACAAGCGTGGCACACCTGGAACAGAATGATCCAGGTGCCTGGAACACAGTGAGCACTGAGTACCCTATCCCTAAGTCTCCACCTCTAGACAAAGCCCCTTGAGGATAGAGATCTGAATGATTGAGCCGAAGCACAGGATGGCCCTGGGACTCTGAGCAGTCTTGCTGAAACTCTGTCGTGGCAATGATGGGAGTGAATCAGCTGGCCCTTCTGCAGACCCATGTACATCTTGGTGGCTACTGCTGGATTGCTCAGCCAGGTAAGGGGTCCCTTCCTGAACCAACAACCCCCAGGTCACAATCTTTGGCAGAGGAAAGCTGGACGTGCCCAGAGAGAAAAATGACCTGTCCTAGGTTAAAAGGCCAGCAGGCAGCAGAAATGGGCCTCCAGCCCAATATCCTCTGCTCCTCTGCCTCCCTGGCCACTGGCTCTGTTCCGTGCATCCCTCTCTCTCCCTAAGGTACGGTGTCAGGAGCCCTAAGGACCATGAGGCATCCAACCGGAGGACTGTGTCAAAAAGGACCGTGTTGGGTGCCTCCTCCTCCCCTGCTACAAATCCAACACTTCGGGCCACCTAAGGGCAAGGATCCCCACAATCTCCTTCCAAAGCCCAGCCCAAAGCCAGGCAACTTACTAAATGTGTGCCTGAGTTTGTACCTGTAGCCCTGGATGTAGCATGAGGTCAGCGTGCAAGGAAAGGCTAGGGGAGCTGGGCATAGTGGCTCATGCCCATAGCCCTGCCTGTAGTCCCAGCTACTCAGGAGGCTGAGGAAGGAGGTTCGCTGGAACCCAGGAGTTTGAGTCCAGCCTGGGCAATATAGCAAGATTCACATCTTAAAAAAAGGGTAAAGAAAGAAAGGCGAAGAGGCTGAAGACTGGCTCCAGGTCCAGTGCTCTCATTCAGGTCCTGCAGCTGCTACTTCTCCAGGGCTGCCAGAGCCAGAACCATTTCCCGGGTCAGCACGGAATGCACCTGCCACTTGGCGCTGTCTGCACAGTGATCTGCCAGCGATCTGCCAGCATTCCAGGGCCTGATATGAGCCATCAGTAGCGAGTCTGCCTTAACAGGAGACCTTGTCCCCTGGGAAGAATGGTGTAAGAATCTCCTGATCCAATCTTCTTCCACGCTCCAACAAAATGTCATTGGAAAAGTTTTATTGAAAAAAAAAATGTACAAATAAGTTCTTGGATTGATAGCAACAAAGGCTCATGTTCCCCCTTCCCTCCCTATCTTTGAAGAACTAAAAAAGGAAGAAACAAAACAAAAAGTTCATCCCCACAACGCCAGACACGATGCTTCTTGACCAGAGTCTGCCCAGAAGCCCCTCCTGGGAGCTCCTTCTCAATCCGCCTCACTGCGGCCAGGTCATTCTGGGGGTGCCTGGTCCCAGGGGCTGCAGCACCTAGTTTTATAGTTGGGAGAGGTTGGGATAGAGCTGGGGAGGCAGCTGAGGTGTTTTAGTGTCAGAAGAGGGCTGGCTGACCCCCCTAGCTCAATTTGGTCTCACAGGTGAGAAGGTACCTGGCTATAAATATGAATACTGATTGAGGCAGGCTTGATCTGGGACTTTCAGGGCAGGCAGAATGACTATGGCCCAGGTCCCACAGGATGTGGAGTTTCCGGGCTCAGCATCATGGTATCTGGGGCCCATGTCCAAGTGGAGTGAATTCTAGCTGGGAAGGTCCGCTCAGGCACACGGGAACCCCGGTCTGTTTTTCCACCCCCACCCCATGGAGTATCCAAGGCTGGTACCTCACCTCCCCCCCAACCCCAATAGCACCCATGTGTCTCAGGAGCCTTTGGATGCCTCCTGCCATCCTGTGTGCACCCTGAGGCCCTATAACTCGTCTCGCATCTTGTCACCCTTAGGCCGGACCAGGCGCCCAATGAATAGCAGGGAGCCGCTTTGGGTGTCCCGCACTAGGAAGATGAAGGGGTGGTCGGCGTAGAACAGCTTGGGGCTGCGCAGCTCCTCGCGCCCGTAGATGTCCTGGTCAAAGGGGTTGCCATCTGTGTCCAACTCAAAGGCGGTGGCGTGGAACACGCTGGCCAGGTACAGGTCCTTCTTGCCTGACATGCGTGACAAGTCGGCCTTGTTCTTGTCAATGGCCTCAGTCAGGCCCAGCCCAGCCAGGTGTTTCTGTGGGAACAAGGAGGTGTGCCAGGTGAGGCCATGGCTGCCAGGCTCCTCCACCCTCAAACCCTCCACCCCATACTACCCTGACCGCTCCTCAGAGAGGAGAGAACCACCCCCTGGTCACCTTCTGTATGCCAGGCATGGCACTGGCACTTCAAATCACAGCTTTCTCAATTCTCACTGCAACCCTACAAGGGCTTCTAATTGCCACTTCACAGATGAGGAAGCTGAGACTCAGAAAAACAAGTGAGAACGTATCCCGGCACTGCCCAGCTGCAGTTCAGGGACAGACAGCATGGGCACCACCCAGGAGCTTATCTCAAATGCTCATGTCCTGACCCCAGCCCAGACCCCCTGAATCAGAATCTCTGGGAGTGGGCATGGATTCCTTTTCACAAACTCCCCAAGTGCTTTCTTAGCATACTCAAGTTTGAGAAAGACTGATCTAAGGACAACTATGTCCACATCACTCTGGGGCTGAAAACCTGTCCAGAGTGATAGGATGCCTGGAATTTGCTTCAGAATAATCAGATGCAGGGGGGAATTAGTGGGTATAAATGGATCACTATTGGCCATGAGCTGATAATGCTTGAAGCTGGGCGACAGACACTTGAGGTTTCATTACACTAATCTACTTTTATTTTTCCAATGTTCGATAGTAAAAAGTTAAAACACATATACACACATACACACACACACACACACAAACATCTTTCCATGGCCCTGCACAGCTCTTGGAAGCCAACCATAAGCTCTTTAACATATGACCTGTGCCTACGTGGCAGCCTCCAGCCACATCCCTTGGCACGCCCCACCCCACTCTCCAGACAGCCTCACAGAACAGCTTATATCCTGGATGGCCATCCTGTCTCCCATTAGGGCTCTTTAGAAACCACTTCTTTCAGGAAGCCTTCCCGAGCCCACAGGATGAGTGGTGCCTCCCTGGACCTTCCTGTTATCAGTCTGGTGCTGCCTGTCTCTCCCACCTGGCTTGGAGCTCCCTGAGGGCGGGGCCCATGTCCAGCGCTCTCCCTGGCTCTCAATGCAGGAGAGAGGACAGTAAATGGCTGTGGGCTGAGTGAATGGCAGCATCCGGGTCCAGGATTCTTCAGGATAACATCCACCTCCCTGGCAAGGCCACACAGGAACTAGGCCTGAGGTCCTGAGAGTCAGGGGGTCATGAGACAGGCATTCGAGGTAGGCCCAGCTCTTCCCACCCGGATGACCTTGCACACGTCATCCGCCTCAAATTTCCTAACTCAATCTACCCCATATCTGGGGGGTGGGGTCTCCACTGAGGGTTCCAGGAAGACACCAGAGGAACAAGGGGAGAAGGGGGTGGGACAACAGCCACTGGAGAAGGGGCTGGGGAAGGATCAGGGCCAGGACCAGGAGAGAGACAGTGACCCCTCTCCAGGAACTCCCAGGGTCTACAGCACAGACCAGTACGAGCTCCACTTGTCCCTGGTTTGGAGCCTAAGCCCCACTTCATCTCCAGCTTTATCTCTCCAAGCTCTCTGGGCAGCAAGTCTGGATCGATTCTGCAGGTGAGAACCATTTGTGGCATCCAAGGAAAGAATGACACGAAAGTTTCCTTTTTTGGGTAAGTCAAAAATATCTCTCGATTGACAAAAAGGCGGCTATTATGTTTTTACCTTGAGGTCTAATTGCAACTCCACCACTTATGAGCCTGGGGAACCTTAGGGAGTCATTGCTTCTCTCTGAGCCTCTGCCCACTACCCAGGGTGGTTGCAAGGGAGAATCTTGAGAATGTGTGTTAAGTTTCTGGCCATCCTAGATGACCCATAGCTACCAGTCTGATTATTGGATGGTAGATAATCCTCTAGCTTAAACAATCTATAACTGGGGGCACTTCAGACCTCAGAGGCAGTGCAGTGACCGAGGGTTAGCTCTGGTGCAAGATGTCTGAATTACTAGCTGTGTGACTTTGCACAGGTTACTTAACCTTTCTGAGCCTCAGTTTCCTCATCTCTAAGATGAAACTTATAGTCCTACCTAATAAAGTCGTTTTGAGGATTAAAAGAGTTTAATACGTATAAAGGCTGGGCACGGTGGCTCACACCTGTAATCCCAGCACTTTGGGAGGCTGAGGCAGGAGGATCACTTGATGTCAGGAGTTTGAGACCAGCCTGGCCAACATGGTGAAATCCCGTCTCTATTAAAAATACAAAAATTAGCTGGGGGTGGTGGCACATGCCTGTAATCCCAGCTACTCGGGAGGCTGAGGCAGGAGAATCGCTTGAACCCAGGAAGTGGAGGTTGCAGTGAGTCGAGATGGCACCATTGCACTCCAGCCTGGGCAACAGAGTGAGACTCCATCTCAAAAAAAAAATAATAATAATACATATAAAGTGCTTAGAAGAACGCCTAGCATACAGGAATGTTCCGTTATATTTAGCTGCTGGTATTATCATCATCTTCCCAAGGGCATGGCCCACACCTCCTGCCCCAGCTTCCCCCATCACAGAGCCCAGCACTGCCTGGACATCCAGGGGGTCTTGGGACAGACCTGCTGAATTGGTGAGTGGGTCCCCCAAGCACCTCCCCCTGGCTCCAAGGCCTGCAGGCCCCTAGGCTGGGCCACCCCTTACCTGCAGGTCATGGGTCACCTCCACCACACCCTTGGGCAAGGAGATGGCAACAGCCTTCTTCTGCATCTTCCCCATCCAGATCTTCAGCTGCTCTTTGGTTAGCAGCTTTTCAAGGCGCTCGAGAGGCTCCACGTGATGGGGCATGAGGATGATGAGGCTGGAGAGCTTGTGGGCCAGGGGCATCTCCACGATTTGCAGCTTTTCCTTCTCGTCGTCGTAGTAGTTGTAGAGGCCTGGGAGAGGAGCGGAAAGGACACTGGGCACCCTGTGTGCAGGGGTGGGTCAGACCAACTACCCTTGGACCCCCACCCACCTTGACACCCTGCTCCTCACAGCACCTACCTGTCCGGTGCATCATCATGACACCCACGGTATAGGACCGAGTCACCATGAAGCCACGGTTGTCCACCATCTTGTGGTGGAATTTCTCATCCCAGTGTGCTGTAGTTGGGGCAAAACACAGGGTCAGAGACACATGGCCGCCCCCAAACACAATCACAGCCCACAGCCACCCCCGGCTGCAGACCTTGATTTATCCTTGCCACAGGTCTTTGCTCCATTCTTCAGGGCCCAGCTATAGAGCACCCAGCCCACAGAGTCTATGTTCCCAGCTTTGGGAAGGGGTCTTGGCCCCAGGACATGCCATCTGAGGATGCGGTTCCCTACAGTCAGTGCCTGCTGCTCCCATATGATAGAGAATTAATTCCGCCCTCAGGTCAGCCACCTCTATGGCCACCCCCGGCTCTAGCACTTGTCAGATATTTTGGAAACATGCTCTGAGGTGGGCTTTCTACCCTCCCTGGTACCTGGGGGACAGCTGTGCCCTGGGCAGGGAGTGCCCCATGACCACCCTTAATTTTTTTTTTATCTTTTTCTTTTTGAGACAAGGTCCGTCCCACTCCATCCTACAGCTGGAGTGCAGTGGTACAATCATGACACACTGCAGTCTTGAATTCCCAGGCTCCAGCGATCCTCCCACCTCAGCCTCCAGAGTAGCTGGGACTACCAGCATGCGCCACCACGCCTGGCTAATTTTTTGTAGACATGGGGTTTCGCCATCTTACCCAGGCTGGTCTCAAATTCCTGGGCTCATGTGATCCACCCACCTTGGCCTCCCAAAGTGCTAGGATTACAGGCATGAGCTACTGTGCTCAGCCCACCCTTCGTTTTCCTCTGCAAGTTCTGTCTCCATGACCAGAAAATAACAACAAAAAATGTCTGAGAGTGGCCTGAACCCTGCCCTTGCTCACAGCCAGACCTGTGTTCCAATCCAAGCTCAGCCACTGACTCGGGGAGACCTCAGCTCTCCTAGCTTGGCCTCATTTGTAAAACGAGGGTTACTTCATTCTCACAGCAAACTGTGAGAATAGTGTTGTCTATGGAGGTACTCAAAAATATTTATTAACCCTACATCTAATCTTCAACTGAAGACAGAGGCATCTGGGCCTGAGGCCTGGCTCTGCTTCCTCCTTGCTGAGCCTCAGTTTCCTCACTGTGAAATGAAGGTAACACTGCCTGCCCCCAAGGTTGCTTTAAGGATTCTGGGTCTTGGCCGCACATGGTGGCTCGCACCTGTAATCCCAGCACTTTGGGAGGCCGAGGCGGGCAGATCACTTGAGACCAAAAGTTTGAGACCAGCCTGGCCAACATGGCAAAACCCCGTCTCTAGTAAAAATACAAAAATTAGCTGGGTGTGGTGGTAGGCACCTGTAACCCCAGCTACTCAGGAGGCTGAGGCAGGAGAATTGCTTGAAGCCCGGAGGCCAAGGCTGCAGTGAGCTGAGATCGTGCCATTGCACTCCAGCCTGGGTGACAGAGTGAGACTCCATCTCAAAATAAAAATAATTTTAAAAAAAGGATTTGAGTTCTTTCTCTAGCTCACTACTGAGGCAGAATGGATTATTAAATGTTATTCATTCCAAGATACACAAGGACGAGCACTTTGACGAAATTCGGTCGGAATACATTCCATGGAGTCCCTCTGGGGCCTCCGCTCCCTGAACCATTCCTTTACACGCTGCTACCTGTCTCTGAATCTAGTTTCCAGTCTGTACAAAAAGCTGAGTGACAGTCCTGCCTCCCTGGGTTGTCACAGCATAAATGAGAGGCAGTGAAGAATGGAGCGCACGGAATGTCGTCCTAACTCTTGCAGGGGGTCCTGGGAGGAGGAGGAGGACCCCTGAACGCGCCCCCGACTCACGCTTGAAGAACATGGCGTTGACTAGCAGGGCGCCGTCCGTGCGCTCCACGTCCTTGGTGACCTCGGGCAGCTTGCCGTCGGTGGTCTGCGCGGCCCACTCGTTGATGGACTGCAGCGCGCTGCGCTTGTCGCGGAAGTTGATCTTGGAGTGCTCGCAGTTGTAGTGCTGCTTGCTGCTGCGCACGAAGTCATCAGCGAAGCTCACTGAGCTGGGTCCGTACAGTCGGCTGCCCAGCTTCCAGGTCACGTTGCGCGCCGTGGAGTTGCTGAGTGAGCGCAGCAGCTCGCCCAGGCCGGCGTGCACCTCCTCGTCGCGCAGCTGCTCGGCGCTCAGCACTGCCTTGGCCTGCGACGCCGTGGTCGCCTTGCCGCCCAGCGACACGAGCCCTAGCGACGAGGCCACCACCACGGGTGACACCAGGATGTTCTCCACTGCCTGGTCCTTGGCCATGGCCTGGTACAAGCTGAAGGCCAGGCCGGCGCTGCGCTCGGCAAGCGTGGCCGCCTTGGGGCTCAACTTCTCCGCAGTGCCAGGAGCTGCTGCGGCTGCAGGTTTCTTCACCTCGGCGGCCAGGGCCGCCTCCAGGAGGCAGAAGGCGCTGAGAAGCAGGAGGGAGCGCATGGCCAGGAAGTGGTTTGCGTGCACCACGGTGGGCCTGTGAGGATTGCACAGACAGGGTGGTCTTGAAGCCCAAGGCCTTCCTCCCCAACAACCACCCTCAGCTCTCTGGCTGCCACAAGTCCCCTGGAGATGGGGGCAAGAGAGCCCACAGTCCAGGAATCCCAGACTTGACTCAGAGCTGCCAGCCTCTCAGAGGCCTCTGTTACCTCCCTACTCAAAGAAGCATTCCCAGCAAGTCACCACCAGACCACCTTATTGATTTCCTGCATCGGCCAGCCAACACTTCCACTTATTTGTGTGTTTATTTCATAACTATTTCTGCTCCTAAGTAGGCTGTGGCCTCCAGGACAGAAAAGCTAGCCAATCTGGTTGCCACTATATCTCCCGTGCCTAGTACACAGTAGGCCTCAGCTCTTCCTGAACGAAGGTAAAACAGGGTCACTTGGCCAGACCTGGGGTCCTCATCAGTTTATAGAGTGGTCAGCCCTGATCTCACATAGCCCTGGGAGCCCTTTTCCAGTGAGAAAAAGCAGCAGCTGAGCTGAGAATCTGCAGGAAACCCAGATGCCTGGGCAAGGGATGAGGGACAGAGCCGGAGGGCTGCCCCGCCCCCATGCCTTTCATTCTGCTCTGGGATGTTAATGAGTCACCAGTTGGGTCACTCATTAAATGGGGAGCCAAGATGCTCCACTTTGCTGCCCCAAGGGTGACCCTGAGAGTGTGTGTGTGTGTGTCCTGTGTCCACTCAGCCTCAGTCTCCCTTTTCCAAGCTGAAAGGTCCAGGTCTCCATGCCCATGGCTTCTGTCTGGGCAGGAACTTGGAATGCCCATCTACCCACAGTGCTCCCAGTGCGGATGGGAAATCCCCAGGACAAAAGCTCCTGGGGGACCAACTCCTTTGAAGACTCGGTGGGGCTGGGGAGGAGGCTTCCTGACATAGCACAAGGACAGGATACTAGGGAAAAGGGTGAGTCACACATAGCTCAATAGAGCAGTGACCCCCTTCCCCATCACCAGCAGCTGGCCAGATGTGCACTCAGCCTTCAAAGAAGCTGGAGCCACATCAGATTCCATTCTGCCCTCCAATCTGACAGCCACTGCCACACAGGCCATCTGCTCCACGGCTTCAGGGTTGCCCTCAGGCCTCCTCCCCAAGCCCCAGCAGTAGCAGTGGCCCCAAGGACAAGCCCCAGTTCCCTCTCTGGGGCCTCCAATTTGGACAGTCTCTGTTCCTGGGATACTTCCACACTCCCTCTCTCCCTTCGGGCCATTATCCTCCTCTACATCATGCAACAGCACAGGAGAGATGACAGGGCAAAGGGAAGGATAGAAGGAATCCTGGTGGAGGCTGCGATCCCACTGCTCTGGTAGATCCCAACTTGTAGTCATCCTTGAAGAAGACCGAACATTTGAAATCCTGGTGGAAGACCCTCAGGACTCTGGCTGCCTGGGGACCACTGTATTTCTGGGAAGATTCTACTGCTGCCATCCCAAAAACCTGGACAGGCTCCCCATCTCCCGGGACTGCCTCCCTCCTCGGAGCCTTGAAGGTGCAGTATAAGATAAGCAAAGGGTCCAAGGGGAGGGAGGTGGGGAGAGGAGGGAAGGCCCAGAGATCTAAAAATGTCTGGAAGGAGCGGGGAGATCTGAGTCTCACCCTAAAATGAAGGGGATATCTTGGGGCCTAGAATAAACCCCAAGACACCTCCCTCCCAGCTCTGGCTCCTTCCCTGCCAGAACTGGAGCCTCAAAGGCAGAGCAACCATATAATTTATTGCACAAACAAGGACACTTATAAGAGTAAAATGGGCACTACTAATTATTATGCCAGGACAATAGGCATATGGCCACCCTACTCAAAAGCCACCTCTGATCCAGACCAGTGATGCTGGAGCTCAGACCACAGCAGAGGCCAACAGCCTTCCTTCCCTGAGGAGGCAGCTGAAGAGCCCACTCCCAGCCATGCCACGTGGCAGGTACCATCTTGACAGCCCCCACCCCCACCAGCCAGAACCTCAAAGGACTGGGAGGGGCTTCTCAAGCAAGCTCCAAATAACTGGTTTGGGATTCCTCAGGCAGCCCGCTAGGCCCGCAGCAGCTTAGCGCCTGCTCCTGGTGGTGACGTGGCAGGCAGGAGGCTGAACTATCTCCACCGGCCGGCAGAGGGGGGCTTCCAGCCTGGGAAGCAGGCCTGACTCAGGTCCCAGGGGGTGCCACATATTTGCCAGGGGACTCCAGGAGCCTTCTTGGCCTTAGTTCCCTTCCCATCCGCACATGAATCTCTGAAGGGAAATGCGCTACTGGGGAGAAGGGCAGCCCCACTGAACCCAGCAGCAGGAATGGGGGAAGGCAAGTTACTGCAAGCAGGCCAGCCTCCCACAGCCCAGCCCATCTTGCCACAGAGAAATGCCAGCCCTCAGGCCAAGGTTAGCTGAGTTACAGTCCCACAAAGAAAATACAAGATCACCTAGCCAGGGCTGTGCCCACAGCTAGCTGGACTGAGCAGGGTCTGGAAGGGAAGGGGAGGAGATGATGGGACCCCACCAGAGGGTCCCAAACACTTGAGAGGTCTAAAGTACCTGGAAACTGCCTCAGAGGGAGGTCAATGCCTGCCTTTTTCATTCTGAAAGAAAACAGAAGAGTGAAGAGGGCGGGAGCCGGCAAAGGAGAGATGGTGAGGAGGCCCCTGGCGCAGAGGGCACAACCAGTCCCCAATCTACAGGGACCTTGGAGATCGACCACCTCACTGTAAAATGGGAGAAACAAGGCCAGGGCAGGGGGTCACCCCAGGTCCCTCGGGATAAACAGGGGTCTGCCTTCCCAGCACAGGGGTCCTTCCTCACAGAAGCACAGAGCCCCTCCTGAGGGCTGCATGCGGTGTCCTGTTACACAGCCAGTACAAAAAAAAAATCTCTGCTGGGAGTCCCGGTGACAGAGGAGACAAAGGAGAGGACGGGAAGGGGGGATGGGTACATGAACCATCTGAAGACAGGAGGGTGTGGCCCCGGCCGGAATTCCGGAGAACCAAAGCCCCCTCATTTTCCTCAGGCCTCCATCCGGGCCGTACAGCCCAGAGGGACCAGCGGGAAACAAGGAAGAGGAGGGGCTGAGACTCTGGGCCAGTCTGGAAGTGCATTCATTCTCCTTCCTGCTCTTCAGCCACCTCAGGAATGTCTCTAAGCTGGGGGGCAGGGAACCCCAGCCTCTGGAAGTTAGACCCTGCAGTTTAAACCCTGCAGTTACTCCAAGAACCCTGTGGCAGTGGACAGAAGGAAAGACTCAAATCCTTCTAGTCAGCCCCTTAATCCCCAGAGCAGAGCAGACCCTGCTGACCCCCACTCTCTTTTTTCGGAGTGGTAGGGAGCCTCGCTGGCCAAGTCTTTCCTTTGGCTGCCATCATCTAGGCTGCAAGCTGCTGATCAGAAATTGAGCCACTGTCGCCCACTTCTACCAGAGCACACGGACCCCAGGAGTCGAGACGATTTCACCTCCTTTCCCACCACCGGAAGCTCAAATTCCCTCAGCAAGCCTGTGAGGAGGCTGGGCCACCAATCACCGCTGCCCCTGAGCCTCAACCCCAGAACGGAAGTGACCTGGAACTGCGAGGCCGGCCTATCCTCCCTACCCTTGCGGGAAGAGGCACCAGACCCATCTCCTTCCTCCTCTGTTTCTTTCCGCAGAGGCTCTGCTCTCTGCCCCCAGCCCCCTTTACACAGCACCTAGTCTCGTATCTGCCACCACCACCTTTTAGGGGTCCCTGCACTTTTTCCCAGTCCTCCGAGTGCACGGACTCCCAACCCGGCTCCGATCTCCGCCCTAGCCCTCAGCTGGCACCATCACTGGCTAGCCCTGGGCTCTCGATTCCAAACCCTCCAGCGGCCCCCAAAGTGCCGAGGACTCCAATTTGTAGGCTCTGGCTCGGCACCCAACGCTTCGCAGGGTCCCCTCGCCCCTCTTACTCCCTCGCGCACCCCCAGATTGCTCGGCGCTCCCCCGGGCCGCACGCACGCAGGCGTCTCCCGCCCCTCACCTGGGTCGGGCTGGGCTAGCGCCGGGACGTGACTCTCGCTCTCGAGCCGCGACACGATTCTACTCTTAGCCCGCTCCCCTGCTCCCGGGATCTATATATGGCAGTCCCCACCCCCTCCTGCCCGTCCCGAGAAACTTCTGGAAAGTTGGAAACGCTTCCGGAGGGCGCCCCAGCTCCGCCAAAAAAAGCCAAAGACCTCCCTCAAAACCTCCCCGGCCCCCGGCCCCTCCCTCTGCCGGCGCCTCCCGGCCCCTGGGTCCTACTGCCTCCCTCGGCGGCCCGGGCTGCGGGGCGCCGGGAGTCCCCACGGGGATCAGCGTGTCCTTCAGAGTGCGAGCTTCCTCCCACCCCCAGGCTCTCTGCATAAGCTAGCCCACTCCGAATCGCACGTCCTTTCAGGCGCCCCTTTCCCCGCAGGGGCTCTGCCCCAAGCAGAGCCATCTCCCCTTCTCCCCGCTCTCCCCCATTTTCAAGCTGAAACAATTGAGTCCTGTGCACCCCCTCCCTCTCAGGGGAGACGTTCAGGCTTCTGAAGGCAGTGCCCTTCTCCATACTTGTACATTCAAAAAACCTCAACCTCAGCGATGGCCAGAGGGAGAGGGAGCAGACCAGACCCGGTACCTGCCCGGCACCCGGAAAGTTCAAGTCGTGGAGTAATAGAGGCAGAGATGCCTGGGGAACTTCAGGTGGTCTGGCTGGGCTTGGAGGAGTGCACAGGAAGGAAAACCTGGCTCTCCACTGAGCAAGGTGCTGTGTGACCCTAAGCAGGTTACTTTCCCTTTCTGGGCCTCTGTTCCCTTGGCTGTGAAATGTGGTTCTAAGGCATCCCTTGCTTTTTTTCCCCCCTCTCTCCCTTCCTCAATCCTTGTCACCCCTGGCCCCCTCCCTATTGCATCCCCTCCCTCTTTGGGTCCCCTCCCACAGGCCTCAGGTCTCACTGTCAATTCCTACCCCACCCTCGCAAACTGATAGCTCCTTGACCTCCAAGTTAAGCTAGGGTATTCATTACTGTTCTAGGTGCTGAGGACACAGCTGAGAGCTGAACAAAGTCCTTGCCCTGTGCGATGTCCATCTGTGGGGTATGTACCTGTTAGTAGGGAATTCAGTGATTCAGTGAGGCAGATTATTTAGGAAACCCTAAATAATCTGGGCGACAGTGGCTCAATTTCTGATCAGCCGAGGCTCCCTACCCTCCGAAAAGTCCTCTTTAGTAGTTTAATGATAGCTATTGGATGGACGCAGTATGGAGAGGAAGGGACAGGGTAGGGACTCTTCATTCATTCAGTCATGAATGAATGCATTGAGTATCTTCTTTCTTCTAGGTGCTTGCCTGGATCCTGGGGAGCAAAAAAATCCCAGTACCCAGCAAATGAGTCAATCACCTGGGTCCCTGCCCTCTGTTAGTGGTTGTGGGGAAGCCTGGTGGTGGTGACAAACCTCTCTGTCTGGGTAGGCTTCTGCAGCTCAGAGTCTTTTGAGTACAAGGACTGTGGGAAATCTCAGATCCCAAAAGCTTCAGACTCTGTGATTCAGGGTCAAGGAATCAGAGATTACTTCCACTCAAAGCCCCCAAGGAGTCTTTGAATCCAGCTAAGGAATCTTAACATGTTAAAATCTCAGAGTCGAAGGATTCTGGAATAAATGTATTAAAGACTCTGAGCTGCAAGGCATCTCAGAGGTCAGGGGTTCCTGTCTGCAGCCCCAGGCAGAAGCCCTCTTCTCAGTATCCCAAAAAGGCAAGCACCGAGGCACCTCTAAGAAGAGAGAGCTTACCTCCTTCAGAGGCAGCCCCGCATTCTTTTTTAGGACAGGTCTGATTATTAACAAAAGCTTCCAGCCTTGGCATGGTGTCCATCTCTTTGGGGTGGCTGTCGTGGTTCTCATGTGCTTCCTCCTGCCTCAACTGTATATTGCTTTTAAAGATAAATTCTAGGCTGGGCGCGGTGGCTCATGCCTGTAATCCCAGCACTTTGGAAGGCCGAGGTGGGTGGATCACCTGAGGTCAGCAGTTCAAGATCAGCGTGGCCAAAATGGTGAAACCCCATCTCTAATAAAAATATGAAAATTAGCCAGCTGTGGTGTCATGTGCCTGTAATCCCAGCTACTCAGGAGGCTGAGGCGGGAGAATCTCTTGAACCTGGGAGGTGGAGTTTGCAGTGAGCCGAGATCATGCCACTGCACTCCAGCATGGGTGACAGAGCGAGACTCCATCTCAAAAAAAAAAGATAAATTCTTGTTTATCCAAGGAGACCTCCCGGGTCCCAGGCCAGACCCCACTCTCTACTCCCACCCCCACATTGGCCCTCAGGCTTCCTTGTGACTTGGTCAGTGAGCTGAGGGCAGGGCAGAGCAGAAACAAAGAGTGCCCATCAATGCTGGCAAAACAGAGAGGGTCGCCTGGGTTTTCAGCAGGTTCAGATGTCACAATCCCAGTGAGACTCCCTTCCTCTACTCTCTTACATCTCTTAGCTCTTTTAGGCTTCACCAACACCTGAGGGGGAGACTGAGAGTGCTGTGACTGTCCCATTTTGAGGGATAAACCAAAGCTCATGCTGTTAAATAGACCCAGTATCATGAGTGGTCACTGAAGAGAGGACCTGCCCTTACAGACAGCAAAGCTGAGGCCTAAGGAGGGCTGGGTCTGAAGGCCCAACCCCCATCCGACCCCCACTAATCTCACACCGGGTCAGAAGCCTCCTCTGTGACCTATCCCACTGCTGCATTATCTCTGTTATCACCCTGTATTGTCAGTGAACCATCACTGGAGACTTTGGAAGGGCAGGGCCTTTTCCTTGTCACTGTGAGTCCCCAGCTCCAGCAAGGGGACAGTATGGAAGAGGCACTGGGTAAGCATGGCTGGCCAGGGGATGAGAAGTGGCTGCCTGAGGCTGCTGTGCCCCTAGCACAGCCTCCCTGAAGAAGGGAAAGCAACGGCTCCTTTAAATTTCCAAGATCAGCAAAAAAAAAAAAAGTCAAGAGCCTTTGCCACAATATTCTTAGCTCTGAGCCCAGCCCAGACTGACTGTGGCCCTTCCCCCACATTCCAGGCAGAGCTTTCCGGAAAAAGCACTCTTTTAGGGGGTGGGGGAGAAGAGTCTGATAAGCAGAGAAACTCTCAAGCATTTTGTCTCTGGACTCCTCCAGTGCCTCGCTTCACTGAAGGAAGTGGTCCTGGTGCCTGGCACGTGGAGGCTGGCTGGAAATCCTCTAGATCCCTAGGTCCCGAGAGGTGTGGACAGCAGAAAGTAGAAAACCATCAAGTCCAACTGCATCCACACTATACAGAGAGGACAACGGAAGCCCAGAGAGGGCAGGAATTTACCCAAGGTCACACAGCATATCAGAGGTGGGGCTGGGCTGGAGCCTAAGCCCTGGACTCCCAGCCCTCTTTCTCCCACAGTACCCTCTAATGACCCAGGGGGGTATGTAGGCCCAGTTCTGCCAGGTGCTGTGGAAACAGCTTTCTTTGGCCCCAGTGGCTAGATTCACTCAGTCTTCACCCCATAGAATCCTAGGACAAAAACTTGCATGTCATTTAAGTGTGCAACACATTCACATTTATTATCATATTTATTCCTTTCAGGTAAGGAAGAATGTTCCAATTTTCAGCATGAAGAAACTGAGGATCAGGGAGACTAAGCAACAGGGTTAAGGGCACACAACAAGCCAGAGTCAGAGCTGGGTTTTGAATCAGGTCTGTTTATGCCATATCCACGGGAAGGCAGGGAGTGGACGAGAAGGAAGTGACATTTATGGGCCATTTTGCCGCTGCCAGGCCTGTGCTGGGCACCGTCATTAGTGTCTCACTTTTAATTATAGAACGTTAATCGGAAGGAAGTTTAATCCCCTTCTTTTTACATTGGTATAAAATTGGAGCCCAGAAAGCTCCGACAGCCAGTCCAGGGTCGGCCCCCTCCCTCAGGGAGCCAGGGCTGCTATAGGCAGCTCTTCTTTGAGATGCTGTCCAGGAGCCAAGAATGTGCTCTCAGCCCAAGGCATGAGTCAGGAAAACACGATTTCTGTAATCTTGGATTCTCTCTCTTGGAGCGTGGGGCCTTCCATCCAAAAAGGGCTGTCCTGCGTGCTGCCACGTTGGAGGGTGGGCAGCCGGTCCATGTGGGGGTGGGTGGGCACATGATTCCTCCCCTCCTCCTCCCAGAGCAGGCCCGCCCCTACCCGTCTGCAATCCTGGTGCTGAGCGAAGCCACATAGGAACTCCAGCGCCTTCACCCACATGCCTGGCACAATACCCAGGAGACACAAGCCCACTGACTCGCTATATACACAGGCGTATGTGCACCCACATACATGGTGCACACACGGCACTTGAGCAGCCCCTTCACACAATCCATGTACACACATGTCTGTGTAACTCCAGTAACCCAAATGCACCCCACCCCCCTACACAAGTTTTTGTTGGGTATTGACATATACACAGGATCAGGTTCCCCGCCCCCTCTCCCAGCCTCCCTCTCTCAGGCTTCCTCTGGCAACCCATGGAACCAGCTCCAGTGCCTGCAAGACCAGGCCTGAAGGGCTGGTGGGATGGAGGATGTGTGTTAACTACAGCCCTGCCTTTCCCTTCCCGTCTTGTTCTCCTCTCCCTTAGGTGCTGCTGAGCCTGTAATAACAGTGATGCCCAGGTGGGCTACAGGGCTGTCCTCCCTTGTCTTAGCATCCCTGACACTCAGAAAAGGGACTCCTGAGCTCTGACCACCCCCTACACCCTGCCAAACCACCTCTAATCTGCTTCAGCCCAGTTCAGCCCTGCTGTGCTATGGAGTGTGAAATGCCCTCACTTGGGGGTTAGGAGACCTGGGATCCTGCCCCAGGTCTGCCACTTCTTGGCTATGTACCCATGATTTAAATTACCCCTCTGTAAAATAGGACTGATAGTCTGCAGGATGATGAGACACACAGATAAAATAATGAATAGCAGAGGACTTTGTGAACACTAAGTGATGTTAGGCTCTCCACTCCACACCTCTGCTCACATCTTCACCAACTGGTCAAATCTTACACAACCCGTAGACGCCACTCTGACCATTCCTTCCCTGTCCTCTGACCATTCCTGCTCTGTCCTCTGAGCGCTGTCCCATCAGTTCCAGTCACACCTCACCTTGCACATACACACGACGCTAACAAAGGGCTGTGACTGGAGTGGGGACTTCCCTGGGGAGGCACAGGCAGAGGATAGTAGTCTGGCAAAGCAGGAGAAGCCCAGCCTGGGAGTCAGAAAGTTTGTGTTGGGATCTGTCCCTGGTGACCTTGGAAAGTCACTGCACCTCTCTGCACCTCAATTTCCTCATCTGTAACATGGGATATGGGCTGAGTCTGGAAGAGTTTGAAGGATTTAATTTTAAACAGGTAAAAGTATTTGTACACACTCCTGGCAGGAGGAAAAATTGGCACACGCTTTCTAGAAGGTGGTTGGCACTTTTAAATAAAAATATGTTATTGAATAATTCCCTGCAACACTATTTATAATAGCAAAAATCAGAAACAACCTAATTGTCCAGCCATAGGGGTTGAGAATACCATGAAGCTGGAAAAAAACAAAAAGCCAGGAAGTTCTTATGTCCTGATACTGAATTTGGTGTTAGAGTGGAAGAGCAGCGTGCAGAGCGTACATTACCTATTTACACATTTTCACAATTTGAAATTATTCATGTTCTTTTGGAAAAAAATCAATTTTTAGAAATTTCACTTAAGGAAATGATGTTTAAAAATATGAGCATAGATATATGCAGAAGGATGTTCTTCAGAGCCTTGTCTGTAATAACAAAAAATTGGAGAGAAGGTCAATAAGGGATGAAGTATTTGCAGATGTCAAAAAGGGGAAAGCTTGTTGTAATCCCCAGGCACAGAAAGATCGCTTGGTGGATTGTTGGATAAAAAATAAAGCCGTTTATGAAACAGCCTGTTGATGAAAATTCCACGGGAGAGCTGCAGATATCTGGAAGAATGTTCACATTTCACCAAAAAGTTAATGCTGGTTTTGGGGTGATTTTCACTTAATTTTTTAAAAGTTTCTGCTATTAAAAGATTTGGGGTTATTTATTTTTTATTTATTTAGAAACAGAATCTCACTCTGTCGCCCAGGCTGGAGTGCAGTGGTGCAAACATGGCTCACTGCAGCCTAGATGTCATGGGCTCAAGCCATCCTCCCAAGTAGCTGGGACCACAGGTGTACGCCACCAACCGTGGCTAATGTTTTAATTTTGTAGAGACAGGGTCTCCCCATGTTGCCCAGGCTGGTCTTGGACTCCAAAGGCTCAAGCGATCCTCCCGCCTTGGCCTCCCAAACTGCTGGGATGACAGGTGTGAGCCACTGCGCCCAGCATGGGTTTTTTATTGAATGAATGTATAGTATATGTATTAATACAAAATACATAGGTATATAAAATATTCATAGAGAAAGGCTAGAAAGAAATACTCTTACATCGTTTAATAGTGTTTATCTTTGGAGATAGAATATATATATCTTTATTTTCTTTTCTCTGCTTTTCTGAATTGTTTTCAATAGCATATATTACTTTTATAGTCAGCCAAAAAAAAAAAAAAATCAACCAAGTGAATAGAAAAGAAACACCCAGAAGGGTATCAAGCTCCAGCCTGAAGGGGGCTTGTCCGAGGGTGGCTGGGGAAGTGGTGGTGCTGAGCCTGGGGCTCAGAGATACTGCGCTGCAACCCTGGGGAAGGTGGGAGGCTGGGGCTGTGGCTCCTCTGGCCAGGTCTGGCATTTCCCACCAGCCCAGACCTGCTGGCTTTAGGCCTCAGGCTAAAGAGCCAAATCCTGGCAAGATTTCATGGGACGCAGCCAGGGGAGGGTAGGCACGAGACCCCACAGAGGCCACCATGGGAGGGGGGTACGTGTGACTAAAGCTGTGGAAGTTGGTGACAGGTCACCCTGCGTTTTTGCATTCTCTGCCTGCTGCATGGAGAGCGAGAGAGGGAGGCCAGAGGAGAGAATGGCTCGGTAACCTGGAGAGAGATGCTGGTGCCCAGACCAGGCAGGGGCCTCGGGCTGGAGAGGGCCCAGTGGCGGTGGGTTGGGCACGGAGGGCCTGGGAGAAGGGGGAAGGAGGACTCTCTGGTGTCTGGCCTGGTGAACAAGTGGCAAATGGTCCCTTTCCTGCAATGGAGACTCTGGGGGAAGGCAGTGAGCTCTGGGGGAAGCTGGTGGGCTCCATAGACTGGAGACATCAGGAGGCTGTAATGTCCGTAATTCTGTCAGGAGAGAAGGCCTGTCCAAAGATGACAATTTGTGAATCATGGTTATAGGAGAGTAACTGAAAGATGCCACAGGTGAAAGATGCGGATCAGAGCAAGCACAGAGCCTGAGGAGAACAGAGGCTGTGGAGAAATGGGCCCACGCCAGGCCAAGGGGTGACCCTGCTACCTCCCGGAAGGGAAACCAAGGCTGAGCTGGCAGAGCCACTGGTGGGGGCAGGGGCACAGAGAGAGGGCCATGCCACAGGCGATGGAGCAGCGGTGCCCTCCTCCTAGCCCAGAGCGAAGGAGGACCAGGCGGCCGCACGGTGATGGTGGTGGGGTGGGCTGGACCAGTGCTGGGGTCTGTACACTCGGCCGGGCCCCATTGGCTGTTGGGGCCGGAGCAGGCCCAGAGACAGGCCGAGCTGATGCAACGTGGGCCTATCGTTGCAGGCCTTGCTGAGGGGATGCAGCTGTGCTGGCTGCTGCCCAGAGGTTCCAGCAGGGAGGGGGCTGGCTCTCAGGGCCGCCTAGAGCTCTGGGACTGCAGCCCAGCCAGGCCCAAAGGCTGTCTGTTCGGGGTCTGCTCTGACTCAGGAGGGAAACACGCCTTTCATGGAAGCACCCAGCGCTGTTGGCTGGGTCTGTGTGTGTCTGTGTGCCCATGTGTGTGTGATGGGGGAGGAGCCCATAGCTGATGCTATATATACAGCTGTGCTTCACAGGCTCAGCATTCCCAGGGCCAGATGGGGAAACACGGGAGGGGAGGAGCTGGCCACCTGCCAAGCCCAGACCTCTGGCCGAGCCCCAGCTCCTAGATTCCAGCCTGTGCTCAGCCTCTGACTCTACACCTGACTTTCAGCAAGTCCCTGATCCCTCTGAGCCTCAGTTTCCCCATCTCTTGAGTTGGCACAGAGAGTTGTGAAAAAGAACTCAGAGGCTGGGAGCTGGAGCGGGAAGGGAGTCCCCAGGGAGCACAGCTGACTGGTCTTCACACCAAAAGCAAGCACAGGAGAAAGGGAGCTAGCATTTCCCAGTGCCTGTGGTGTGCCAGGAGCTCCTGCATTTTCCATTAATTCCCATCACCCTGCTATGAGGTAGGCATTTTCTCCCCATTTTGCAGATGATGAAACTGAGCCCCAAACAAGCAGAGATTATAGAGCTGGGTTTGAAGCTAGCTCTCCTTGCTTGGGGCCTGGGATTCTGTCCACAGCAGCCACTGGGCCATACCTGCAAGGGTGTCAGAAGGTTTGTGCTGGCGTCAGTGTCGCCAAGGACTCTGGGAGCCACTCACATTTTGGGCACTGCCTAAAGTTGATTACTTTGTTAACCCTGCCCAGGCCCCAGGCAGAGGCTTTAAATTGTTAGAACAATGAAGAAGGGAGAGCTGGATAAACACTGGCCAGGCTTGAGGGAGTCCTGGGACATAGTTGGGGTAAAGGACTGATCAGAGCATATGCTGAGGCTCAGGAATTCATAGGCATCTTCCTCCAGCTCCCTGACACAGGGTACCTAGAAGACTAACGATGGTGGTGCTGAGTACTAGAAAGGTTCTGTCCCGGACACAAATCTAGACACCAAGTCTGGTCCCCCGAACAAGGCAGGGACCCAGGTTATTGGAGCAAGGCTGTGAGTCCCTGAGGTGAGGAACTACAGGGCTTGGCCTGAAGATGGAGCTTGGCACGGTTTGTGCAGGAGCAAGCGGGTCAACAACAGGCCAGCATCACAGGTCCACAGGACTGGCCCAGCCCCACACCCATGCCAGGTTTCTGCCCTGCCACCTAAGGTGAGGCTGGCTCTGCCATGGTGCCCATGGGTGGTGGGGCGGGGGATGAGGAGGTCTAGTGCCCACAGAGCTGGCTCTGCCACCACTGGGCATTTTCAGAGATAGAGTCTTGCCCAAGGATTACCCCATAGAGGTTTTACCAAGGAACTTCTGGAGACAGAAGGGCTTGACCCAAAGACATCGTGTTGACATAAAATTCCAAGCACTGGCAGACCACTCATTTTCTCTCAAAACCCACTTTTCCTGAGCAACTGTTCCGAGCCAGGCCCTCTTCTGGAACACAGAAGCAAACCAAATCTACTCCCTTAAACAATGGGACTCACACCAGGTGCTCAGGAATGGGACGGAGGGGAGGAAGCAGAGGAGCTCTGGGACTGTAGCCCAGCCAGAAGGAGCCCAGAAGTACCAATCCAGTGTGGGATCAGGGGTCAGGGAAGACTTCTTGGAGGAGGCTACCTAAGGTTGAGAAGTGCACACCAAGCAGAGAAGACTGGGAATAGGGTGAGGCAAGTGAGGCACTTGCCTTGGGGGCACAATTAATGAGAGCACCGAAAACCTCAGTCATCAAAGTAAATCATGTTTCATGCAATATTTCAAAAAATCTAAATCAATGCAAAAATTCTATGAGTAACAAAATATCACAATTTTAAATAAAAACAGGATCAGGGCCAACCTCATGGGTGTACAGCCTGTGCAGTCTCACAGACCCTCCCAAGTGATTTGATGGTTACTACTGACATTCTGCAATTCTTTTTTTATTTTTATTTTTTATTTATTTTTTTTTTTTTTGAGACGGAGTCTTGCTCAGTCGCCCAGGCTGGAGTGCAGTGGCGTGATCTCAGCTCACTGCAAGCTCCGCCTCCCGGGTTCATGCCATTCTCCTGCCTCAGCCTCCCCAGTAGCTGGGACTACAGGTGCCTGCCACCACGCCTGGCTAATTTTTTTGTGTATTTTTAGTAGAGACAGGGTTTCACCATGTTAGCCAGGATGGTCTCGATCTCCTGACCTTGTGATCCACCTGCCTCAGCCTCCCAAAGTGCTGGGATAACAGGCATGAGCCACCGTGCCTGGCCTTATTTTTGTATTTTTTGTAGTGACAGGGTCTCTCTATTGCCCAGGCTGGTCTTGAACTCCTGGGCTTAAGCGATCCTTCCACGTCGGCCTCTCTAAGTGCCAGGATTACAGGCTTGAGCCACTACCCAGCCGCTGCAATTTTTTTTTTTTTTTGAGACAGAGTCTCACTCTGTTGCCCAGGCTGGAATGCACACTGCAACCTCCGACTCCTGGGTTCAAGCGATTCTCCTGCCTCAGCCTCCCGAGTAGCTGGGATTACAGGAGCCACGCCACCACACCCGGCTAATTGCCGCTGCAATTCTTAATAATTTTTGAGGCTGGGCGCGGTAACTCATGCCTGTAATCCCAGCACTTTGGGAGGCCGAGGCAGGTGGATCATTTGAGGTCAGGAGTTCGAGACCAGCCTGGCCAACATGGTGAAACCCCATCTTTACTAAAAATACAAAAAAATAGCTGGGCATGGTGGCATGTGCCTGTAATCCCAGCTATTCGGGAGGCTGAGGCAGGAGAATTGCTTGAACCCAGGAAGTGGAGGTTGCAGTGAGCCGAGGTCACACCACTGCACTCCAGCCTGGGCAACAAATAATAATAATTTTTGAAGAAAAGGCCTCACAAATTACATTGCCAGTCTCAGACAGGATTAGTAGCATGGACTGTGTCAAGCCATATTGGAGCCTGAGACAAAAGGAAAAATAAAAAAGTCCTTATTTAAAATGTGATATTTTGTTCATCATGGATTTTTTGCATTTGTTTTGATTTTTAAAAAATATTACAAGAGGCCGGGCATGGTGGCTCATGCCTGTAATCCCAGCACTTTGGGAGGCCGAGGAGGGCAGATCATGAGGTCAGGAGATAGAGACCATCCTGGCTAACACGGCGAAACCCCGTCTCTACTAAAAATACAAAAAATTAGCCAGGCATGGTGGCGGGTGTTTGTAGTCCCAGCTACTGGGGAGGCTGAGGCAGGAGAATGGCATGAACCCAGGAGGCGGAGCTTGCAGTGAGCCAAGATCACGCCACTGTACTCTAGCCTGGGCGACAAAGTGAGACTCCATCTCAAAAATAATAATAATAACAATAATTACATGAAAATATGATTAATCCTGATTACTGAGATTTCTGGTGCTCCTTTTAGTTTTCACTTGTCTCACCCTAGTCCCAGCCCTGGAAGAAGGCAAGGAGAGGAAAGACACCCTGGCAGGGGGAAGAGCAGGGGCAAAGGCTGGCAGCCCAAGTGCCAAGGAGAACTGGCACATGAGGTGCCGGGAAGGCTCTGGGGAGCAGGCAGGGCCTTCAGGCCCCTCTCAGGTCCCACTGACCCTTGCTGGAGAGGCAGTGTCTCCCTAACCCTCAAACCACCATCCAGAACCTAGATGCCCACCTGCAAAGTGAGAGCCATGGTTCCTTTCAAGCCTGTCTTCCTCTTCCAGGTAGTTCCGAGGAACAACAACAACAAAAAGACCCTGGGTTGGAAGTGGCCTGTAAACTGGACAGCATGTGCCCAAATTCTGCAGTTCCCACAGATCTCTGCAGCCCTCCAGGCCTCACTCCATTCTCATGGTTCTGAGGCCTCCCTCCACCAGCCAAGGCACCCCCCTTCCCTGCCCTCAGTGCACATAAGAGAGAGTCAGAGGAAGTCCTTTACTTCTTCATTCTTCCTTTCATGCAACAAAGTTTTTTTTTGAGATAGAGTCTCGCTCTGTCGCCCAGGCTGGAGTGCAGTGGCATGATCTCGGCTCACTGCAACCTCTGCCTCCCAGATTCAAGCAATTCTCAGCCTTCCGAGTAGCTGGGATTACAAGCGCTGACCACCACACCCAGCTAATTTTTGTATTTTTAGTAGAGATGGGGTTTCACCATCTTGGCCAGGCTGGTCTTGAACTCCTGACCTCGTGATCCATCCGCCTCAGCCTCCCAAAGTGCTGGGATTACAGGCGTGAGCCACCGTGCCCAGCAAAGATTTGTTGTTGTTGAGACACAGTCTCACTCTGGAGTGCAGCGGTTGGGATCTTGGCTCACTGCAACCTCTGGCTCCCGGGTTCAAGCGATTCTCCTGCCTCAGCCTCCCAAGTAGCTGGGATTCCAGGTATGCACCACCACGCCCGGCTAATTTTTGTATTTTTAGTAGAGACAGGGTTTCACCATGTTGGCCTGGATGGTCTCGAACTCCTGACCTCAGGTGATCTGCCTGCCTCAGCCTCCCAAAGTGCTGGAATTATAGGCGTGAGCTACCGTTCCCAGTCTCACGTAGCAAAGATTTATTGAGAACCCACAATTTACTAGGCACTGTTCTAGGTACTGGGATAAAAAAGTGGGCAAAACCAGATCTTTGCCCTCCAGGAGCCTGGTGTGCTGGCGAGTGGAGACACGCAATAAACTAAGAAAGAAATGTGATCATTTCCAGTAATAATGAGGGCTAGCAAGAAATGAAAACAGGTGTTGTGGGTAAGACTACTTTACACCAGGCAGCCTGAAATCTGAATAAGAAGCTGTAATCATTTCCGGTGGCTGCTGTATCTAGTACCACACACTTAGTGGCTTCAAATGATATAAATTTATTCTTTTATGGTTTTGAGGTCAGAAGACTTAAATGGGCTAGCAACTCCTTCTAAAGACTCTGGGGATGAATCTGCTTCCTTGCTCTTTCCAGCTTCTAGAAGCCACCCGCATTCCTTGACTTGTGGCCCCTGCCTCTACCTTCAAAGCCAGCAGTGTGGCAGCGCCAATCTCCCTCTCTCTCTGCTTTCTCCTTCCCTCATCACATCTGTTTCTCTGACTCTGACCCCTCTGCCTCCCTCTTGAGATGGACCTCCCTGATGACACTGGGCCACCAGTAAAGTCTCCCTATCTCAAGATCTGTAATTTAATCTCATGTGCAAAGTCCCTTGTCCCATGCAAGGTAATGCACTCACAGGTTCCAGGAATTCGGACATGGATGTCTTTGGGGAGCCATTCTTCCTCCGACCAAAGGAGGAGGGAGACCTTTATGGTGGGAGGAGGGGATCCCAAGCAGAGGGAGCTGCATGGGCAAAGGCCCCACAGTTAGAATGAACTAGGCATGCTCTAGGAATAGCAAGAAGGTCAGCCTTCTAGAAGTAATGCTCCAGTTAGCTTGATTTGCATCTATGTCATTCGTGAGGCCAATCCCATCTCTATGGACAAATGTTCTACAGTGTGCGTCCAGGAGCCCTGCGAGTCTACGGCATCCCCTTGGCATTTCAGGTCATCTCCTGCATCCTTCTGCTTCTAGCTGCCGGACTCTTCACATGCTTAGAGCAAGAGCACTGGACATTTGAGGAAGGTGCCTGGCTGGGCACTCACCTGGGCTGGGGCCAGGCTGACTCTGGTGGAGGGGTGGGCCCAGTCCCTAGTACCTGAGTATAATCCTGCTCTTTCTTCCCCACTGAAGGCCAGGATTGTGTGGCTAAGGATGGATGGGGGCAGCAAAGCTAGACCTCAGGCAGTGGCAGGAGCTGTCAATGGCCATATTGTTAGCTCTGGGCTGCGGCACGGAGGCACCAGGGTAGGGCTGAATGAGGCATCTGTTCGCTAGGTCAGGATGCCCAGGTCAGGGTCTCTCTTGAGAGATGCCTCCTACCCCCACCCTAACCCCAACTCTGCCCAGACCCTGCCATGTGGCTCCCTTGATATCTCTGGTACCCATCCCTCAGGGACCACAACTGTAACTAGCTGGCTCACTGTGAGGTTGGCTGTTGGATGGTGGTCTTCTCAGTTAAAATGTGAGCTCTCCACATAAGCCAGGAACTGTCTTCATCAATGCCAAGTCCCAGCAGCCGGCAGCCAGCACCCAACCCAGGGCCTGGCTCAGAGAAGTTGCTCCATACACACGTGCAATGAATGGAGGAATGAAGGAACAGATGAGAGAGACTGGGCCACCCTTGCATCCCCTGGTCACCTCCTCCCTTGACCACTGCACCCTCCTGCTCACTAGGCCTCCCTGCCTCTGGTATCTCTTCCCAGACACTCTTCATTCTAACACACCATCTAGTTAAAACCCTCCTGGGGCTCCCTGAGACCCTCAGGATCTGCCAAGCCCCAGCCTCACCAGGCTACCCGCCCACCGATTCTGTCCTCTACCTCTGCACTCCTCCTCAAGCAGTCCCTGGCACTGTCCAGTGTGCGCCCTTGTACTTGTGTATTCTTATGCCCAGAAAGCCCCTCCTCCCCTTCTCCCGGTATGGATGGCTCCTACCCTCTGTTCAGGCTCCTACAGGAAGCGGGCCCTGACCACCCCCAGCCTCCCCTGGGCTCCCACAGCCTGTGCTTCCCCCATCTCAGCACCAATTGTAATTCTCACTTCGTACATCTGTCTCCCTTTCCACACCCTGAGCCCCTCAGGGCAGAGACTAATGCTGACCCACGTCTTTCTTTGTCTGCTCCAGGGCCCTGGACGTGGTCAGGCACAGAACAAATGTTCAGCAAAGGTGTAAGCCCAGCCCCAGGCCAGTGGGCAGGTCCTATAGCCTGACCAGTGGGCGCTTCTGCCCTCTGGTGTCCGTTTTGGGTCACTATGATTTTCTATCTCTTTGAGGGGCTTCCTAGGGTGATGTACCCCAGCAGTGGTTCTCAGAGTGTGGTCCCAGGACCAATTGTATCAGCATCACCTTGGTACCTGTCAGAAATGAAAATTCTTGGGCTGTACTCTAGGCATGAATCAGAAACTCTGGCTGGGGGGAAGCAATCTGGATTTTACCAAGCCCTCCAGATGTTTCTGATGCAGGCTGAAGTTTGAAAACCATTATCCTGGAAGAACCCTAAGCCTGAACCACTCCCAGGAGCTCCAGTTAAGGGAGGAAACAGGACCCACCTGGTGGAGTTGCCAGGTACAATACAGGATTCCCAGTTAAATTTGAATTTCAGATCAACAGAAACATGTTATTGCAAGTATTGCACAAGACAGACAAACTAAAAAATAAAAATAAAAAATTCATTGTTTATGTGAAATTCAACTTTAACTGGATGTCCTATGTTCTCTTTCTGTATCAGCAGCCCTGTGCAAAGAACCCTGTTCTTATTTCAGTACTCTGCTGTCGCCATCTTGAAATTCTTAGTAATCTTTTTTACTAGGAGCCCTGCATTTTCATTTGGCAATGGGTCCTGCAAAATGTAGCCAGTCCTAGGAAGGATCTTTACAAAGCCTCCCTGGGGGCATTCAGGATCCGGAGCTCAAAGGCAGGCGGAGTGGGACCTCTGGCACCTTAGAGATGTGCCTCTAAGGATTCTCAGCTCCTCCCTCTGCCACGTGCTGGGGGTTCCCTTCCCAGGTGGGTCAAACCTTCATCCTTCTCCGATTGTGGCTCCTGTCTCCTCACTATCTTGCTGCCTCTGTTCTCACCCCTTCTATGCCACCTTCCACACAGGACGGTGAAGTTCCGAAAATGTCTGCCCATATGCCACCCTCCTGCCCCCAAACTTTTCTCTGGATGTCTCCTTCCCACTTTTATTTATTTTTTTAATTTTTTTTTTGAGACAGTCTCCCTCTGTCACCCAGGCAGGAGTACAGTGGTGCAATCACAGCTCACTGCAACCTCCAACTCCTGGATTCAACCAATTATCCTGCCTTAGCCTCCCAAGTAGCTGGGATTACAGGTGTGTTCCACAACACCCGGCTAATTTTTGTATTTTTAATAGAGACAGGGTTTCACCAGTTGCCCAGGGTGGTCTCGAACTCCTGACCTCAAGTGATCCACCCGCCTCGGCCTCCCAAAGTGCTAGGATTACAGGCGTGAGCCACCACGCCTGGCCACCACTGCTTTTATGATAACCAGTGGCTACCATTACAGAGCACTGAAGTAGATGCTTTTCCTCATTATGTCTTGTATTCTGCAAAGTAATTCTCCTCTTGGCCAAGCCTGGGATGGGATTGCTGTGGGCAGAACCAGCCTGCAGCCTCGGATGAAGAGCTGAGTATCCGCCCCAGCTCATGCCTGACAGAGGAAAAGCCGCTGCCTGGGAAGGCTACAGAGGAGCAAGTGGAGGAGAAGCACCAGAATGATCTGTTGAGCACTTACTATGTGCCGAGCACTGTTCAGAGTGGTGGGAGCTGGATGGTGAAGGACACATATACCAACCCCACCGTCCTTGGGATGGTTCCATGGATCCTGCCAGCTTTAATCTCGGGTTTATGCCCTAACCTTAGTGTTCTAATCAAACAGTGGAGGGCAGTGGCTCTTCTTATTTTTAATTTTTCAGAAGCAAGGAGGAAGTCATTCTTTTCTTTCTCGAAGATTTGATTCCAAATTACACTGGGAGAAGTAGGTTGGGGCACAGAGGAAACAGGATTGGTATGACCCACTATTGCTGAGGCTGAATGATGGGTACGTGATGGGGTCATTAGACTCATCTCTCTAATTTTGGGTATGTTTGAAATTGTCCATCATTAATTTTTTTAAAGTATAGTTCAAAGTAATAAAACCAAAAAGTAATATTAAAACTGCAAAATCTCATCCAATGTAGAATAAGACTCTTCTCTGGGGGTGGGCTTGCCTCAGAAACTAGAGACTCAGAGAGGGCAGCGACTGCCTCTGGTCTCCCTCAGTGCAGTGGCGCGATCTCAGCTCACTGCAGCCTCCGACTCCTGGGTTCAAGTGATTCTCCTGCCTCAGCCTCCTGAGAAGCTGGGATTACAGGTGCCCACCACCACACCCAGCTAATTTTTTGTATTTTTAGTAGAGACAGGTTTTCACCATGTTGACCAGGCTGGTCTCGAACTCCTGACCTCAGGTGATCCACCCGCCTTGGCCTCCCAAAATGCTGGGATTACAGGTGTGAGCCACCTCACCCAGCATCTCCATGACCATCTGTCTATAGAGTGGGAGAGAGAGCAGATCAGGCCCTCCTTGCCTGATACAGTTGTAACCTGGCCTGGGGACCCTCTGAGACATGGTAGATGTCCAAATTCTACTCTAACTCACAGGATTCTCCAGGAGGTTTTTCAGTGAACCTCCTCCCCTGGGGACCTCTCATCTAGATCCCCCCCACCCCTGCCACCCCCACCCAAAGGAACAATGCCCCCTCTGGTTTGCAACCTCTCCCCTCAGACATCAGTTCCAGCAGTACCCTCTGTTGGGAGGTCCTCACCCCACCCGCCTCCAGCTCCCTCCACAGGCCCTCATCCGGTCCACTGGAAAAATCAGATATCCTTTGCCTAGCCTGGCAGCATGAGCCATTCCCAGGGTGGCCCTGGCTCTCCCCATTCCACCACCACACACTGCCTTTAGACTCTGTGATATGTGAGGACAATTCAGGTTCCCATGTCCCCCAACGTCTTGAAGCCCTCCGCACTTGGTTTAAAGAAGGGAGGGAAGCTCAGAGCAAAATAACAATTTTCTCCAAAAAAAGGCTTTAACATGGGTGGGTGTTGGGTGGGCTTGGTGGGGCAGGCCTGGGAGGGCACCCTCTGCTTGTGCTGCAAGATGGTCTAACTCCCCATGGAGGATGTGAGGTGCTTGGGCCCCTCAGCTTCTAGAGCCTCTGCTGAGACTCCAGCCAACAGGAAGAGCCTCATCTTCACCTCAAGTGCACAACTAGAGAATCCTAGACTTAGGGAGTTGCAACATGCTTCATTCCACTAGCCCCCAGCTTCACCTGGCAAAAGGTGATCCTCTGTGAGCCCCCACGCAAGCTCTGCCTCCTCCAGGACAACCTCCCTGACTGCTCTGTGGCAATCCCCTCCTCCCGGTGTTCCCACCCTACCTTGTTCACTCCCCCATTAAAACAATTATTATTATTATTTTATTTTTTTATAGAGATGGGGTCTTGCTACCTTGACCAGTCTGGTCTTGAACCCCCTGGCCTCAGGAGAGCTTCCGACCTCGGCCTCCCAAAGTGCTGGGATTACAGGTGTGAGCCATCATCTATTATTTGTTTAAATTGTCTTTGTGGCACATCTCCTCATCAGATTCTGAGTTCCTTAAGGAGTTCCTGAATGGCTCTGGTGTATCGCAGGGTCCCTGGTATCCAGCATGAGAGCTGCCTGGCACAGAGGAGTGGTGATACAGTGACAACAATGACAATCTTTATCAAGTGTTAACTGTATTCCAGGTCCAGAGCCAAACTTCACGGTGTATGATCTCATTAATCCTTGCTATAGCCTTGTGAGGCAGGTATTATTATCCCCATTTTATAGATGAGAAGACTAAGTCTCAAAAGGTGAAATCACCGGGCCAAGGTCACATGGGTGAAGGGTAGAAGAGCTAGGATGTGACACAAGCCTTTCTGAGTGCAGTGGCCTCATGCTGCAGTGTGTTGGGGCTCCACCATGCCTGCCCGGTTCCTAGATGAAGGCAGGGATGAGTAGCGCTAGCAGATCAGCCTGATCGCCTCAGGCCCCAGTGATATGAAAGTGGGCGGGGAAGTGCTGGGTAGAGGTGGGAGTGGCCCCTGGCTAGGGCTCCACCCCAGGGCCTGTGCCTATAGACCTAGGTGAGGATAGGCACTCCTGACTTCACACCCAAATGTTGCATTTCCCAAGACCACCCTGGCCTGCTACGCCCCCCATACTGTGCCTATAAAAACCCCGAAACCCTAGCAGGCAGAGACACAAGTGGCTGGATGTTGAGGAGAACACATCAGCAGAAGAAGACACGAGCAGCTGGGTGTCAAGAGGACGTTGGAGCATGCCGGCAGAAGGAGCACACCCACAGAGCCAGCAGGCCGGCAGGCCATCAACCGGGGGAACCTGGTGGAGTTTGGCTGGGGCAGTCGGAAAAGAGCCCAGGCCACTGAGCGGTCAACTCCAGGGGAAAACCTTCCCACTCCGTCCCTTCTGGCTCCCCCATCTGCTGAGAGCTACCTCCACTCCATAAAACCTTGCACTCATTCTCTGAGCTCAGGTGTGATCCGATTCTTCAGAACACCAAGGCAAGAACCCGGGATACAGAAAGTCCTCTGTCCTCGCAACAAGGTAGAGGGTCTAATTGAGCTGGTTAACACAAGCTGCCTATAGACGGCAAAACTAAAAGCACACAGTAGCACATGCCTGCTGGGGCTTCAGGAGCTGTAATCATCCACCCCTAGACGCTGCTGTGGGCCCGGAGCCCCACAACCTGCTCTAGAGGTTAAAGAAGCGAGGCACTGAAGAAGCAAGTCATACCCGCATCGCACGCCCTGCAAGGGGCTCAAGGGAAGCTTTCCCATTTCACCAGCAGGCAGGGACTCTGTTATCATGAGGTCACAGGATATACAGAGAGTCAGGGGACAATGGAGAGTCAAAATGAACGTGGGGGCTGCTGTCTTTCGAGGCCATTGTAAAGACAAATCAAGGTCTTACTTGATTTGGGCTGTTACTTCTTGCTGGCATTGATGAGCCTAATTTTTTTTTTAAGAGACGAGGTCTCACTCTGCAACCGAGGCTGGAGTGCAGTGGCACGATCATAGCTCGCTGCAGCCTCAAACTCCCAGGGTCAAGTGATCTTCCTGTCTTCCTGCCTCAGCCTCCTCAGTAGCCGGGGCTACTGGTGCCTGCCACCATGCCTGGGTAGCTTTTTTTTTTTTTGTAAAGACAATTCTTGTTATGTTGCTCAGGCTGGTCCCAAACTGCTGGCCTTAAGCCATCCCCCTGCTTTGGTTTCCCAAGTTGCTGGGATTACAGGCGTGAGCCACTGCGCCCAGCCTGAGCCTCATTTTCATAGTACCTTAACCCCTGTCCCAGCCTCTAACCACAGCCTGGAGGATCCCAAGGATTGGGAGGTGGTGCACAAATGCCTGGAAAACAGCAGGTTGTGAGGGATCAGGTTCTGGGTGCCCAAAGGGGCAGCAACAGGACCTGGCTGGACCACAGCTCTAGGGTGACTGTCTTGATTTGCCCAGGAATGAGGGATGTGCGACTTTCACTGCTAAAACAGGGACAGAATGGGGTCACCCTGCAACATCTCTGACCCTGCAACAGTTCCACCTGCTCAGTAGATGCTTCTGGACCCAGATGAAGCCTGGGAAGACCACAGGGTGTTCATCAACCTGGGTCTGTACACACAGGGAGGTCAGCCTGGGTGTGACCCCAAGGGCTCACAGAGCAGGGCCCAGGAATCAATCAGAGAGAGCAGGGCCCAGGAATCAGAGAGAGAGAGCAGGGCCCAGGAATCAATCAGAGAGAGCAGGGCCCAGGAATCAGAGAGAGAGAGCAGGGCCCAGGAATCAGAGAGAGCAGGGCCCAGGAATCAGAGAGAGCAGGGCCCAGGAATCAGAGAGAGCAGGGCCCAGGAATCAGAGAGAGCAGGGCCCAGGAATCAGAGAGAGCAGGGCCCAGGAATCAGAGAGAGCAGGGCCCAGGAATCAGAGCAACCAGGGCTTCAGCCCACTTCGGCATCATACTGGCTGGGTGGCCTTGGACCACTTGCTTAAAATCACTGAGGCTTCAGCAGAATACAGACTAAAGAAAGTCAATTTTTATTTAAAATAGAAAATAAAATCATTGAGCCTCCTTTTCTCTCTCTAAAAATGAGGTAACATCCACTTGGCAGGACTGTTGTGAGGATGAAAATGACATAACTCATGAAAAGTGACGTGTCACCCTAGGATTAGGAGCAGCTGTGAATAACATAACCCTACAATAACAGTGCCTTGAACAAGAGGGTTTGTTTCTCACTCAGGTAAGGATCTGGGAATAGGTGATCCAGGAGTGGTGTGGGGACCCTGCTTTGCTAAATCCTCTGGCATTTTAGGCTCCTGCCAACTCATGACTCCTCTATGCCAAGGGTGTGGCCCTTGCCTCCAATGACCAAGATGGCAGCTGGAGCCCAGGCAGCAGATGGAAGAATAAAAAAAGTGCATGTCTGTCTATCTAAGGGCATTTCCCAGAAGACATACACAGCAATGCTGCTTACATTCCATTTAGTCCTGGGGCCACAGAGAGCTGTGAAATGTGCTCTTTGTTCCCAAAGACCATAAGTCCAGGTAAAAACCAGGAGTGCTATTACTATGGAAGAAGGGGGCATGGATACTGGGGAACTAGCCCAAGTGTGAGCCACATGTGCCTAGCATAGTGGGAGGCTGAGGTGAGCGGATCACTTGATGCCAGGAGTTCGAGACCAGCCTGGGCAATATGGCAAAACCCGTCTCTACTAAAAATACAAAAATTAGCCGGGCGTGGTGGCACATCCCTGTAATCCCAGCTACTTGAGAGGCTGAGGTATGAGACTTGCTTGAACCTGAGAGATGGAGGTTGCAGTGAGCTGAGATCATGCCATTGCACTCCAGTCTGGGCGACAGAGTGAGATTCTATCTCAAAAAAAAAAAAAAAAAAGAGATCAGAAAATGTGGGCTGGGCACGGTGGCTCACGCCTGTAATCCCAGCACTTTGGGATCACCTGAGGTCAGGAGTTCGAGACTACCCTGGCCAAAATGGTGAAACCCCGTCTCTACTAAAAATACAAAAATTAGCCAGGCATGGTGGTGTGCGCCTGTAATCCCAGCTACTTGGGAGGCTGAGGCAGGAGAATCACTTAAACCCAGGGGGTGGAGCTTGCAGTGAGCCGAAATGGCACCACTGCACTCCAGCCTGGGCAACAGAGTGAGACTGTCTCAAAAAAAAAAAAAAAAAGAAAAGAAAAGAGAAAATGTGACTCTTTCTCCCTTTCACATTTGCTGACCTTTCCCCAGCCTGTGAAAGGTGAGGGTCTAGCTCTGAAGCTAGCACAGGGCATCCTGTGTACCTTGGTGGGGTGTGGGGAGGGAAGAATGGGGCTGGGACTGACTGGGAAGTAAGAGGCAGGGATATCCCTGGATGGGCCTGGCCAGCCCATCACAATGCCCCAGGACTTACCATGTGCCACCCCAAATCTGAAGGCCAGTAGTTCTGGGCCCTCAGCTCAGGCAGCTCAGCAAAGGAGGCTCTGGGGCATAAAGAGTCCTTAGGAGTCAGGAGCTGGAGGCAAGAGAGGATCCAGGGACGGGAGGACGTTTGGCTGGCATCAGGCAGGGCCCAAAGCCCACCACAGGCAGCGGACTCCAGAGTAGGAAGGCACTAGCAGGGCACCTGGAGAGAGTCCAGGCCTTCACTGAAGATGGCCTTGGGGAAAAAGAAAATATCAGAATCAAACTTATCCTGTTTTATTCTAGAAGCAAGTGAACAGATGTTGGAAGTAATCTAGGAAAAGCAGCCTCTGCCAAAAAGCAGAAACCAAAGCAGGAGGACAATGAAAAACAGACAGGGCAGCCCCACCCTGCCCATGTCAGGGAGGTGGGTTCCCAGTTCTCTAATGATGGGATGGTGACAGGACCTGCCCCTGTGGGCATAGTACGGTCCCTTGACATAGGGGGCATTGTAAGACCAGTCCAAAGAGGTCCTATTAAATGCTACCCTCCACACACACACTTTGTTCCAATATGGAACAGGGAGGAGGTGGCTTTGCATAAATATGTAAACCAGTCCTGGAAATCTGAGACTTCCTAGGCATGCTCCTTCCTCTGAGCCCCTGGTCAGCTGCAGATCCACACTGCCTTGCCTGGCCCAGTGCTACCCAAGAGGGAAGAAACCCGCATGGTCTGTGAAGGGACCTGGGCTGGAGGCTCTCCAGGCTGCCTGCTGCTTAATCACGTGCACCGACCCCAGGTGCCTGCACTTTTCCACACAGTCATCCCAGACACCCCTAATCATCTGCTCTCCTGCTGCCCCCTGCCCTCCAATCTCCCAGGCCTCTTCCCCACTCTCACTGTGGCTGACTGCCTTGCTTCCTGATTCACTGAGAGAGTGGACTCGATCAGCAATGAACTCCAGAGGCTCCACCACCACACCGACCAATCTCCTTGCATCTGCCTTCTCTCGATGGATAAAACCACGCACTCCTCAGAAGGTCGACCCCTGCTTATGTGGCTGGATTCCACCCCCTCAGCTACTCAAGGCCATGGCTGCGGCAGTCCCTCCATCTCCCCCGTATCTTCCACTGTTCTCTCATCTAGACCTTTCCCGTCAGCATACACACATTCTATCTCATAAAAACATTCTCAGTTTTTCTCTTCATCCCCTTTCCTTCCTTCCCTTTCCATCAGAACTCCTAAAAAAGGTGGTCTAGGCCAGGCATGGTAGCTCATGCTTGTAATCCCAGCACTTTGGGAGGGTGAGGTGGGAGGATCACTTGAGCCCAGGAGTTCGAGACCAGCCTGGGCAACATGGTGAGACCCCCATCTCTAAAAATAATTTTTAAAAAATTAGCTGGGCGTGGTGGCATGTGCCTGTGATCCCAACTACCTGGGGGCCTGAGGTGGGAAAATCACCTGAGCCTAGGAGATTGAGGCTGCAGTGAGCCATGATTGCGATTGCGCTGCTGCACTCCAATCTGGGGGACAGCAAGACCCTGTCTCAAAAAAAAAAAAGAGTGGTCCTTATCTTTGTCTCCAGTTCCTTCCTCCTGTTCTCTCTCAAGCTCACTTGAACCAGCATCCCACGTTTATCACTCCACTGAAACTCTTCAAGGTCACCAAGACCTCCACATTGCTAAATCCAGTAGCCAGTCCTCAATCCTGCTCTCCCTTACCAGTAGCAGCAGCAGGGAACCTGCCAACGGCCCCTCCTTGGTTTCACTTTCGTCACCTGCCTTCCAGAATACCACACAACTGTGCTCTTCCTCCCACCTCCCTAGAGGATCCTCCTGCCCTGATATGGGAGCTCCAGAGCTCAGTCCTTGGTCCTCTTTCTTCTCCCTCAAGCACCGTTTCCTTGACAGTGTCATCCAAGTTCAAGGCTTCAGATCCCTTCTCTATGCCTGTAACTCCCACATTTCCGGACCTCTCCCAGACCCCAGACTTGTGTATCCAACTGTGTGCCTGACATCTTTACTTGGATGCCTAAGACATCTGAAAATGAACGTGTCCAATCCTGAATTCTGATCTGCTCCCCAAAACCTACCCCTCTCGTCTTCCTCATGTCAGACAAGGGTGATGTCATCCTTCTAGGTGATCAAGCCAAAACATGGGGGTCATCCTTGACTCATCTCTTTGTCTCACAACCTACATTTAATTCATCAGAAAATCCTGTGGCTCTACCTCCAAAAGACACCACAGAATCTGACTACCTGTTACACGGCTCCTGCGGTCACTGTATCTGAGCCGCCATCACCTCTCCTCAGACTGCGGCATTCCCCCCCTGTCTTTACCGTATCCCCCAGGTCTAACTTAGAAGTCAAACAATGACACCTCTTTACTTAGAACTCTACAATGCCTTCCCATTTCAACTGGAGTAAAAGTCAAATTCCTACTGCAGGCTCTAGGCCCTCTGTGATTTAATCTCTGTGACCTCGTAGGCTCGTCTTTTACCTCTCCCAACCCCATCAATCACTGCCTCCATTCCAGCCACATTGGCCTCCTAGTGTGAACACACCAGGGGCCTTCACACCTGTCATCTGCTTCAGGCTTTTACTCAAACGTCAGCTTCCTTGACTCCTCTAAGTGGCAAGTGTCCTCGCTGACACCTCCTGGTCTCCTCTGTCTCTGAGGCTCTTTCTTTTGCCCATAGCATGTATCCCATCTAATACACCACTCCTTGTATTTGTTTTGCTTATTGTCTACCTCCCTCTACTAGAAAGTAAATTTCATGAAGGCAAAATTTTTCACCGCTGTGTCCCCAGGACTGTATGAAGTAATCACTCAGTATACATTTATTTAAAGCAGGAAGAAAGGAAGGAAGCAACGAATAGCGGAACCGATTGCTCTTCTGTCCTGGAGGGTTGAGCTGCCAGAGAGGGCAGTAGAAACCAGAGGCGTGTACCTTCACATGTAGCACGATGTTCCGGGTCCCATGCTGGGTGCTGGGGACATGGCCTCATGGAAGCAGACACACAAGCTGACATTCACAGAACTGACTGGTAAATGAGTGGATAGAGGCCTCGGGGAGCCCAGAGAAGAGCTTGGGTCCAGGCAGGGCTTCTGTGAGGAAGTGACACCTGAGCCGCGTCCTGAAGTCATACCTTGCCACTCTCCTCCCACTGCCCTCTAGCCCCACTGTGACTCTGAGTCAGCAATGATTCAGAAGAGCGCAGACTTGGGTGTCAGAACCTGGGTTTGCATATTGGTTTACATGCTGGGTGGCTTTGGGCAAGTCACTTCCTCTGGCCAACCTCAGTTTTCTCATCTGTAAAATGTGACAGCGGCTGGCCTAGAGCATCTCTTAAATTCCTTCCAACTTTAACATCCATCAAGCCATGGAGGTTTGCCACTCAGATCTTCCTTTAAGAGAGTGTAGAGCAGGAGTGTCGTTAGCAACAGATCCCAGCAGCAACACCCTGGGATCTACTGCTGTGTTCCTGACAAGGCCACTTTCTCCTTGGGCAGCCCTAGCCAATGACTCAGCTCAGTGGGAGAAGGAGGTCTGGCCGTTTCTGCCCAGCAGATGTCTCCTCTGTTTTTTGTTTGTTTGTTTGTTTTTGTTTTGTTTGTTTGTTTTTGAGCCAGAGTATCACTCTGTGGCCCAGGCTGGAGCACAATGGCACAATTTCAGCTCACTGCAACCTCCGCCTCCCAGGCTCAAGCGATCCTTCTGCCTCAGCCTCCCAAGTAGCTGGGACTACAGGTGTGAGCCACCACGCCCAGCCTCTAACAGCTAATTTGTGCTCTGGCCTCCCCACTGGGCTGGCTGAGGCTTTCTCGGAGCTGCAGTGCAGTCTGAGGCTCTTTCTACTTAATCCCTCCTTCCCTTCCACCTTTCCCAGATGGTAGGCCCACCTCATGGTCAGAGGGAGGCTTCCTGGAGGAGGAGACACGGGAGCTGTGCCTTCCAGGTTGACTTGGGTGTAGAGGGCCCAGCATGTGCTGCTGAGAGCCAAGAGAGGGGAGCCACTGAGGAGTTTTAATCAAGAGAATGCTGTGCTCAGATCTGAAATAGTGGGAAGTGGATAGGAGAGGGCAAGAGAGGAGGCAGGGAGAGCACCGAAGAGGCTGACATGATGGGCACTGGCCTTGGAGGTGATTATGGGAGCCACAGGGTCAAGGAGTGGATGGAAAAATGTTTAGATGTTCAGGAGATAGAAACTCCAGAGTTGGGAGCCTGGACACTCCAGTAGCTAGCTTGCTTTCTCTTTTTTTCTTTTGTTCTCTTCCTCCCCTCCTTCCTTCCTTCCTCCCTCCCTCCCTCCCTCCCTTTCTGTCACTCCATCACACAGGCTGGAGTGCAGTGGTGCAATCTCAGCTCACCTCAACTTCCACCTCCTGGGTTCAAGTGATTCTCATCCCTCAGCCTCCCGAGTGGCTGGAATTACAGGCGCGCGCCACCAGGCCCAGCTAATTTTTGTATTTTTAGTAGAGACGGGGTTTCACCATGTTGGTCAGACTGGTCTTGAACTCTTGACCTCAAGTGATCCGCCCGCCTCGGCCTCCCAAAGTGCTGGGCTTATAGGCGTGAGCCACCATGCCTGGCCTCCAGTAGCTTTAGAATTCCCTTCCCTGCATCTCTGTGACTGACGGGCTATAGGGGGTGATGTCTAGGATGTTGGGATCTGTCACAGAGATGGAGAATACTGAAGGAGCGGCTTTAGGGGGAATCGATGCAGTTTTGGACAGCATAGGAAAACAGCCTGTTGTATAATAAGGGTGACGCTGTGTCCGGAATTGGAGGGTTCTTGGTCTCACTGACTTCAAGAATGAAGCCTCGGACCCTCGCGTTGAGTGTTACAGAAGAGAACCTGGTGTTGGGGGGCAGGGGTGCTGGGGGAAAGAAGAGAACCCGGGAGGAAGCAGTAGATGGCACTTTGAATTTATAAAATTTCATTTGGTAAAGTTAACAAAAATAAAGGGGTCTGTTTTTATTACTGATGTGGCACCCTTCTCTCCCCCACTAAACTGAACACTCCTCAAGGGGAGGGGGCAGGGTCTGATTGCATTTTGCATCTCTAGTGCCAGCCTCAGGTCTGGCATGGACTGGGCCCTCAGCACAGGTTCCTGGAACTGAGTTATTCTAGGAAGCCAGGGTTCCTATCACCACCCCCATGGTACTGGCTGGTTGGGGTATTTCTAATTTTCGGCCCTGAACAGTGCCCATGGGTGCCTCTTAAGCACATGATGAGAGGGGCAGGTGTCTTCTCTCAACTCTCCTCTTCCTTCCCCCTCCCCTGCTGCTCCTGGAGATAAGGAGGCCCCTCTGTTCTGAGAGGGTGTCAGGGCTATGTTTTGAAGGAAACTCTATCAACTTAACTGGTAGCTGTTCCCAACAGTGGAGGGGCTCAAAAAAAAAGAGCGCCAGTAGGGAGGGGACCCACCTGCATGGGTCCTTCAGTGGCCTCACCTTCAGGGGATAAAACCACAGTGTGAAAGTGTAAAAATGTTTAGTACTTACACACCCTGGAGGGCACAACAGAGGTGTCTCTGTCTCTCTCTCACACACGGACACACACACACACACACACACACACACACGTCAGGGAGTGCAGGCAGGAAGAGACAAGACCCATGGGCCACTGCCTATATTGGGTCGAGGGTGTCCAGCTTTCCCTCAGGGAGCTTTAATTGGTAGGTTTAAAGCAAGCAGGCACTAGTTCCAGTTGGTCACACTGTGACTGAGAGGTGGTCACTTCCAGTTGACAAGCTCATGTCTGAATGGTCCGTTTAAAGGAGAGAGCGGGAAGGCCAGGAGCCAGCCTGCTAGGTGGGAGAGAAGCCTCTAAGTTTTATCTCCAGCCACCAGCTGGAGCCATTCGGGTGGGGCATAGTATTGGAAACTGTGTCAAGGGTGACTGAGCCCTGCTTCTGGTATGAGAACGTTAAATTAAAACATGAATGCCAAGTACAGACCCTGCTGGGGAAGTCTGCAAGGTCAAAACTCTTTTCATAATGAGACTAAGGCATCATTTGCCTTTTTTGCTGGGTTGACATTTCCCTGACGGTGCAAAAGCCAACGTGGCGGCCTCCAATGCGATGTACAGGAAGTCATCGCATTTTTCACTGCCACGCCCTCATAGGAAAACACTGCCAACATCGACCAGGAAAGTCTTTGATGCAGCAATAAAAATGATCCCATTCACAATATACTGGTCCTTGAGTATACATCTTTTTAATATTCTGGGAAGCAACATAGAGCACTTCTGCCATATCCGATGCAGCACAATGGTTGTCTCCAGAAAAGCATTTGCACTTGTTTGAACTGTGAGCTTAACTAGTCACTTTTTTTTTTTCATGGAACACCATTTTGACCTGAAAGAAATACTGACAGATAAATTATGCTTATGCAGACTTGAGTCTCTGGCAGACATTTTCTCAAGAATGAATAAAATGAATCTGTCATTTCACAGCAAACTGACAGTATTTATTGCTAATGATGAAACCCAAGCTCAAGTGAAAATTGGAATTTTAGAAACCTTGTGTTCACCACTGTGACCTTGGCAGCTTCCCAATACTTAAAGACTTCTCTGATGAGATCGGTGTTGATATTAACTAATGTGATTTTTAAAACATAGTATACTAATATTTGTCAATATTTGAAAGACCTGCATAACTTGGTGAACCATTTTTTTCCAAACAGCCAGTGCATTAAGTTATAACATCATGCTTGGGCAAAAGATATATCCAAAATGCGAAAGAGTCTAATGTATTTTAATGTAATTGAACATAAAAATTTCATTGATAGGATTTCAGATTTTTTTTTTTTTTTTTGAGACTGAGTGCAGTGGCAGAATCTTGGCTCACTGCAACCTCCGCCTCCCGGGTTCAAGAGATTCTCCTGCCTCAGCCTCCCGAGCAGCTGGGACTACAGGCAGGCGCCACCATGCCCAGCTAATTTTTGTATTTTTAGTAGAGACGGGGTTTCACCATATTGGCCAAGCTGGTCTCGAACTCCTGACCTCGTGATCCACCCACCTCAGCCTCCCAAAGTGCTGGGATTACAGGCATGAGCCACTGCGCCCGGCTAGATTTCAGATTCTAATCACAACTAACCTTCAAAAAAAAAAAACAGCACTTGTCAAGTTTTGGCTAGTATCAAAAAAGAATAGCCAGGCTCAGTAGTTCACACCTGTAATCCCAGCACTTAGGGAAGCTGAGGCAGGAGGATTGCTTGAGGCCAGGAAAAGACCAGCCTGGGCAACATAGTGAGACCCCATCTGTACCAAAAAAAAGAAAAATGAGCTGAGTGTGGTGGTGAGTACCTGTAGTCCTTGCTACTTGGGAGGCTGAGGTGAAAGGATCACTTGAGCCCAAGAGTTTGAGGTTACAGTGAGCTATGATCATGCCACTGCACTCCAGCCTGGCCAACAGAGCAAGATCCTGCCTCTAAAAAATAAAAAAAAGAATAGCCACAATTATTTGAAAGGGCTGTTAACATATCCCTTTTACAACTATGTATTTGCGTAAGCCTGTATTTTCTTCATAAACTTCACTTAAAACAACATATTGCATCAGATTAAATGCAGAAGTGTGTTTGAAAATCCAGCTGTCTTCTATCAAGACATTAAAGAAATTTGTAAACATATAAAATAATGCCACTTTTCTCATTAATTTTTTATTTTGGGAAATATTTTTTCTAAAAATATGTTGTTACACTACATTTATTATTTTAATCATATAATATGAATATTTTAAAAACATATCAATTTAAATTTATATTACTGTAAATACCAATAGACATAAAACGTATAAACAGATGTTCTTTGGGGTCCTCAATAATTTTTAGGCAAGAAAAGGGGTCCCGAAACCATTAAGTTCCAGAACCAGCCCTTTAATGTTGTACCAACCAGTCTCAGACAGCAGGGGGCAGCAGAGGCAGCCAAATGAAGGCATTCCCTCTGCATTTCTACAGTTAAAGGTATTGAGTGCCTACTGGGTGTGGCCACACCCTGTGCTGCGACACAGAAATCAATCTGGCAAGTTCATGGTGGGGGTTGGAGGGAAGCAGTCCCCGGCAACTGACAATGGTGGGGACAAAGCAGATAGTTCTTCTAGTGAGCATCCAAAGGCTCTGGGGAAGGGTCAGCATGGCATTATGGTGACCTCGGTTATTCCCACTGGCTGGCGACAAGACCTGGTGGGAGAGGAAGCTTCCAGGATCTGGGGTCAGAAAGGAATGTGAAGCTCCCCAGCCTTGCAAGACTGGAGCCTGAACAGTGATCCAGGAGAATGAGAAAGGGGGTCAGGTATCTTTTTTTTTTTGAGACAGGGTCTCCCAGGGTGGAGTGAAGTGGCACGATCTCAGCTCTCTGCAGCCTCCACCTCATGCCTCATGCTTCCCAAGTAGCTGGGACTACAGGCATGCACCACCACACGTGGCTAATTTTTGTATTTTTAGTAGAGATGGGGTTTCACTATGTTGGCCAGGCTGGTCTCAAACCCCTGGCCTCAAGTGATCCATCCGCCTTGGCCTCCCAAAGTGCTGGGATTACATGTGTCAGCTACCCCACCCAGCCATGATATCATTTTTTATTAACTTGACACAGACATTTCCCAAAGCCCCCTCTACGAAGTGAGAAGGGGCTGCTTCAGCTCTGTCTCTCCTGTCCCCACTGTGGTCCTCACCCCCAACCCCCAAATACAGCCTCTCCTCAGTCCCAGGTCAGCTTCCTGCCCCTCCCTTATTCACAGAGCTTTAACTGAAGCCCTCCTCCAGGAACCAACACCAAAACCAAAACCCTCCTCTGCCTCTGCCTTCCCCGCCAGCTGCCATCCAACCATGTTGCCCTGCCAGCTGCCCTGAAAGGGGCTGTCCACCATGTCACCAAGTGAGCCCCTGCTCCTGCCTCCCACCCTATGCACATCACCCTTCCCAAGTCACCCACAGTCCCAATGGCCCACCCCAGGGGACACCTCCATCCTGGCCCTCCCGGCCCTGGCTAACCTCTCCCTGCACACTCTCCTCTCACTGTCTGCTCCCCTCTGTCCTCTTCTTCCCCTCAGAGGGCTCCTCCTCAGGCCCCTGCCCCTGCCCATCCCCTCCCTGTTGGTTTTCATCCGTGGTGAGCCACGCTTCCCTCCCAGGGGCTACTCAGCCTCTCCTCCCAAAGGCTGTCCATTCCCAAGAGGTGGACTCAAGCCCGGCCCCGCCCCCCAGAGCTCTACCGAGGAATATCCCATGTATCTCCCAATGGTCCCTCAAACTCACTGTGTCCCCAAGCCACATCATCACCTTTCCCCATACCTGCATCTCCAGGCTCCCCACCCCAGGAAATGGCACCACCAGCTGGGCCCTGGGAGTCACCCAGGCATTTCTAGCTCACTCTTGCCCTACGTGGACACAAATCAGTAGCTCGAGCCTCTTTCCCTGTAGATGTTCTGGGATGCCTCCCACCCACTTGGGCCACAGCCGGGGCCCAGGCTCAGACCCGCGCCTCTCCTTGTCACCTTGACTCTTAACACAGGCCCCAGTCTGTCTACCTCAGTGATCTCTGAGAAGCACATATGACCTTGTTGTCCCTGTGAAACCCTCCCATGGCTCCCCTCCACCCTCAGCACAGAGGCCAACTCTTGACTAAGACCTTGTGTGGCACGTCCCTCTGCCTGGCTCTCCAGCCACAGTCTCTCTTGACCTTTCGGCCTTGGTACTACAGAATTGATTTTGGTCTCCCAGATATACACCATGTACCTCAGGCCTCACTGACTGAACATTTGATCTTTTCATCCTTACCACCTTTGAAGTAGCCACTATTTTCTTTTTCTTTTTTTTCCCAACTGAGCTAACCGGCCTGAAGGAGCTACTATTTTCATCTCCCTTTTACCCACAGGAATCTCAGGCACAGAGAGGGAAGGTGACTGGGCCAGGATGTGCACCTGGCTCCCAAGCCCACAGCATCACAGCCCACAGTGCCCTACATCCAACCAGCTCTCCAGGCCAGGCAAGTGCCTCCAGCCCCTCTCCACTCCCCATTCCACATACACACTCTTACCAAATCCACCATGCGTTAAGCCAGGCTACAGCTCAGATGCTCACCCTGCACATGTGTCCCGGATCCCCTCGGGACCCCTACTTGACCTCCTTTGGCAATAAACTGGAACATAAAGTTTCCCCCAGGTGTACTGGGGTAGGTGTGGCCCCAGCTCCTACAGCCCTGTTATACATCAGCTGAGGTTAGTTGAGGCCACAGGGCCACTGAGGGCAGTGGAAGACCAGAGAGCAGGAGGGGCAGGCAGGTGGGGGTCCCAGGGATGCCCTCTGGATGTGCGTGAGTGGGCAGAGCAGGCTGGGTCCAAGCCAAGCTTCCCACTCCCCTTCACACTCCCTCCTTGCTAATGCTCCAATGTCCTCCAGATAAATTCCAAACATGAACCCCACCTATCATGGCCTCTCCGGCTCCCCCTCATTTACCTAACACTCACTAGGAACTTACGTGTGTCATCAACACTACCCTAGGTGCCTTACAAAAATTAACTCACTTAATCCTTATAAATATCCTACAAAGTAAGTACTGGGATTATCCCCACTCTACAGATAAGGAAACTGAGGCACTGAGTAACAACAGAGCTAGCACTTGGTAGTGTCAGGATTCGAACCTAGGCCATGTGGCTCCAGAGTCTGTGCTCTAACTGCTCTGTTGTGCAACCCACTTCTCCCTCCGTCATTTCTGTTGCCCTAAATACACTAACTTCTCACCCTCCACCTGCCCATTCCCACTTTCATGCCTTTGCGCTCAATGTTCCGTCTGCCCAGAAGACGCTTCCCTCCTTATCTTGATAAGTTCTGCTTCTTAAATACCCAAGTGTCACCCTCCCTGTGAAGCTGCCCTTGACCCAGCTTGCCCTCCTCCAGCTGAATCAGGCAGCCTCCTCTGTTCAGAAAGCACTTGGTACACATTTCCATGCAGACAGCTCTGGGACTGGGGGCTCCTCGATGATGAGGGCAGGTTCTCATCTGATTGTCCCATCCCTGGATACCCAATGTTTGGTATAGGACTTGGTCCAACTCAGGAAACATTGGTGAATGAGGGACTCGGGCAGCGAGAAATCAGACTCCACCCCTTGCCCTCCAAAAGCTCATAATCTGGTGGGAAAATTGACCCATCAACAGCAGCCCAGATCCAAAGGCATCAGAAGAGGCAAAGGGCCTTCGGTGCCACAGGCTCCAAAGGAAGAGGCTGTGCTTGTCACTGGGAGAAGTGGGCAGGGTTCTCAGAGGCATCAGCTTGTGAGAAGGGCCTTGAAGGATGGAGAAAATCCACTAGGCAAGCGGGACACATGCAGGCAGGAGGGACAGGGAAAGGACTCCAGGCTGGCAGGGACGGAGGCAGAGGGGTAGGAAGGCATGAAGCATTTTGAGGGCTCAATGAGCTCAGTGGAGCCCAATCACCCCACCAGACAGGGAGCTGCAGGAGGGCAGAGCGTCCCTGCCAACGCCTCACACAGGACCTGCATATATGGACGCAGTGGAAGGATTTGTTGGAAGTAGATCTCCAGGGGTGTGGAGCCTCATACAATTCAGTGGCCCTGTTTAAGAAAAACTGCAAAATACTAATATAAATGTAGACGTGAAAGTGAATGTCTATCTGCCATAAGAATGGGAGGAGCTGCGTTTAACAGCCCTGGGGCCCGAAGCTGAAGCTGCTGCCTCCGGTGAGAAGAATGTAAGGAAGGTAGAAGGTTCTTGGGAGAAGTAGGGCATCAGGCAGAAAAGGCTAATGTTTCCGTGTAGCCTCACCCTCGACCACCGCCCAGACCAGCCACCATGACCACCTCTGTCATGCTTCATGGAACTCCTTGGCCACCAAAAGGCCAGATTCCCCAGCTCACAAGACTCCCTCCCCTTTGGAAGAGTGGCCAGAGGGCAAATGTGGGTGTCTTGAGACCTGTTTGCTAGTCACCTCCTGACGACCTTGGGCATGCCTCCCCCTCACACACCCCCAGCGCCTCAGGGGTCATGGAGGGTCTGTTCTGAAAATCTCCTTTTATTCTGACATCCTGCTCATCTGACCCAGCTAAGGAGGCTCTCGCAGCAGGGGCAGCCAGAGAACTCTCTGAGAGCCTCATTCATCTCCCAGTGCCGAGATCTCACAAGGGCAGGCCATGTACCAGGCTGGATGGTGGCGGGTGGGAGGGAAACCAGACATGGAAATCAATCATTACAGAACCTTCAAGCTGAGGGAGCCCAGACCAAAGGCAGGCAGCCTGGGGGAGTTCAGGAAGGCTTCTCGGAGGTGGTGATAAATCTTGGTGGAGATAAATCTTGATAAATCTCATGAGAGATGGGTCATTTATTCAACAATTGTTTACTTGGCACCTACTATGTGCCAGGCTCCGTGCTAGGCTCTGGGGATACAGCAGTGAAGAGAACAGATGAGCATTTGGCCTAGAGGTTCTGCCCTTCAGCCCAGCAGAGAAATGAGAATTAACTCCAGAGAGAAGGGGAACAGCAAAGCAACACATGGAGGAGACAACTGCATGGAGACAGAATGCATCCTGCTTGCTGATGGAGCTGAGAGAAGTTGGCGCAAGTAGAGAGGGAAGTAAGCAATGGGGAGATGAGGCTGGTGGAGTCAGCAGGCAGAGAGCAATAACAAAGGGGCTGGAACGCCAGGCTAGGGATGTAGGGCTTGGTCATGCTGGCAACCGGGAGCCAGAGAGGGCTCTGGACAGAGGGAAGGGCCACAAGGTTTCTTAGCGTCAAGTTCAACAAGTAAAGGCAAAACTGCCTTCTCCCAGCCCTCAGGCTCCAGAGACCAGTCCCAACTTCCTGGGCCCAACTTGCCTACTCCCAACCCCTGGGCCTGAAGAAGACAGGGCACCCTCAAGTCCGCAGCCTGAACTTCAGCCTCCAGCTCACCCTCTTCTTTGTTCTTCCAACCAGTCTCTCAGCCATAGTCTGATGCCATTTCTTTTGCAGGGAATGCCCATGCTTCACCCTCTGAAGCCTGCTGCCTGCCCAGTCCCTCACCTGGTTCCCTGCCAAGTAGCACCTTTATTCTTCTTTTATAGATGAGGAAACAGAGGCTCAGAGAGGGAGAGTAACCTGTTAAAGCCACACAGCTTTACCCTAGAATTTGATAATGATGGGTGGATAGAACTCTGTGCCAGCTGTGTGGTCTCGGGAACGTCACTTAGCCTCTCTGTGCTGAGTCCTCATCTGTGAAATGGGGTACCTATCACAACATAAGGTTGGTGTGAGGTTTACAAAGAGACTGTACTGTGCCACCAACATCCCTTAGCTCCCCAGGCCAGTTAGCGGCTTTCACATGGTCCCTACCCCACTCCCCCGCGGCACACATTCAACTTTCATTCATACATCAGTTCCCTCCAACACCTTCTCTGCGCCTGGTCCTGTGCACACACTGAAGACGGCTCCTTGGCCAAGCACAGGGCTCACACCTATAATCTCAGCACTTTGGGAGGTCGAGGCAGGAGGATCGCCGGAACCCAGGAGATCGAGACCAGCCTGGAAAACATAGGGAGACCCTGTCTCTACAAAAAATTTAAAAATTAGCCAGATGTGGTGGTGCACGCCTGTAGTCACAGCTACTCCGGAGGCACAGGTGGGAGGATCTCTTTAGCCTGGAAGTTCGAGGCTGCAGTGAGCCGTGATAGTGCCACTGCACTCCAGCCTGGGCCACAGAGCGGGACCCTGTCTCAAAATAAAATGAAATAGAAAATAAAGACGGCTCCTGCACCCAACGCGCGGGGTGGGAAGGGGCGGGAGCGGACTGCAGATGCATCACGATTCGAAGTGTGTGTCCTCACACAACTCTGCTCTTGAGTTCGTATTTTTAAAATTGACCACGACGCTCCTCCTCGGGGATGGGCGCAGGGAAGGGAGGCTTGTGGAAGACAAATTCGCTCATTTCCAAAAACTTATTTTTCACCGTTTCCTGAAATCTGAACACTTCCCAGCCCAACTCTCACCTCTGAGCGCCGAGCACTAGAAGCTAGGGAGAAGCAAGGTGTCGGTGGCATCCCACCACTCAGGAGGGCTCGCTCCAGCGTCCCTGGGACCCCTGACCCCGGATATCCTCCACCTTGCCTCGCCCCGGCTTCTTTTCCTACACTGGCCCCTGCTCCTTCCCCGTGACCCCCGCAATCCCCGCACAGCAGTCCCCATGCCCCCGTCCCAGGCAAGCCAGCCCTCTCGCCTCTCCCTCCTTCCGGGTCCCGAGGCCAACCCCCTCCCCGATTCGGCCCGTTCCGAACCCCCAGCCCCGCCATTGTCCTCTTGCAGCCGCACCTCTCCATTGTCCGCCCCGCCCTCTCCGAGGTAGAATCCGCTTTCCGCAGGGCGCCGCTCCGCTCCCACCCTCGGATTGGCTCCTGCGGCCCCACGCGCGAGGCCCGGGAAGGGGAGAGGGCGCGCACCCCGCCCCTGCCCGCAGCCGGCCGGGGGCGGGGTCTCTGCTGACTCCGCCCCGTCCGGGCGGGGCCGCGCAGGCTGGCGCTGGGGCGCTGGGCGGCGCTGTTTCGGCTGAGCTCGGGCTGCGGCTCCGGTGGGGGTGGGTGGCGGGGATGACAGCGGAGGTGGCAGCGGCGCGGCGCTGAGCGAGCGGCGAGGGAGCAGGGGAAGAGGAGGAAGTGGAGCCGCGGCCGGGAGCTCGGGAGTCGGCCGCCGCGCCGAGGTTCGCCCCGTTTTGCAGAGAGAGCCGAGTCGGGACCTGGAAAGACTTCCCCGCGGGGCTCCGGCCGCCGCGCCTCCCCGCCGGCGCCTGCCCTGCCCTGCCCGTCCCAGCCCCGCGGTTCGGGGCGTGCGGCCGGGACGCGCGGAGCCCCGGCCCTGACCCGCTGCGCCGGGACGGGACGCTCCTAACGCCGCCGTACCGGTCCGTGGTTGCAGGGTCGCTCCGCGCCTTTCCGTCAGTGAGGGTCGGAACCCCAGCTCCAGGGCTAGCGCAGTGTGGCCCCAGGCCCTCGCCTCCGGTGCACGGGACCCCGGACCCCCCCAGCCTCTGGCTTCACGAGACCCCAACCTTCAGTTGGAACAGCTTGGAACAGCGCGAGCGCCCGGGAAGCCCTGGCCGGGTCGTGCGCTCGGTGAGGGGTCCTAGGCGGGCAGGACAGTCGGACCGAACCGCCGGGCTGGTGCCGCGAGCCCAGGCTGTCACCTTCGTCCCGCCTCAGGTGAGGGGTTCAGCGCCTGCCCCGAAGATAACACAGGGGTCCCCTTCTGTCCCGGCGGCCTGCGAGAGCCAAGGCTGCAGGTGAGAGCCCCGGATGCGCGGCAGGAGCGGTCCCCGACCCCATCGCGGCAGCGCGGGGGCCAGCGGAGGGAGTGTCAGGGGAAACAAGCAGAGGCTGGAACTGGCTGGGAGGGGGCGCGGGAAGGGGAGGGGAAAGAAAGAAAACGGGTACTTATTGAGCGCCCATTGTGTGCGGGTTCGCGCCCTGCCCCGCCCCGCCCCGCCTAAGCCTCACTGCTACTCCTGAAATAGGTGTTGTGTATTATTATCGGCGCTTGCAGATGGAGAAACTGAGGCTTAACGGGGCTGAGTGACCTCCTTTCACTGCGGGGAGGAGACTGGGGAAGCGGGAGAGGATAGAGGGGGAAGAGGCAGAGCACTTGAGCGCTGATGCTAAAGCTGAGGAAGTGGCTTCTTCTTGCCTCCCGCTCCCTGGCCATGTCACCCGCGAGGAAAGGTGACTCAGAGTTGAGGGTAGAGGTGGGAAGCTTCCCAGTTCCAAAGCTTCTCTCCCTGTGGGCCCAGGATGTGAGAGCAGCAGCTCCTGGCCCTTGTGTGTCAGACTCCAGGGTCTCTAAGACACTCTGGAGGTCCTGAGACGTGCTTATCTGTTGGTGAATTCACTGCAGAGATCCCCAAGTAAGGGTCTGTCAGAGCTGGAGATGTAGCCCCTCTGGGGTGGCTGGAGATGTGGCTCACGTGACTCACCTCCCTCACATTACTAATGGGGACACTGAGGCCCACCCGAAGGGAGTGCCAGTTGTCCGATCCTAAAGCCAGTGAGTCCTTGAGCCACAAGTAGACTTGAGAAAACCTTCCTGAGCATCCTTCAAGGTATGCACACTCCTCCCCAGTTAGGATCTTCTGGATAGGTGGCTGGGGCTTTCCCTATCGCTGATGTGAGATCTGGGCGACCATGTATGAGGCTGTGGTGAGAATTAGTGTGGTTGGTTGCTGGGGCCCCGAGGAATGCCTGCAACCGCATTGCCTTTGGCCCAAATGGAAGGTCCAACCTCATTTTCTTCTGGGCAGGGGAACCTGCAGGATACCTCTGCCCAGGAAGGAAGGGACCTGCTCAAGGTCTCAAGGCTGGGGGCTCCCAGGGCTGGGGCACAGTCCCAGGTGTCTTTATTCCCAGGCAGGGGATGCTTCTGCTGCCCCCAAGGCATGTAGGGAGAGGGGTGTTGTGAAAGAGCCCTTGGCATGGACTCTGTGGGCTCTTATTCTGTGTGGGGACGGGGAGGGGATATGGCCTTGGTCTGGGCCCTGTGGCCTTGGCTAGGCCTAGTTAACCCTAGAGATGCCCAACTCCCTGGAGTCAAGGGGAAACCACCTTGGAAAGCCCCTGGAAGGTGGAGGAGCGTGGTGAGAGGTCTGTGGAAGTCTGAAGCTCAATCCCTGGGGGTGGAAGGGTTAGGGGATCCCAAAAGACAAGGTGACTGAGGGGCTTGGGATTCCCTCTACCCCAGACCTCTGTCTGGGGCTTCAAATCCTCGCAATAATCTCTATGTCTAAACAAAGCTCTTTGATGAAATAATTTCACACCTGTGATCTCCTTTCATGACGTGGAGAGAGCCTGGAACCTAGAGTGAAGCAGAGGAGGGTTGCAGAGTCACTTGTGACCTCTTGATGCATCCATGGTTCCAAGTGCCACTTTAAAATAGGTTATGGCAGGCTGTGTGTTACCTGCTCAGTTAGTGGGGCCATCACATCTGGCTGTCAAGTGCTAAGGGGCATGTTGTACTTGCCAAGACTGGGGAGGTTATTAATGGCCCAGTCTCGTGTGGGCAACTGAAGCTCAGAGAGGTAAAACCACTTCCCCAGGGCCTTTGAGTTTGCTTGTAGAACTGTTTGAGTGCCAGCTGCATACCAGGTGCCCTGGAAGTTACCCAGACGGGCTAAGCGGCAGCCTCGAGCCACAGTAACTGGTGAATCCCAGATAGTGGTAAATCAGACAGACCAGGTGGGCGTGAGTCTACTGTGCCTCCCACTAGCTGAGTGGCACTGAGCAAATCACTTCATCCCTCTGAGCCTATAAAATTAGAATACCTCCTTTAGCAGGTTGTTGCGAGGATTAAATGAGCTACAAAGATGCAGTGCCTGGCCAAATATCCGTTTCCATCCCTATGAAGAAAAGGAAGCTTGAAGTTTGACCAGGAAGTCTGGGGAAATTCTCAGACTTGTCTTCGATTAGAACGCAGGATATGGTTGCAGGGCAGGCTCAGAGACCTGAATTTGCTCAGCTCAGGCTGCTGTGTGGGTCACACTCCCCTAGTCTCATAGCCTCTAGAATCAGTCTGCTTGGGGACACCGGCAAGGGGCTCTGGATTCTTACCCCCTCCCTTGGCTTCCTGCTGGCAGGGCTGTGGTGCCTGGAGCTGGTGTCCATTCCCTCGGGCCCATTGTCTGACCTCCCTAGGCACCAAGGTGCAGTGAATAATTAATACTCCCCTCAGCTGGGGGCAGGCTCAGGGAAATAGCTCTATGTTCAGTGAGCTTCTGAACCCTACCAGAGGAGGTGGGGGCTCCTGTCTGTGCTGTTAGCAGTCTTGGATATGGGGGGGCAGGCAGGATAGGACAGGGAGAAAGTGTCATCTGGCCCCCAACAGGAGAGAGCTGGGGTTGATGATGTCCTGTCTCTTCTGTTGGGGGCCAGATGGTCCCACAGGCAACACTGGGAACCAAGCTAGCTGAGCTAGGATCAAGTGGGCCTCTGATTCCAGAGAGGTGGTGACGGGGAGGAGTAAGGGGGAGGGTACAGGGCAGAAAGGGGTGGAGGGGAGGCCCTTGAGGACTGGAGTAACCAGGAAGGCTTTGTCAGGGAGGTGGCTGTCTGGGCAGGAGCTAGAGGAAACTTGCTGCAAAGACGGGGGGTCCTGACATCCCTCCAAGAAGGAATCCTGGCTGTGCCACCGCCTCACTGAGAGCATGGGAAAGACACATGATCCCATCAGGCCTCCATTTCCCCCTTTGTGAAATGACGGTTGTGATGTCCACTTCTCAAGGCTGTTAAGGATCATCTTGAGGTCCCATGTGTGAAACACACGGCACTTTAGGCACTCAACAAGGGGGTGCCTCATCATGAGTGTGAGCTAGTGGGCTAGTGGCGGGGCAGGTGGGATAGCGTGGTAAGCCGAGAGGTAGGGAGAACTTGGGGCGAGGAGGATGGCTTGGTGGGGTTAGTGAGGGGTGAATGCCCATATAGGAGAGGGCCTTGAATGTTAGACAGAACTCACATTTCAGAAAGCTTAATGGAGCCCCCATTTAGAAGCCTCTGTGGCTCCTTACGGCCTGTAAGATGAAGACCAGGCCCTAGTTATGGCATTCAGGTCCTTGGTCACCTTAGCCTCTGCCCGGCCTTCTGGCTCATTGCTCTGCACTGTCTCCTAAACACACCACATGTGGCCCCATCACAGCCCCTTTGTTTGTGGTTCCTCCCATCAGAACCGCCATCCCTGCCTCTGCTCCACTTACCTCCCCACCTGTCAAGACCTGACTGAGGTCATAAATTCCCTCAGAAACATTCCTGGATTACCCAACCCTCTGGTCATGCCCCCTCTGAATCTTTAACATTCAGCAGTAATAGTAAAAAATAATACCTACTATCCATAACATTTTGCAGTTTGTAAAATGTATCCACACAATACTACAGTGATGATATCAACAACAGCTGATATCTTGAGTACTTACTATGAGCCAGACAATGTGCTAAATGTTTTATAGACACTCTTGTTCACACAAACTCCCTGAGGTAGCTACTGTTATCCCCTAGAAACTGGGGCTCAGAGAGGTACCTGATCTTGCCCGAGGTCACACAGCTCAAAGGTAGGGAGCAGGGAGCCAAGCTGCATCTGTTTGAATTGTAAATCTGTGCTTAGAAGATGTCCTGTCTCCTCACCTCCACCCAAGTACCTTGAAAGCATACTTTGTGTGTAAAAAGCCTGGACAAGGTTTTTTCTCAAGGCTAAGGAAGGGCAGTGTTGGACTGAGCATGGGGCCCAGGAAGGACCTGGGCCCTAGGCCGTGCACAGGCTGGCTGGTTGTCTGTGTGACCTGGGGTGAGTCGGCCCCTCTCTGGGGTCCCGTGTGTCCATGTCTATGGGGAGCAGGGTGGGTTCTGAGCTCCCCTGTAGCTCCAGCTTTCTACATCGTCTTTCGTGACCCTGGAGGGAGGAGGAGGAGACCACAGCACCAGGGCCAGAGGATGTGGTATGACGGGCAGCTGTGATTTTTGGCCTGGCCACTGTCTGGGCCAGCAGGCTGTGTGGGTAGCTGCCTCGCCCAAAGGAGGGTGGTGGCCTGAGCTGCAGGCAGCATGGTCATTAGCTGGCAGAGGAGACCCTGTGATTGGGAACTGGCTGGGCCAGGCCAGGCCAAGTTGGCGGGACTGGAGGCAGGCTGGCCGGGCCACAGCGGGGTCACTGGCAGGGCAGCCAGCTTCTCCTCCCTTTGCCCCCTTTGGGGTGGTGGCAAACACACACTGGGCACCAGAGCTTTGTAGGCCAAGGCTTACCCTTTCTCCTGCTGTGACCATGGGAAAGAGCAGTAAGGAGTTCAACCAGGTCCAAAGATGCTGCCTGCTATAAGCTTCCAGTACTCCTCCCATGCAGGTGGGATCCAAGCCTCCTCTGCTGCTGATTCATGGCCCTCTGCACACTGACTGTGGTCTGTGGATTGGGGTTCTGCTTGGTCTGCTTCCCTTGCTGGCTTGTCAAAACTAGATTCTATGTGCCCCCACCGAATCCTCCCCTCCCTCTGAGTGCCTAGCAGTGTGCCTGGCACAGAGCCACACCCTCCGGGCCAGGGGAGGCAGTGCAAGCTGCCCCATGGACAACTTGCTCAACTTTTGCACCTCTGTTTTTTCCCTGTACATTGGGGCTGATAATAACTGTTATTAAATGAGATGAAGGAAGTGGGGTGCCTGTCCAGGCCTGGCACACAGGTGGGTACTCCATCAGCATGAGTCTTCTTGCCCATCCCCTCGATGGCTTCGTGAACGAGCAACTCAGTAAGAAGCTGATGGAAGAGTCCAGTGAGTGATGGCTGGAGGGAGGGCGTGCCAGATGGCAGGGAGGCCTTCCCTTAGGGGGACTTAGCTGGGGTTTGCAGATTCACAGTTCCCACCACCTTCCCTGTGAACAGTGGTGTGTAAGCAGGTGCTGTTGGCCTGGAAGGGTCCCGAGCTAGGTTCAGGGGAGGGAGCAGGACTGGGATATCTGGGGACTTGGGTTTTCTTCTCAGGCCTACGCAGAAGAAATGACCCAGGTGGGAGAAGCCGTCTGGCGTCCAGCTAGCAGATGCTGGGCAGAGAGTGTGAGTTCTTCCTTAAAGGGAAGCAGCATTTATTTGGTGCTGCTCACACACACATCCAACCGAAATGTAACATGGTTGGAGATTCTGGTCTGTGGGGGAAACAGCATTAGACAAGGAAACACACAGATGCAAAACTTCCAAATTGTGAGAAGCAGGCTCCTGAGGCAGGGGCCGGTCCCATCAGTATCTGTGGCTGGTGGCACAGGGTAGGGCTAAATGACTTGGGCAAGTGATTTAACCTCTTTGGGCTTTAGTTTCCCCATATGTAAAATGGGGATAATTACAGCATCTTCATCATAGAGTTGTGAGGGTGAAATGAATTATACGTGTAAAGCACTCAAAAAAATGCCCAGCACATAATGAGCACTCAGTGCAGGTTAGCTGTTATGATCTGTATCTCCAGCACCTCACAGAGGATCTTAGAGAAAACAGGTGCTCAGGAAAGGCGTTTGGAATGAATCCCAGGCAAAGGGCAGCTGCTCCGTGGAATGAATGAATGAACAGCCTGGTAGGGTTGGGAGGACACAGAAGCAGTGACAACACAGAATGTGACAGGGAAGGCCAGGGGCCTGGGGTTGCCCGGCGCTGGGTGGGGAGGGGAGTCAGGGAAGCCTTCCTGGAGGTGGTGCCCATGTTGCTGACTTTGGACCTCTGTGAGATCAGCACTGAATGAGCTGAGAGAGGAGTAGCTCCTCTCCAAAGGTAGCTGGCAAGGAGGAGAGCTTGGGCAGACCCCAGGACCAGTGGACTCCACAGGCCTCTCACTTCCCACCAACCCACACCATCTCTCCATCTGTGACATTCTGCTTTCAGGGCATGAGGAAGGCGGAAAGGCAGGTGGGGAGGAAGTGTGGGCTGCTGGTCTGACAGGCTCAGCTCTTCCCAGGCTTGTGACCAAATCTCCTGCAGAAAAGGATAAACAGGCCTGCTTTGAGTTCTTTTATCTTCTTGCTCCCAAGGCACACCAGCAAGCAGAGGGGGTCTTCCAGCGTTAATCCTGCAGCTGTTTAGCTTTTGAACGAGTGGACTCTTTAAAAAAAATGCCACGAAGAATGTCTCACTCTCTCACCCAGGAGGCTCAAAGAGAAACTTCTCTCCCACTGACAAGGGAGCTGGAACCCCCAAGTGTCTTAAAGAAGCTCACCCCAGGGGCAGTCTGAAATCAGGGGACCCCTCATGCTGCCTCGATTTGTTGCTGGCTGTGGGGCCTTGAGGACACCCTTATATTTTGCTTGGCTTCTGCCCATTTTGTAAAATGGGGTCAGGGTAATAAATCCCTTCTTTCCTTAGAAAGGCGTGTGGCAGGAGAGTTTCAGAGGTGGGAAGGGCAGCAGTGGGCATCCAAGCCCATGGCTTTCAAACTTTGTTTCACATTAGAATCATCTGGGAAACTTTTAAAAGTCCTGCAGGCCCCACAATCTCTGGGGCATGACCCAGGCATCAGTAGTTGATGAAGCTCCCCTGGTGATTTCAGTTTGAGAGCCACCTGGCTGCCCTCTGCAGCCTACCTCCCACAGTGTCCCAAGACAATACTTGCACATCCCCAGGACAAGGAGCTCATTCCTTCCGAGGCTGCTTCCTCCCCCCAGGACCTTCCTGCCTGGAGAGATGAGGGGAGTGGGAAGACTTGGTAATCCAGTTAACCTGGGTTCCAGCATGCAGCTGCTCCCTGCGTGTCTTCTCGGAGCCTCAGTTTCCTCATCTGAAAAATGACAATAACGATCTCTCTGAAAGGGCCACAGAGGCCAGACGAGGCCACACATGGCAAGCACCCACCCCATACCTGACGCCGGGCTGGACTGAGACCCTGAACTCCCTGCCCCAGCCACCTGAGGCCAGGTCTCTGAGACTGGCGCTGGTTAGGGTGGGATCAACACCCAGCCCGGGGGCCCTTCCCACTGTCCCCTTTCTCTCTAAGAGATAAGACAAGGCAGTAAGCATTTTGTTTTGCTCAGTTTTGCTTTAATGGTCAAAGTGTCAGACTCTCCTTAACAATGAAGCCTTGTCTGAATCTGCTTGTTTTTCCAACCCGGACACCCAACTGCACCACCTGCTTGGGGCCCCTGTCCCACCTGGGAGAACTGAAGAATGTCAGAGGATTTTTTTTTTTAATCTAGGGGAGGGTGTCCAGGGAACATTGGAGGCCTCTGTGCAAATCCTCACCGATAATTGACCCCACTTAAGTCATCCAACTCTGCTGTGATTGTGAGCCAGTTCACTAAAATTATTTCAAGGTAGTTACTAGGTGTTGAGCTAAACCCCTATCAGTGCCAGTGAGGATGGCACCAGGCTCAAGAGGCCAAAGAGGAGACCCAGAGCCAGCGAATGAGCCATGGGGTTTTACTACGGGCTCACACACAGGGGAGAGAGTCCAGTGGCTGCTGGCTGGACCGAAGAACCACAACCACTCGCAGGAAGTGTGCAGTTTTTTTGTTTTTGGTTTTGGTTTTGGTTTTTTTTTTTGAGACAGAGTTTCGTTCTTATTGCCCAGGCTGGAGTGCAATGGCGCGATCTTCACTCACTGCAGCCTCCGCCTCCCAGGTTCAAGCGATTCTCCTGCCTCAGCCTCCCAAGTAGCTGGGATTACAGGCAAGTGCCACCACACGCAGCTAATTTTGTATTTTTAGTAGAGATGGAGTTTCGCTATGTTGGTTAGGCTGGTCTCAAACTCCTGACTTCAGGTGATCCGCCTGCCTCAGCCTCCCAAAGTGCTGGGATTATAGCTGTGAGCTACCGCCCCCCAGCCTAAAAGCTTGCAATTTCTATAGCATTTTCACTTAGCACCTCCCCCAACAACTTCCACCTAGCAACCTCCATTTACCCCAAACCACAGACCTCAATCCTCTGTTTGGCCCGCAAGTTCCATAGGATGGGCCAAGAGCTCAGATGTTCCTCATAGATAAGGAGTGGATCTCCGGGTTGGCTACTCCCAGATTCCTTAGCTTAGAACCAAACTGCATTGAGGTGCGCCTGCCATACAAGGTCATTCTCAGGGCTTGCTCAAGTCCAGGTATCACTGTCCAACGTGTCTACCATACAGAAGACAGAAAACTTATGTTGATCCTGGCTTTGTCACTTACTGGCAGGATGACCCTGGAAGAATCATTTTATCTCTTTGAGCACGAGTTGTTTCTCCTATAAAATGCATTTGTAGGAAGGACTTCCTGGGATTACCTGAGAAGCAAATAAAATTACTGGTATGTGGAGCACAGTGCCTACCGTAAACTAAGCACTCAAGAGCTGTTGGTGCATGCACTTGCTGGGGAGCTGACCCCTGCCTCCTGCCCCTTCCTTCACTGGCTGGTCCACGCTCCCTGTCTCCCAGTCTGCTCCCCTTGCCCCACCAGGCCCAGGCTGAGACAGAGGACAGAGGAGGCCTGCACATGTAATCATGGGCATCCCTTCAAACTGCTCTTCTTTAAGACCAGAGGAGGCTCTGAGGACTGGACAGAGGAAGACTACAAAAGGGGCCATCAGTGGCAGTGCTTGGTCTCCTTGCCTGGGCACAGCCAGAGAGGGTACATCAACCCAGAGTGACTGGCTCAGGCATTAGGCGTGTGACAAATCAACACGGGATAGTGCAGCACCGAGGGACTAGCAGTGGCTGGGAGCAGTTACCACTCAGGGCTGAAGGAGCAAGGGAAGTGGGCAGCTATAGGGATAGGGGCTGTGGGCCATCAGTACAGGGACCCAGTCAACCCAGGAGACCTCACAGGGGATAAACTTCAACTATCTTTCCTCTTTCCTTCAGTCCCCCATTTATGCTTCCTGTTGGGTGTACCTCTCTGAAAGCCAGCAGCATGGAGCCCATTACATTCCACAGAGGTCAGTTCCCAGGGCCCCAAACAAGGTAGAGAGTGGCTCTGGAGAAGCAAACCAAAGACACTTCCTCACTCTGTCCATCAAAAGCCCGGGAGTCCACTGAATACACTGTCCTTAGGACACAGTTTAAAGATCATCTGTTTTTACCATACCCCTTAATGAAGGGGCTCTCAGCCCTTACCCCAAAGATGAATCAGCAGCCGAGCTGCCACAGACACCTCGGCGAGAGGAGTTTTGGAGGTACCCATCTCTCCCTCTCTGCCTCCTCCACCAAAGTAAGCTATAGATGGCTTCTGGGGTGACCCTGCCAGGGACAGGGGAACCTCTGGAGTGGAGCAGAAGTCACAGGTAGGCTAGTGTCAGGCGAGTTCAGGTGCACAGAGCAGCGGCCCCAGCCCTGCTGCGACTTGCCCATCCCAGAGCTGGCCATGATGTGGCCACTTCACACACCTTCCTTAGAGCTGGGCAGTCATTGCCACAGTTCTGGGGATAGCCCTGGACCCAGAACATGTTCCTCATGTCCAGGGTGTTAAGAGCCATGCCACTCTGAGTTCAGAGGGTCTCCCAGGAGCCTATGAATGTCAGGTAAGAGGAGCGTGGGGCTGGGCAGGCCTGGGACAGGCCGTGCAGCAAGTGCCACCAAATGCTGCCAGGCCTTGTGATGGGGAGTCTGGGTGTGGAGTTAGGTGGGGGGTGTGGTTCTTGCCAGGCAGGGAGCAGGAGGCATAATGGTGCCAGAGACTGAGCCTTGCCCAAGAGGAGGCATGGTCAGGGAGAGGACAGAAGATATGACACTTTGCATGGAAACCATGTGGGAGGCCCCCACGGGGTGTTGTCTGCAGGGGCACAGCCGGCAGGTCTAGGACACAGAGCCCTTTACAGCTGGCTGCCAGCGAGCACTCCCTCTCCTTCCTGAAAGGAATGCCCCTGGCATCTCCACCAGCTCACACCTAGGCATCTGAGGTGACACAGTGAGATGCCCATGGCAGGTGTGGTAACACCTGGATCCTCAGAGACTTCCTGAGAAGGGAGGTATGTGGGCCTCGGAGTCAGAATTCTGGCTTGGAATCCTGGCTCTGCCTCTCTTGAGTGGAACTTAGAAGACATGGGCAAGTCACTTAGCCTCTCTGAGCCTCAGTTGCTCACCTATAAAATTAGAGCAGCAACACTTACCTTCCAGGCTGGTTTGAAAGTAAAATGACATAATGAATGAGACAGCATCCTGTATTTCAGAGGAGATGCTACAGTTGCCCTCATCATGCCCCCCTTCTCTGTATGCTGTTCATGCTTAATGCCTCTGCAGGAAGTTCTTTCTTGAGACTAATTGAAGTCCACTCTGCTGCAATTGGAGCCTTCTTCCTCTTGCTGGGGACTCTGCAGAGGCAGACTGAGCCCCTCCTCTGTCCAGATGTGCCCTGTCAGTGCCTGCAGTGAGTGAAGCAGAGAACTGGGTGACCAGGTGTTGATTTTCACCTTGGAGCTTGGGGGTTCAACTGTCAATGGCCAGAGCCTCTTGACCATGGCAGGATAGGGGGTGCATCATCCTAACTCTTCACACTGTTCTTCCTCTCTGTGCTTAATGCATGCTCCAAAAGGGGTGACTTTGGGCCCGTGCAGAGAGCCCTGGGCTGGGCCTAAAGGCCTGGGTCCTGGCACCTCCGTCTCACTGTGTGGCCCAAGGCCAGTTAGCAACCATTTCGGGCCACCGTGGGCCTGCAAGGATGTCTGTGCTCTAGGGCCCAGGTCCCTCCAGTGAAGACATATGTAGTTCTGACTGAAGACCCTTCTCCTGCTTCTCCCCCTCTGGGACCCTAGCCAACCTGGGAAGACAGCAGATAGGGTCCTGCTGGTGGCTGGCAGTGGTAGCAGCTGAGTCCATCTCTCAGACCAGGACTGCCAAGGGCAGGCCGAGAATTCAAGGTTAGATGGGTGATTCCTGGTAGGTAGGGTTTTGCCTCCCTCCTCAAAACAGAGCCTGGTGCTCCCCTTCCTACCCACTCAGCTGAACTCACCCAGCTCAAGGGCAGTCATGTTTGAGTCTCTCCTTGGAGTGGCTCCTTTCCCACATGAGATCCGCTTTCATCCCTCATTTTGCAGGTGAGAAACCTCGGGCTCAGGCAGGTGAGGTGACTGGCTTGAGGTCCCACAGCCTGTCGGTGGGAAGTGGTGAGGGTCCCTGCGGCAGCTCCCATGGCACCTGGGCCAGGCCGTGCCCTCTAGGTCCTCAGCAGGAGTGGAGCACAGGAGAGTCAGGAGGCTACTAGCCAGGTGGTCTCCTGGTCTAGGAGGAGGCCCTATGGGTGCCAGGGGAACCCTGCTCTGTGGGCCTTGAGGGGTCATCTGGGGCTCCTGGGATTGCTGGGTCCCTTTCCCTGGGAGGAAGTTAGCCGAGGAATGCCAGAGGTTGAGAGCGAGGAACCCAGGAGTTCTAGGCTGTGACTAGTTCTGAGTGCCCCTGTAAACTTCAGTGTTTAGTTTCACGGAGAGTCAAGACTGACTTTTTGTTGACTTTGGACACATGACAGTTTAACTTTACGAAGCGCTCTGATATCTGTGATGTCATTGCATCCTCACAGCAGTCTGTGAGGAGGAAGTGTGGGACTTGTTTGGGAGGGCAGGAGAGTGTGGGCTCTGGAATCAGACACACCGGAGCTTACACCCTGACTCCCACCGGCTCTCTGACCTCAGGCAAGTTGGTAACCAGCCAAGTCTCAGTTTGCTCATCTGTGAAAGGGACAATTTACTCCACAACAAATTGTTAGCAACACCTGCCTTGCTGGCTGTGTGCCTTAAGAGAACATCTGTAACTGCTGGGTCAGTGTCTGGTGCCATGTAATAGTTTTCATGATTTTTATCAGACCCACTTTATAGAAGGGAAGATGGAGGCTGAGAGAAGGAAGGTGACTTGTCTGAGGTCATGTAATGATTTAAATTGGTCCTCCAGACTTCTTGTCTGTGAATTTTTTCTATAAAACCTCCCTCTCCATCCTCAAGTGACCCGATACCTCATTTATCCAGAACCCTCCACGTGTGATGCTGTCTAGACGTGGCATTGTGTCCCCAGTGCCCAACAGCACTTGCCTGGTACACAGTATGTCCTGTGCATAGATGTGTTGATGAATTCATATAAACTGTAAGAAACATTTTTCCAGAAGAAGCAGCTAAGGCCTGTGTCTTGCCCTAAAGACTTCTTTCTTTCTTTCTTTTTTGAGACAGAGTTTCGCTCTTGTTGCCCAGGCTGCAACCTCTGCCTCCCAGGTTCAAGTGATTCTCCTGCCTCGGCCTCCCACATAGCTGGGATTACAGGTGCCCGCCACCACGCCCAGCTAATTTTGTATTTTTAGTAGAGACAGGGTTTCATCATGTTGGTCAGTCTGGTCTGGAACTCCTGACCTCAGGTGATCCACCTGCCTCGGCCTCCCAAAGTGCTGGGATTACAGGAGTGAGCCACCACACCCAGCTCTAAAGACTTCTTTCTGCTCTCTATCCCATTAAAAACAACTCTAACAGTTTTGGTTGGAAACCTTTGCAAAAGAGATTGATCACTTTCTTCCTCTGAACAATGGCAACATGGACGGGTTGAGGGACAGGCCTTAGGAACCCCGCCTGCCTTGCTGAGAATGCCGACGCGGCTTGACCCCTGTGCCAGATGACCCTGGGCTGCTGCATGTGTTCAACTCTGGTTTCTGGCTCTTCCCACCCTGTCGGTTCCTTTATTCTGCTGCCCACAGACTTGCCTCCAGAGCGCTGCATCTCTTTCCTCTCCCCTCGTGTGTGTGTGTGTGTGTGTGTGTGTGTGTGTGTGTGTGTGTGTCCTTCCCAATTTCATGCTTCTACCAGTTAGGGACTAAGAAATGGAACAATTGACCTTACTAGAATTGGTTCGTGTATTCATTCATACCTATTCAACCAGTCAGCCATTGGTGAGCCTGTGTCACACTGGGGATTCTGTCTGTGCATTCTTCCATGCATCCATGTATCCATCCATCCATCTGTCCTGATTGAGGACCTCTGCAGTGGCTTGTGATCAATCAAGACATTACCACACCCTCCTGGCCATGCATGCAGTAAAATAATGATGCACACAGCAAATGCTGGCACAGGACTTGACAGTTTGTAATCTGCCTCTGCTTGCATTACCTCAATCTTCACAACAGCCCTGAGAATAGCATTATCCCCATTTTGCAGATGATGAAAACAAAGCTTAGCAGGATGGGGTCCCCCCGCCCAATGGCCAGCAGTGAGCACAAAGTCACAGTTGGAACTCACTCAGGTCTCTGGCCCACTCTGTTACCTTCTCCCTCCTTTGCGCTACGTTTGGAGGCTGTCTGATGCCATGTTCATTATCTGTCTCTGTCATGAGCTATTGGTGGTGGTGGCTGAGGTTGGACTTTTTGCCTCTGTCAAATGGTCAGTGCAGGGAAGCATGGCCCTGGCTGGGTGGCAGCCACAGACACCCTTCAACCTGCAGACCTTGTCCCGCCTGGACCCAGGCGCACTATCTAGTCCACACTCCCCAAACTGTCCCCTGAGGAGCCCTAGTCCCGTGGCATGGGAATGGATTCAAGGATGCATGAGCATACAGATTTGGGAAACGCTAGGTCACATAAATCCAAACAGGCCTTCTCAGGGTCTTTAATGTATTAATACGAATTAGGGACCCCAATGGGTGGCAGAGTGTGCAGCCAGCCTTTCCTAAGCTTATTTGAACATGCAACTCCTTGGTCAAAGAGCAGGGTCTGGACACACCGTCTTGAGAATGCAGTGAGAAGATCTCATGGGCAAACCCTGACCTTGCTGTTTTGTGCAAGGAAACCCCCAGCCAGAGCTAGTTTCCTGGCCCAGGACTGCATTTTGAGAGAGCATCACAGGGAATACTCTTTAGCCCCAGAAAAGATTCAGTGATAATGGTGGAACTTCAGGCAGCAGGGGCAAGTGGCCGTGGAGATATTTTTATTCTTTCATCCACCAAAAGAACATATCTCAGACATCTACTGTGTGCCAGGAACAGAGCCAGCACTTGGAAATGCCAAGACAATCTAAGTCTCTTCCATTTCATTTTTCCCCCACAGTGCTGCATCTCTTTCCTCCGAGGGTTTTCAAAGAAAGACAAGCCTTAAATACATGCCTTAAAAGGAAGAAGTGATCTGTTAATTGCTCTGGGTCGTTGCTTTGGGTGGGTGACACATTTACTCAATTCAGCGGAGCTGTACCTTCTTAGTCCCAGGTCCTGAGGGGCAGAGAGTGAGGCAATTCCAGGACCCATTACCCTGGGCAGAGTGCACAGATGTTGCAAGGGAGGTCAAGAGCATGGGGAGGCCCGGAGGAGGAGGAGGGGGGAGGGGGAGAAGGGAGCGAGCTTCCTCCTGGGGTCCATCAGTCTCAGCTTGGGGTTGGGGGGCACTTAAGTGAGGCTCTGCGAAGAAGAGATGGGGGAGTGGGGGTGGATGGGCTCCAGGTGGCTGGGAAGGGCATTCTTCCAACAGCTGGAGCAGAGGTGAAAGGAGGCAGCACATGACACTGTGTCATGAGGACCCTGTAAGGAGCCTGTGGATGTGGGAGCAGAGGGAGGAAAAGGAGGTCAGACGGGGCTGGAGAAGTTTCTGGGGCAGATTTTGAGGGTCTGAGCTCCAGCCAAGTGGGTGCTTACCTGATGAGGAGCCTCTTCAGAGCTGGTCACATTCATCCCAGTGTCCCCAGCACCTGGCTGGTGCCCAGTGGGTGTTTGTGGACTGGCTGGACTCTTCCTCTGTAGGCCTCGGGTTCCTCACATTTGTGGTCAGGCGAGGTCACCTGGCACCTCCCTTCCTACTCTGAAGAGCTCTCAGGAGTTCTGGATGCTTGTGCAGGGGAAGGCCTCACCACTCTCCCTGTCTCCTGCCTCAGGGTTCTCTGGGTTGCCCCAGCAGGGCTGGGGCCATGGTGCCCTGAGTGGGGGACAGCCCTCCCGCTGCCAGGGAACTTTGCCCCTCGTGCTTTCTCCCTTCAGCAGTTGGCCCCCTGAGCCCAGAAGGACATTCCTTGGTGTCCCGTGACTGGGAGTGGCAGTGGCATTGAGCGCATGCTGCAGCTTAGCACGGGGAGGGAGCTCTGCTTCCATCTATGTGAAAATGGGCAGCCAGGTGTGGTAGCTCATGCCTATAATCCCAACACTTTGGGAGGCCGAGGCGGGCAGATCACTTGAGGTCAGGAGTTCGAGACCAGCCTGGCCAACATGGTGAAACCCTGTCTCTACTAAAAATACAAAAATTAGCCGGGCTTGGTGGTGCGTGCCTGTAATCCCAGCTCCTCGGGAGGCTGAGGCAGGAGAATCGCTGGAACCCAGGAGGCGGAGATTGCAGTGAGCTGAGATCGTGCCACTGCACTCCAGCCTGGGCAACAGAGCAAGACTCCATCTCAAAAAAGAAAAAGAAAATGGGCAAGTGACTCAGCCTCTGAGCCTCCGCCTTCTTGTCTGTTAATAGTAACTTCCACACTGGACTTTTATGAAGGTTCAACGAGATAAAGTTTGAACATGGATTATAAACTGACTTACTCCACAAACAAGTAAACAGTTCTTGGCATTAACAATATTCATTTGTCCAATTTATATTAATCCCCCAAGCCTCTGGGCCACTCACCTCTTTTCAGGAAGTGCTCCCTGGCATCAGCTCACTGTTCTCTGTGCAAGCTGCCCCTGCTGGTACATTTTATCCAGGCCAGAGCAATAGGAGCCTCTGAATTATGTACAAGTCGCACACACAGGCCAGAACTGTGTGTCTGCAGCCCTGTCTGTGTTTGAACAGAAAGAAAGATGGTGCTGTCCTTCCTATCTGCTGGGCCCAGGGACCAGATACCGCCCCTTCCCTGGCTGCAACCCAGGGGTCTCGGCCTCTGAGGAAGGCTGGGAGCACATGTCAAGAACACCCCCCACACCCAACTTGTCTGTCCTGTTTACAGTCTGGGTCTAACATGACCTGCCCACATACAGGAGCCTCTCTGTGTCCTGCATCCCTGGGTGGCTGGTGGGCATAGGGCTTGAGGGGCAGAAAAAGACAGTCACTCCACATCCCTTCCACTTCCCTGTTCATGCCAGGAGCTGTCAGTCGGGATGACCAAGATCTTCAATGTGGACACTGCTTTATTTCAGCAGGGCCTCAGGTACCCCCTCTGGGAGGCCTGCAGCCTGTCACAGCATGCTGAGCCAAAGCCACCTGCCCAGGGTAGGTGCTGGAGGGACAAGGCTAGGTTGTGCCCAGCACCCCTTCGCCTGGAATTCTGGGGGTCCCTCTCAGTGCCCTTGTTCCTGAGCAGCTCCAGATGGTCCTGGCCCTATGTGGGGGGAGTAGGGGCAGACAGCTGGTGAGGCTGGCACCCAGAGGCATCACAGATCCTCCCTCCGCTTAGATTGGCATGGGGGCCACAGTGGGGGAGGCAGAGTGGCAGGCAGGGAGAAAGATATAGTGGGATATTGATGTAAACCTAAGCAGATTATTTTTATAAGATCCCAGTGAACAAACGTCAATTTACCCCTCCTCCAACTCTCCCCCTGTCTTAAAAAGACCAAGCAGGAACACACCTGGCTTCCTGTCCTGGCTCCATCCGTGTGCCTGTGCAACCTTGAATTTGTGCCTGGGGCTCTCTGAGCCTTAGCTGGCCTCATTTTAAGATGCTGATGATAAGGCCAACGTCACAAGGCTGGTGTGAGATCAAATCAACCCAGTGGGTGGCACACCCAGGAAGGCACCGGATACATGGCAGGCCACCGATTTGCAAGGCAGATCTAATGCTAGGCCAGAGCAAAGAAATTGGATGTTTTTAGATACTTGATCTGTGGTCTCTGTAAACAGGAGAGAGGAAATTCTTGTCAACTTCCTCAAAATGATCAGTGCAGCTTAGACACGTTTTTGTACCTTGTGACTCCACGAAAAGGACTTCAAAATTACCCAGGTATTTGTTGACCTTTCCCCTGGGACCATGTAAAGCCACTGGGTGTGAGTCCTGACTCTGTCATATTAGCCAGGTGACGTGGGCGAGTCCCTTGTCCTCCCTGTCCTATAAAATGGAGGGAACAAGTACCTAATTCTCAGGCTCATTGTGAGCTTCAGATGAGAAATAATCTATAAAATCCTACTGTGGAAAAAAAAAAAGCAACTGATAGATAGTGGGTGCTGGGGGTGGGTGTTGGGGGATGATGGCCCAGAGTGCGGGTCAAGGGCTCAGGCAGCTGAGGCTGGGTGTCCTGTCCTGATGACTGGCAGGCTCTGTGATGGTCAATGCGTGTGTAGAGCCTGATTTGCTTTCCTTAATGGGACAGCTGCTTAATTAGCCTCTGAGTGTTCCTGACAAGTGTCCCTGTGAGTGTCCCCAGCATCTGACAGGGTCAGCTCTCTCCAGACCATGTGTGTGCTCCACTGGCCAGCCTTGGGTGTGAAGCATTGACCCACTGTCCTATCCTCTGATTCTTGGCTTGTCACTCAGATGGCCTCGTGGGGCAACCACTGTGTTGGGGACTAAGGGAACAGGAGACAGCCCTGCCTTAAGAACCCCGGTCTGGGCTTTAAAGGAGGAATGTAGAGAAGGCTCAGTGGCTGTGACCCAGTGGGGCTTGGAGGCAGCCAGTGCCCCCCAGCCTGGGAAAGATTCTGCCTGGCTCTGCCACCAGTTCTCTATGTGACCTTGATCATAGGCCCTTTCTCCCTCTGGGCCTCAGTTTTCCCCTCTAAATGAGGATGTTGGAAGAAGTGGTCCCAGGAAGCTGTGGCCTACAGCAAAGCAGGGTGAGGGGAGCAGTGATCTCTGAAGCCAGCCCAGCCTGGGGTTCTTGGCCCAGCTGCTGCACTTTCTGGCCTGTGACCTTGGGTAGCCCACCCAGCCTCCCCATGTCCGCCTGACAGGGGTATGCTGGCCCTGCTGGCACAGAGCAGACACTGAACATCCTGCCCAGCAGCGTCTGGCATTGGTGGGCCCCAGGGCAGCTTTGGCCCTTCTCCTCTTTCTTTCCCTGTTTGTCCTGCAGTGCCCAGAAGTTCCCCAGGGAGTCTTGCGCCAGTGGATTAGGGGTGGCGTAAAACAAGTGTTGCTGACCTCAGTGCCGAGTCCACCATGCTGTCTGTGCTACTCCCCTGCCTGGGGACCACAGGATTGGGATAGAGCTGGCCATCCTCTGCCACTTAAGGGTTGGACAGAGAAGGGGAGGGGGGCAGGGGCAGGGTGCACACTCTAGAGCCCAGCATTCCGTCTTTGTTGGCATCTTGGAACCTTGGTCCTTAGAACCGTGGACTCTTTCAGTTCCCAAATCTTGGAAGCACTGGATCATGGAACCATAGAATCTCGGTGATATGAAATCCAGACTTGGAGGAGGCCTAAGGGGTCACAATCCAAACCTTCATCCAGCCCAGGCAGCCCCTCTGCAGGCTCCGTGAACACTCTGGCAACTGGGGAGTCATCTGTAGCCCCCTCAGGTAGGTCTCAGACTTCGGTCAGATCACAGGGCTGCCCCCACCCTACCTTGTGGTCTTGACTGGCCGCTGTGATGGTGTGCCTGGGGCTGGTTAGTGCTAATGGACAGCTGGGATGGAACCAGGCCTCTGCTCAGCTAAGAATAGAAGGCTTTGTGCGATTTAAGTAGCAGCCGGATCATATCAGGCCTCCCAGCCAGGCCCTAGGGAGCTTATTAAGAGGCTACCCTGGGTCCTCCTAGGTGGAGGGGCAGCCACTGGACTTCCCCGGGGTTGCTCTCTTGTGTTTACCTGATGATGAATTTTCCTTTTCCTATCAAGTAAGTTCATCCCTCCTCCTTCTTCCTCCCTGGGGCTGGCTGGGGAGCATCACCCAGTGTTCCTGGGGGGAGTGTCTTCTGGGAAGAGCCCAAACAAACAAAGCGTCCCTGAGAGGAACAAACAGATCGATGAAAACGTCTTTGTCTGGAAAGGAGAGAACGGATGATGGCAACCTTTTATTGAGTGCCTACTGTGTGCCAAGCCCTTGGCTCAGCATTTTGTGCTCTTGCCATATCTGACCCTCCCAAGGGGCTCTGGGAAGGGTCCTTATCCCCATGATGCAGATGAGGACACAGAGGCCCAGCTGGTACTTGGCGGAGCTGATATTGGAACCAAGGACTGCCCCGCCCCATTCCTTCTGAGGGAGAAACTAGGGGTTCCTGAGAGCCAGGGGAAAGAGGCAAGAGTCAGAATTCTTGGAGAGAAACCTAGGCATGGAGGATTTTGTCTCTCTGACTGCAGTGATTCATGCTTTACCTTATGTTAGAGTCTTTTCCACTTTTGGCAGCATGGAATAGGAGAAACGGTTCTGGACTGAGGGAGGAATTATGGCCCTATCACAAATATAGTAGGTGCAGGCACATGTTGGTTAAGTTTGAATTAAACCAAATCCACTTGGGTCTCAGATTTCCCTTCTGTGAAGTGAGTAAAGGTCGCCTGGGGCAGGATCATGAGGCTGTGGCTCCAGATTCCTGGTCTTTTGATCAGAGAGTGTCCTGGTCCCCACTCTCTGCAGGTCTCTGGTGCCTCCTGCCTCCCACTCAGAGATTATTCCCAGTGTGAGAATTGGAAGGACACCTAGGAATTGCAGGTCATTCTCTGATGGTACAGACAGGAAAACAGGGGCCCCACAAGGAAAAGGACTGGCCCAAGGTCATGCAGTGAGTGGGCCTGGGAGCACATAGTAGGAAATCCCTTCTTCCTTCCAAGCCAATGCCTGCTCTCCTCTGGGGCACTGCTTTTAGGTGGTGATCTGGAGGGCTGGGGGTGGGGCTGGGGGCCGGAGGCAGCTGGATCCTGAGAGGGAGGCAGGGGCCAAAGGTCCAAGCCTCTATCTGTGGTGCCCCAGGCCCATCTGTGCTTGCCCAAATCCTGTCCAGCTCAAATGCCCCCTCTTCTGTGAAGCCTTCCTGGACTCCCCTTCCTAATACCCTTTCTAATCTCCCTATCTACCTCAAGAGTGAGAGGTTTTTTTTGTTGTTTTTTTTTTTCTGAGATGGAGTCTCGCTCTGTCACCCAAGCTGGAGTGCAATGGCATGATCTCGGCTCACTGCAACCTCTGCCTCCCGGGTTCAAGCAGTTCTCCTGCCTCAGCTTCCTGAGTAGCTGGGATTACAGGCATGCGCACACCCGGCTAATTTTTGTATTTTTAATAGAGACTGGGTTTCACCAAGTTGGTCGGGCTGGTCTCGAACTCCTGACCTCATGATCCGCCTGCCTCGGCCTCCCAAAGTGCTGGAATTACAGGCGTGAGCCACTGTGCCTGGCCGAGTGAGAGTATTTTTAAAAATTGTATTATTTAAGTTAACAAACATAAAATGCACCATCGTAACCATGTTAAATACAGTTCCGTATGTTAACTATATTCACATTCTTGTGCAACAGATCTCCAGAGCTTTTTCATCTTGCAAAACTGAGACTCTATACCTATTACACAACTACTCCCCATTTCTCCCTCTTTCTCTGGCCCCTGGCACCCACCATTCCACTTTCTGTTTCTGAGTTTGACTATTTTAGATACCATATATAAGTGGAAGTGTACAATATTTGGCTTATTTCACTTAGCATAGTGTCCTCATGGTTCATCCATGCTGCAGCATGTGGCTGGATCCCCTTCTTTGTTCAGGCGGAGTGCTGCTCCATTGTGTGGCTAGACCACATTCTGTCTGTCCGTTCACCTGTCGATGGACCCTTGGGTTGTTCCACTTCTTGGCTCTTGTCACAAGAGTAGGGAGTTTTGAAGTTGGATGGGCCTGGGTTGGACCCTGGCTTTTAGCCTCCTTTAGCTGAATCTAAGGCCCTCCTCACCTGCCACCGTGCCCAGTGGGATTGCTGCAAGGAGTAGAAATTGTTCATGTTGAAATGCTTGGCGTACAGCAGACTTGCAGTGAGTAGTAGGTGGGATTCATTCTCGTTTTCCGCTTTCCCTCTAGGGACAGGTCCCTTTTGCCCATGGCTATAGGACCCACAGCTCACCTGCACCCATCCATGAGGGCAGCTGAGCATGTGGTGAATCTCAGAATATTGGAGCTGGAGAGCACCTGTGCACAGAGAGGGGCAGGGACTCATTCAAGTTCACCCAGCCAGTCAATGGCCATGCCAGGATTAAACTTGGCTCTCCAGCCTGGGGACCTTCCCCCTCCAGTCCCTGAGATCCGCAAGCCTTGTCCTTAGGAGGGATCAGCTCCCCAGGGGCCTATGTCTAATCCTGCAGCATTCAGGGCTGGGGGAGGCAGGGGGCTGGGAGATGAACATCTCAGGAGGCTCAAGAGATGAGCATCTGTAGTGGGTGGAGGCCAATGGCACCTGCTAGTCTCCTCTGATCGCCTGACTTTCCCCAGGGCTGTGGACAGCGGAGCTGCTTCAGCAACAAGGAGACTCACGTCAGACTCATTTGCATGGTGCAGGCTCTCTAAGGTCCTTGCCTTGCACCTGGGAGCTCACTCTGCTTTTGCTCACTTTCATTCATTCATTTGCCTATTCCTTCCTTCGCTCATTTATTCAGCAACCACTCCCTGAGGCCTGCTGTGGGCTGGGAGACCAATCAGACCTTGCAGGCAGTCAGTATGGCATAGCAGTGAATAGTGTGGATTCTGAGGCTAAACTGCCTGGGTTCAAATCCCAGTTCTGCCAGTTACTACCTCTATGACCTTGAACAAGTTGCTTAGCCTCTCTGCCTCAGATCCTTCTCTGAAGTGAGGAGAATGATAGTTCATAATTTATATTTGTTCCAGTTACTGTTGTCACGTAACAAATGACCCCAAAATTTAGTGACTTTATATAGGAACAATCATGGCTGGGCGTGGTGGCTCATGCCTGTAATCCCAGCACTTTGGGAGGCTGAGGCAGGCGGATCACCTGAGGTCAGGAGTTCGAGACCAGCCTGGCCAACATGATGAAACCCCCATCTCTATTAAAAATACAAAAATTAGCTGGGCATGGTGGTGCACACATGTAATCCCAGCTACACAGGAGTCTGAGGCAGGAGAATCACTTGAACCCGGGAGGCAGAGGTTGCAGTGAGCTGAGATGTCCCACTGCACTCCAGCCTGGGCGATAAAGCGAGACTCAGTCTCAAAAAAAGAAAAAGAACAATCATTATCTCACAGTTTCTGTAGGCCAGGAATTTAAGTTGAGCTCAGCCTTGGGCTCAGCCCAGTGGCTCTTGGTCAGGGTCTCACTTGGTTTCTGTCAGGTGGCGTCTAGAGTGGGGAGGAGCTGGGGCACCCGGAGGTTTGCCCAGCTTCTCTCACTCTTTGCGTAGTCTCAGGCCTTCTTTTCTCTCTCTGCAGGCTTGTTTGAGCCTTCCCACAGCAAGGCAGTCTCAGAGCAATCACAGTGTCTACACGGTGGTGCAGGGCTCTAGTAGGAGTGTCCTGGTGAAGGAGGCAGAAGCTGCTTCACACTCAATGACCTGTCCCTGAAAGTGCCGTAGTGTCACCTCAGCCATTACTCCCAAGCCTTCTCAGATTCAAGTGGGGGGACAGAGACGCCACTTCTCTCCATGGGACTGGTGTCAGCATCACTTTGTAAGAAGAGGGTGTAGGATGGGAGACATTGCTGCAGATGTCTTTGGAAATACCATCTGCTACAGTTGTGAGAGTTAGATGAGTAAACACAGGAAATGCCTAGAACAATGCCTAGGCATCATATATAAATGGTAGCTAGATAAAGCCAAGGGTGATTTTGACCATATGCAACTTATTCGTGATGTGCTGACCTTAGGATGTGACTGCCACTGTGGAAGCCAATCCACTGAATAGCAGCATTTCCCATTTGGGTATTGAGGGATCTATAGGAGTTCACCAAACTGAGGCAAGTGGAAAGGCATTCTACACAGAAGAAATTAACTTTGCAAAAGTGTTGAGCTGGAGAAGGGAGTCCCTGGAGCAGGGACTTAGCTCCAGGTGGCAGGGCTGCCCTGAGGTGAGGAGGGAAGGAAATGACTGGAAAGTGAGTTGTGGGCAGGTTGAAAAAAGTTTTGCGTGTAGGGTTTGTACTTAATCCTGTAGGTTCCAGGATGTCCTTCTGTTTCTCAGGCAGCAATATGAGAGGCTTGAGTACCATCATGAGGAAGCCATTTCTGAGGGCAAATCAACAGGATCTGGGGAGATACTGGACTTGGGGGTGTAGGGAGAGGTCAGGACTGATGGGGCTCACACCCAGGTGTTTGGCGCGGGTCATTTACATCAGTTTTGAATGTGATACACATACCTACCCTGGCTTGCTTTCCCTCCTCTTCCAGTAAATTAGAAACTTCATGATTGTTCTCTGCTCAGATTGGCTCTTTGGTAGGGGAGGGTGGAAGTGTAACTCCCTTGGCAGAGGGGTCTGGAGGAGCCTAGCAGGGCCGGTGGCCTCCTCCTCTGCCCCCAGCCCTGTCTGTGGAGAGCGGCTCCTGCTCTCTCACCCTCTCCTCTCCCAGCACCCCTCCCCACTCTGATCACAGCCTCAGAGTCCAAATGGAACAGGCCAGACTGTTCAGGTGGCTGTTGCCACGTCTCCCTGAGCCCCTGCTCTGGAGCCCCGAGCACCAGCCTGGAGCCCTGGCCCAGCCAAAGGCTTCACCCCTGGAGCAGGTGACTCTGAGCGAGGCCATGGCCCGAGTCCCTGTTTCCAGGATGTTTGTGTCCCTGTGGACCTGTCTTTGTATGGCTCCATGTACTTCTGGGAGCCTGTATGCTTGCGCCAGTGTGCCCACTCATGTCACCTGTGTCTGTCCGTGAATATGTGCCCTATGTCTTTTTGGATGTCTCTGTGTGTTCGCATGTGTTTGCACAAGTATGAGGTGGGCCTCTTAGGCTCTCTCAGGGCCCCCATGGTTATCTTGTCATAAATGGCAGTCAGGTTAGGGTGCTCTGAAAGGGGCTAAGTGCGAGGAGGGGCCGAGCCAGGGTATAGCCCTTGCCCCTGGGGGCCTGTGGTCTGAGGGAAGATCCAGACCTCACCAATGTGGCAAACTCAGCAGAAATACAAGTTCCCAGATTTGAGAAACCTCTTTGGGACCCCTCATGCTGCACTTGGCCTCGGTGTTGGGGACCCAGGGTCAGATCAGACCCTGCCCCTACCTTCCAGAGCCAGCCCAGGCAGTCAGCTATGCAGTTGGACACTAGCGTGGCTGCTGAATGGATGGCTGTACAGGGCACAAGAAAACAGGTGAAGGCATGCCCAGGCCTGCTGGAGAGTCAGGGAGGGCTTCCTACAGGAGGAGTTTGAGTGGTGACTACAGAGCTGTTTGGGGGATGAGAGGAAGGAGATAGAGAACAGAGCTGGGCTTGGCGTCAGATGGCACTGGCGGGTTTGAAGAAAAGGGAGATGGGGAGGGTGATTCTCATCTTCCAGGCCTGGAGGTTGGAGGGAATGGAGGTGTCTTGAAATGCGTGGAAAGGAAGAGGAGTTCCCATTTGGCCACTGTGGGTATGAGCTTCCTGTGGGATGTCCAGGTGCAGATGACCAGAGGGTTGCAGGATACTTGAGTCTTGAACTTGGTCCAGCCAGAGATGGGTGGTTGAAACCGTGGGGTGGATGATACTGCCAAGAAGGATGTGATGGGCAAGGGAGGGAAAGGGGGCTTAGGATTGAGAGCAGCAGCATTCAGGCCTGGGCAGAGAGGATCCAGCGAAGGGGCTGGTGAGGTGGGGCCAGAAAGGGGGACAAACAACCAGGCAATCAGTGGCTGAGGATGGAGAAGTGCCCCATGGATTTACCCACACAGAAGCCATTGTTGAACTTGGTGGCAGCAGAGGGTAATGGGTTTTGCAGTGGGTGGGACGAAGTGGAGATATGGGTGCAGACAACTCTCAGAAGTTTGGATGAGAAGGGAGGAGAGAAAGGGAGGAGAGCTGGGAAGGGGTGCAGGGGATGAACTGCATGAGCCCCAGGCCTGCTCACTGCTGATTGGAAGGAGCCAGAAGAGGAGAGAGGAGAGGCCAGAGGGAGGAGGGAGGGTGAAGTGGTCATCTGTAGACACCCGCCTAGTCCTCTGCCAGGGGCAGGGAGGGTGCCTGGAGGGGGTGGTGCTTTCTGGAGGAATGGCTGTGGAGGGCTGAGGGTGAAGGAGGTGCAGTGCTGGGCAGGCAGCCTTCAGTCTTGCCCTGACCTCTGCCAGTCTTCATATCTGCAGGGTATGGTGGTAGCAGCCACCCTGGGGTGTGGGGAGGATCCCAGGAGGCAGAAGCTCCACTAGCTCAGAGCATCCTCGTAAACCAGGTTCAGGTCAGGAGTTGAAGCTCAGGGCTGGGCGGGGTTGGCCTCTGGTGGTTTTTGCATCTTCAGTGCTCACCAAAGCTGTTTCGTAGACACTGCAAACAAGAAAGGCCTAGGAAGGTCAGGACGTGGATGGCCTGCTTCCAAAGAGGCCACACCCAACCCCATCTCTGGGCCCAGCTCTCAATTACAGGGAAGTTCTTCCTTTGGGTCTAGCCTAAGTCTTTCCCGCTGTGTGTTCCCTTCTGGTGAACTTGTTCAACCCTGCTCCATGGAGCCAAGCCTATCAGCTGGCCACTTGGAGTGGCGGTCAGTATTTTTACAACTTGTTTTCATGAAGATGATTTGAAGTCTCCTTGCATTCCCAGAATGTCAGACCCGCCCTGATTCACAAGGATTGACCAAAACAGGGTCTGAGCCAACCAGAGGAATTTGAAGACTTAGTCATCCCCCTTGGATCATCTGCACATTCTTCTCCTTTCCTTCCAGTTAAAAAAAAAAAAAAAAAAAAAAAGGAAAAGAAGAAGAAAGAAGGAAAGTTAGCCTAGATGACCAGATGTCCAGGAAGGGACAGTGGCATTTGGGGGTATAAACCAGCTCAGATGATGATGGCTGTGGACAAAGGGGTGGGACCTGAGGGGAGGGGTCAGTGCTTGGCTTTGCACCTGGCAGACGTCAATTCAAGTGCATGTTCTGCTGCTTGCAAGATGGGGATCTTTCACAGGAAAGATCTGAGCTTCAGTTTCCTCATCTCTGAAATGGAAGCATTGATGGCACCCACCTGAGACACCTGAAGCAGACCTAGAAGCAGACCCTGAGACAAGGATTCGTGTGACAGTGACTCATTAGGAAGCTTCCCTGCTGAGGGAAACCTGCTAAGGGAATAGGAAACGTAGAAGCAGAAAGAGAAGGAGGAGAAGCAAGAGGCTATTTCCAGCCAAGCTCCATAGAAGGAACTTTGGCTTTGTCTTCCAGAGGGACACTGTAAGTCATACCCTAGGGCTGACCCTCCAGGGGCAAAGATGCTGGAGAATTCATACCTCTCCCTCCTGAGTCAACAGACTCATGTAAGGTGCTGATTGCCCAGGACCTGGCACCAGCAAGTGACAGCTGTGAGAAAGGGGTGTGCAGAAGGGGGAATCCCAGGCTGTGTGGTCAGCAAGGGGCAGTGCCTTCTGAGAGCCCCACTGTGCTCCACTGCTTCTCTAGCCCCAGGTCTTTCTCTGTCAGCTTCTAGAGGCAAAATCCCACAGAGCTCCCGCCCCCATTGTTCTCCCAGATGACTTGGCTTTGGGCAATCTCTCCAACCAGTCCAGGTCCCTCCCAGCCCTAGAGGCCCTGGTAACCTGCTGTAGTTCTCCCTCCCAGCCCACCCACCCAGCCCGGAGGGCATCAGTGACGAGTAGGAGGTGGGACAAGGCTTAAGGGCAGAGGTTAGTTCAAGGCCATGGAGGCACCAAATGCCCATAGAGGACATCAAAGCCACTGTGGCCCATCCCCACCTGAGTTGAATTTGGCTTTTCTTCCTAGCCCACCCACTCTGTGTTTCCATAGACGGTGCTCAGGGATCACTTGGGGGAACTTGCGTTGGTCAACACATTCCAGGAACAAATAAACAGGTTGCCCTTCCTGGCTGTACTGACTAAATCCTAAGACTCTGACTATGTGACTCTCACTTTCACTGGTGATGTCAGCCTGGGTTAGCCCTCATGGGATCCACCCTTAACTCTCTCCTGTCCCCTGTGACATCACAAGAGATGTTACCCATGATCTGGCCTCCCCACTCAGGCCTCTGGGAGTCAGCCCCCCCTCCACCAGCCCCCCACAACAGACCATGACAGGCCTGGGTGCTAGTCCACACTCTGTCACCTGCTGTGTGACCTTGGCCAAGTCACCTCCTGTCTCTGAGCCTCAGTGCCCTATGTTTGTAACCCATTTTGTATGTGCTCAACTAAAATCAGGAGATTGTAACATGGTGTTAATCCCTGCTTGACGCAGTGGATGCCCAGAAAGGTGAAGTGATTTGCCGGTGATCACACAGCAAAAGAGCAGAGAGGGCCAGGACCTGCTCCCAGCCCCATGGCCGGTTAAGTGAGCATCTTACTCTTTATCAGCTCTGCCCTGGCCCACTAACCCCTCTTTGGTTCAGAACTTGAATTAAGCCCCCAGTGGTCAGGATGAACTGAGCCAGGCACCGAAGTGGTCAGTCACTGCTGCAAACTCATTAACTCATCTGATACCCATGTATTGAGTACCTATTGTATAAGGGATTCTGTGCTCAGATAAGTACAGTTTTACTTTCACCAGGTTTAACGTACAATCCACTGCAGAGGCCTGGGGCACCTGCAGGCGCCGAGAGAGGGTGCCCTTAGGGTGGTGGTCCCAGAGGAGAAAGTGGTCTAAAAATTCCAGAGCCCCCTCACTGTCCAGGAGGCAGGCAGGGAGTGGCTAGGTTGGGGAGGTGAATGTCAGGAAAACAAGTTTGTTCACTCCTGGGTATTACTGCTGCCTGTGGTGGGTCCAGCACTGTGCCAGGCTGGGGGTGAGGCCGGGAGACAACTTTGATCCACCATCAAGGCCTCCACCCCTTACGCGTCCTGCCACCTTTGTTCACATGATGCGCTTGGTGTGTTTGTCTACACCTTTAGCTCATGGGCTCCTCCAGCAGGGGCTGCGTCTGTCTGCTGGGCACACAGGAGAGCTCAGGAAATGTGCGTTGGTGACTAGATTTTTGGTGTCTAGACTGGCTTGGTAGTAAGAGTATGAATTCAAGAGACCCTAAACCCTCTCGAGCTCTGTTTACCATCTATAAAAAATATCTACTGCAGCCGGACATGGTGGCTCATGCCTGTAATCCTAGCACTTTGGGAGGCCAAGGTGGGGAGATCACTTAAGCTCAGGAGTTCAAGACCAGCCTGGGCAACATGGCAAAACCCCGTCTCTACAAAAAAAATACAAAAATTTGCCGGGTATGGTAGCACATACCTATAGTCCTAGAGACTCAGGAGGCTGAGGCGGGAGGATTGTTTGAGCCTGGGAGGCGGAGGTTGCAGTGAGCTGTGATCGCGCCACTGCACTCCAGCCTGAATAACAGAGCGAGACTCCGTCACAAAAAAAAAAAAAAAAAAAGAAAGAAAGAAAAGAAAAAAAAAGAAAAATAGTCTGCAGCGGGAGGCTAAGAGGCGTCAGATAGCGTACATAGAAACCTTGGCCTCGTACAGAGAGTATGTCCAGCCCTTGTAAATGTTGGGCAGTATTACAATAGATGGGCCCTCGGCACTGTGCCAGGCTGAGCAGGAAACATGAGGGAGATGGGGTCTGGCCCCTGTTACAGCCACTGCACACTGTACAGTTTACACAGTCCTGTCACGTCCTGCTCACTGGTTCTCCCTGTCATCCCAAGAGGGGATCTGGGCAGGTCCCAGTGTCCCCATATGACATAGGAAGATGTTGACCTGCCTTCTAGTGGCCAAGCCAGGAAGAAAAGCCAGGTCTCCTGGCTCTCAGTCTCCTGCTCACTCCTCTGCTCCCCCACCTCCCCAACTTGCTTCCTGCTCTCTAGAAGCTCTTTGTGAAACATGCCAGGAAGAGCAGTGGGCAAGGAATGTGGAGATTTGCCAGCCCAGGTGTCAGGGGCTGAGGAAAATAGCTATGGGCTACAGGTCACCATGACCACTGCCCAGCTGGATGGCGGGGGGCTTCTAGCCTGGCGCAGCAGAGGCTGCTGGGCCCTCCCAGCCTAGCCGGCTCCCTTTCCAGGGGGATAGTGTAACAAGAACTGGGGTTGGAAGACCCGGGGCACCCTGGCTCCCCTGCAAGATGCTGTTGGAGCTGAAGGGACTTTAAGGAGTACAGGGTCTGTGGAAGAGGCCAGTCAAGTTGTGATCACTGCCCCTGAGGAAATTTGAGTGCTTACTGCCCTGGAAATACAGCCCCATGCACAAGGCATAAGCATAAGGACCTTCCATGTGGAAAGCACTTGTAAAAGGCAAACTGGGGAAGGCAGGGCTGGCTGACAGACAAGCAGTTGCTCACAGATGTGAAGTCACCAGCACAGGGGGTCTAGGCCCCACAACATGAGAGGTGGTGGGTGGGGAGTGGACAGGCCTCTCCTAAATTTGGAGCACTGAGAGCAAAAATACAAATAGAGATCCATGTATCTTTGTCAGATATTCGAAGATTGTAAAGCAAGCCAGGAGACTGTTAAATAAAATAGATTTGATTTTCCCTCCTTCCCTCCTTGACAAATATACCTTCACAATGTACATTGAAATACGTACATTGTGTACATATTTACATTGTGTAAAGTTTAGTTTTATTTGACTGCGAGTGATAAAATATCAAGAATGTCTGAATTTATTGCACATCTCCGAGTATATTGTTAAGCTGATGATGTTCAGATATAAATAATAAGACTTAACAATTCTTTTTTTTCTTTTTTTGAGACAGAGTCTGACTCTGTCACCCAGGCTGGAGTGCAGTGTGGCACGATCTCAGCTCACTGCAACCTCTGCTTCTCAGGTTCAAGTGATTCTCCTTCCTCAGCCTCCTGAGTAGCTAGGATTATATTGAATATATATTCAAATTATATATATATATAAAATTAAATTCAGACTTATATATAGTGTGTGTGTGTGTGTGTGACAGAGTGACAGCTCTGTCACTCAGGCTGAAGTGCAGTGGGCGTAATCTTGGCTCACTGCAACCTCTACCTTCCGGGTTCAAGCGACTCTCCTGGCTCAGCCTCCCAAGTAGCTGAGACTACAGGCACGTGCCATCACACCCGGCTAATTTTTTGTATTTTTAGTAGAGACGGGGTTTCATCATGTTAGCCAGAATGGTCTCGAGCTCCTGACCTTGTGATCTGCCCGCCTCGGTCTCCCAAAGTGCTGAGATTACAGACGTGAGCCACCATGTCCAGCCTATATATATATATTTTGTTGTTGTTGTTGTTGTTGAGATGGAGTCTCACTCTGTTGCCCAGGCTGGAGTGCAGTGGCATGATGGTAGTGCACTGCAACCTCTGCCTGCCTGATTCAAGCGATTCTCCTGCCTCAGCCTCCTGAATAGCTGGGATTACAGGCGCATGCCACCACGCCCAGCTATTTTTTTTATGTTTAGTAGAGACGGGATTTCACCATGTTGGCCAGGCTGGTCTCGAACTCCCAACCTCAGGTGATCTGCCTGCCTAGGCCCTCAAAGTGCTGGGATTACAAGCGTGAGCCACCGCATCTGGCCATCAAATTTTATGTACTTTAAATACAATCACATTTTACTTTTAGTCTTTTAGATTATTGCCATCAACAGAACACAAGTGATGAAAATCTTGATTATAACAATATAATTAGTGATCTTGCTAAAGTAAAGATTTTATGGAATAACTAAAAATGAACTGTGGCCACATGCAGTGGCTTACACCTGTAATCTCAGCACTGAGGCTGAGGCAGGCAGATCACTTGAGGTCAGGAGTTCGAGACCAGCCTGGCCAACATGGTGAAAGCCCATCTCTTCTAAAAATAGAAAAATAGTTGGGCATGGTGGCACATGCCTGTAATCCCAGCCACTTGGGAGGCTGAGGCAGGAAAATAACTTGAACCTGGGAGGCGGAGGTTGCAGTGAATCAAGATCTTACCACTGCACTCCAGCCTTCCAGCCTGGGTGACAGAGCGAGACTCTGTCTCAAAAAAAAAAAAAAAAAAAAGTAAACGAATGTAAATATAAACATAGGAAAATTTATTGTATGTTTTCAAGAGTGTTTTTATTCCATAAAATCATCTATTAAAATTAAAGCTATACCCATCACAATTAATGAAGATCAGATTTTTAAATAAAATCTTTAAATAGACATGAAATATTAATTAAATTTTTGAAAATTTTATAGAAATGAAACTATTCACAGTTCTAGTATTCAATGTCCATCTAGTTGCAAATTTAAAGAATTAATACCAGACTTCATGTTACATTAATGTGAGTAATGTGAGTTGCAGAATGTTGTAAGATGTTCCTCAGCCACCATGTGCATTTTTGTGAATATCACACTAATTCATGAGTACTTTTAGAACCACAAATTGGAGCAGGAAGAAATGCCAAAATAAAGGATGCACAGCAAGACCGGAATAGAGATGCTTGCTTATGCAAGAAACTGGTGCTCGCTGCTGTCTGGGAGGAAGGCTTTGACAAGCTAACTTGTCTCCCTCTTATATATTTTTGCCACTTAGGCCCCCCCCTGCTGCACTCCTCCCCCAAGCAGCATCCATCTCCCTCCTCAGCAGCAACACGACCCATAGACCTTCACAGCATCTTAACAGAATCACCTTTTGTTCTTCAAGTTTGAGAAATGGAGAGGCCTGGCGTGGTAGCATGCCTGTAGTCCCAGCTACTCGGGAGGCTGAGGTGGGAGGGTTGCTTGAGTCCGGGAGTTCAAACCTGTAGTCTGCCATGATTTGCCTGAGAATAGCCACTGCACTCCAGCCTGGGCAGCATAGTGAGACCCAGTCCACAACGCATGCCTTAAAAAAATAAAAAAATAAAAAACAGAGAAGAGTTTAACTAGGGCCTTAGAGGTGTTAGGAGCGAATGTTTAGGATTACAGGTCACATGAGTATAATGTGACAGAGGCTCCTGTGTACTCTTAATGAATTTATTTGTGTGTGTGTGTGTGTGTGTGTGTGTGTGTGTGAGATGTGTGGGGGCCCCTTTTCCCTGTCTAAGGGTGTTCGGGGGGTGGGTCTTCTTGCCAATAAAGAGTTCTCTATCATACAATGAACAATAGACAAATGATAGATCTTACACTGTAGCTAGAGTTTTATATCTAGGTATCTTAATTTACTCGTTCGTTTCACTCATGTGCATTTGTTCATTCATTTAAAACCCTATATTTGCAAGGTGCAGTGGCTCATAACTGTAATCCCAGCACTTTGGGAGGCCAAGGCGGGTGGATCATCTGAGGTCAGAAATTCAAGACCAGCCTGGCCAACATGGTGAAACCTCGTCTCTACTAAAAATACAAAAATTAGCTGGGTGGGGTGTGTGTCTGTAATCGCAGCTACTCGGGAGGCTGAGGCAAGAGAATCACTTGAACCCAAGAGGTGGAGGTTGCAGCAAGCCAAGATTACACCACTGCATTATAACCTGGGCAACAAGAGCGAAACTCCGTCTCAAAAATAAAATAAAACCCTATATTCACTTGCTCCAACCCTTCATTTCATGTGGACTACCAGGTTATAGCAGTCTTTTAGTGCAGTCCATGATCCTATGAATGAGGATCAGAGAGGGTACTGATGTACCTAAGGCATACAGCCAGTCCACAGCAGAAAAGTCCTCAGGCCAGGCAGCAAAAAGTGGAGGGTGAGTCCCAAGTTTGAATGTCAGGTAAAATCTGAGTAGATGTTGCTGTGTCCCAATCAGCTTCCCTTCCTTCACCAGCTTCCACTACTAAGCCATCTGCTCCAGGGCACTGGGGGATCCTGCAGGGGTTTTCTGCTTGAAGAGCCACTTCCTGTTTGGGGCCGAGCACTTCCTTCAGGTGACTCACAGGCTCCCATTGGCCCCGTGCTGGGAAGGCAAGGTGGGGGTGGAGCCAGACCCGGGCGTGTCACCCTCTACCTGAGACCCCAGCTGGGTGACCTGACACAGGGCAGTGGGCACAGGCTGGAGGTAGGAGGAGGGGAATGGCAGGAGGATGTGAGACCATTCTGCCTCACCCAGCCTATTGGGCAGGATGGAGAGAGGGCAGAGTGGGGATGGGGGCGGCCTCCGCGTCCAGACAACCCCACAGGTAGTTTCCAGGGCAGCCATGGGCCCAGGTAAGGCTGACAGCAGAGCTGACAGCCCTGGGGAGACTCTGCGGTACTTTCCTTCCTGACAGGCAGTAAGGTGTGGTGGAAGGAGCACTGGGATGGAGTCATGGACTTGTATTTCTCACACCAACTTTCTGGTGGTCATTTCAGTTTTCTGCCCCTCTCTGGACCTCAATATCCATGTCTGTCTAATGGGGGGAGGGGCTTGATGGCTGTGACATTTTGTGCCACTTGTAGGTTTGAGCTTGAATTCTGGCTCTGCCGCCTTGCTGAGTGTGTTCACTTCTCAGAACCTCCATTTCAAAATCTGAAATAATAGTCACTTTAAGTGTTTTACATATGGTAACTAATTTAATCCCCACATTGACCCTATGGGGTAGGTTTTATTAGTAGTAGTATTTTATACCTAAGGAGATTGAGGCACAGAAAGGTTAAGTAATTTGCCCAAGGTCACACAGTAAGAGCCAAGATTCTAACTTGTGTAGTTCGACTCCAGGTCCCATGCTCTTGACTCATTCTGGCCTTGCTACTCAAATTGTGGTCCAGGGACCTGCAGCATCAGCATCACCTGGGAGCTTATCAGAAATGCAGAATCTCAGGCCCCAGCCTAGACTTAACTGAGTCAGACCACATTTTAACAAGTTCCCTAGGTTTCCAAGGTCCAAGGCCCCAGGAAATATAAAGAGACCATGGCTTCTCAAACATTAAAGTTTAGAGGAGAAGCCACTGGTCTATTTATATTTCCTCTGCCACTTAGGCCTTAGGATCATTGTAGGGGGCAGAGGAAATAAGTATGTTTAATAAACTGTAAAGTGCTGTACATTCAGGGCACTGTGAGGAACCTGGAGGTGCAGAAGGGCAGGCCTGGGAGTGTCTCAAGTGCTGATCTCTCTGTGGCTGTCATTTCCGAGCTGTCTCTGAGTCCAGCTCTGTCCACCTCTGGTTCACACACAGAGGTGTGTGTTTGGTTATGTGTTTCTTGCTGGTGTGTGGCTCTAGAATCCAGTTGGGTTGGGGAGAGTTGTTATATTGGCACCAGGAGGCTCAGGTCCCAGCCCTGGCTCTGCCTCTATGTGATGTAGGTAGGCCTCCGTCCTTGCAGCCTCAGTGTCCCTAGTAGACAAGGTGTCAGCATCCTCTGAAGCCTGCAATGCTGGTCTGCAGTCTCCTCCTCACCTCTCCTGGCCCCTCTGCTTCCCGTGGCCTGTTGGTACCATCTCTTTTCCCAATTCCTGGGTGGGGGGTTGCCCTGCTGGCTGCAGGAGCTGGCAATGGGGGAGGTGGTGCGTGAGTCAGAGCTCAGGCATGTAATTGTGGTGCCCCAGATCCCACCTCCGGGCTACCGTCCTTCCCTTAGCGGCTGCTTTAGAAGAACAAGCTGGTTTGGCAGCTACCTCAGAGAAGCAGGACCCTGGGCAGCGTGAAAGGGCCTCTGCCCCCAGGGTGGCTGGGCTTTGGATCCTGGATCCGTGGGTCCTGGAGGGGCAGGAGTGGTTCAGGAAACAGGTTATCTGGGTCTGGGCCTGGGGCTGGTTTGTGGGCAGCATGCGTGGAGGTGGATTGCATGTGCTGGGTTTCATGGCTGGGTATTAGATCACGTATGTCCTGTCAGCCCATCCACCAGCTTTGTGGCTTCCCCAGGGCAGGGACTCGGTGTCACCCATCACTGGGCCCCACACCCAGCACAGGGAGGGAACAGGATGGGTGCTCACTAAGGGTCACGTGGGACAGTAGAAGGCAGGATGGACTGATGAATGAACTCACTGGATTTATCCCCTTGTCCTCTCAGCTCTCCCAGTGAAGTGATATCACTGCCTCTGTGGACAAGACACCTCCAGGAGCCCAGCTCACAGCCACCGGTACCTTCTTCCAGGTAAAGAGAAAAGGAGGGAGGAAGAAAGGAGTTCAAGACAGACTGCAGAGGGCAGCTGACTGGGTTCTTACACAATGTCCACCTCCCCCATGGGGGAGTTTATGAAAAAGGCATAAATGGGATTATCGTCCCATTTTATGGACAGGAAAAAACTGAAGCTCTGAGTAGACTTGTCTCTTGCTTAGTACAGCGTTCCAGATACTTGTCTGAGAGCCCATGAGGCTGATGCCATGGTTATCCCTGCTTTATAGATAAGGAAGCTGAGGTATAAAGGCATTTAGAAACTTGCTCCATTAAATACATGTTAGAGCTGGGTTTCAAACCCAGGCAGGTCGCCAGGCATGGTGGCATGCACCTGTAGTCCCAGCTACTTGGGAGGCTGAGGCAGGAAGATTGCTTGAGCCCAGGAGTTCGAGCTGCAGTGAGCTATGATTGTGCCACTACACTCCAGCCTGGGCGACAGAGTGAGACTGTGTCTCTAAAAAAAAAAAAAAAATGAAAACCCAGGCAGGCTGACCTCTTCACAAACCCTGTGATTTACTGCCTCTCAAGAGCCCAGCATTAAACTAAGTTTCCTTAACCTCCAATCTGAGGGTTGAATGGGCTTCCACCTCCAGAGAAGATTTATATTTTAAAAGAGAATCCTAGAGAAAGTGATGCTTCCTCCAAAGGAATGAATGACAAATAGTGGATTTGGAGGCCTTATATCATGGAATTAGCATGAACCTTCAAGGTGGGCCAGCCAGCTCCTGGGACTTTCTTCCTCAGCATTCGAGCAAGCTCGGTTTTCATTGGTCACCAAGGTGAAACCTCGACATTTGAAGGAAGGGAGGAAAAGTTTAGGCCCCAGGTTCTCGGACCTGCCTGGAAGCAGAGACTGCTGTTCTTTGCAGAAGACTGTGAAGAGTAGTGATGTTCATGACAGTGATGAAATTAGTATCCTGTGCCAGATTTGAGGTCATCTTACACTAGATATGGTACAGAAATGTGCAAATGGATATCAGAGGTTTAAGAAAAATTTGTGAGAGAAAAGTACCTAATTGAGTCTTTTTTTTGTAATTTTTTTTTCTGTAAATTGGGAAGAGGCTAATTATTATTCAGAGGCAGAATTCAGGCTTTCAGAAGTGGCTCTGCAGTTGTGTGGTGTAAGATGCTTTGATTGGTTCTTTTTTTCCTTCCGTCTCACATTTAACCAGCTTTTTGACTGACAACTAAATAGGTACCTCCTTGGTGCCAGGCCCAGTGCAGGGGACATAGGTCCTCTATACAGTGACTCTTCTAGCAAGGACAGGGCCTGGCATATCTTGTGTCCCCATCACCAGGTGTGGGGCTGCAGACACTATAGGTCTTCAGAAAAGCTTGGCCAAGTGGATCAGAAGTCTGAACCCGGGGAAGCTCCCAGTCTGGTGGGTGAGGCAGCCACGGAAGCAGATAATTACAGCGCACTGAGGCCTGTGATCATTCTCAGGAGCTCTGCCAGATGATATGAGCACAAAAAGGAGGAGGCAGTGGGCTTTTGTTGGGGGGAATCAGCCCAAGCTTTGCACAGGGTCTGTTTGTTAAGATGGATGGGATTTGGATTGGGATTTGGATTGGGATTTGGGGAGGGCTTTCCTGGCAGAGGGCCCAACCTGAGTGAAGGCATGGAGGTGGGAAAGCTGGGTAGGTGGTGTCTTTGGAGCACAGTGGTACAAGGAGGGGTAGGAGAGGACAGAGACAAGATTGCTCTGTACAAGTCTCCACTGTACTCACGTTCCTCCTCCTCCTCCCCCTTTCATTTACTTGGTGTGCCCCACTTTCCCACTCCCCTCTCCCTGGGACTTAGGAAGAGCCATCAGAAAAAGCCAGGCTGGCCCCTGCAGCTGAACCACTGGGCTCCTGGAAGGGGCTTGCACAAGTCAAACTGAGGGTGGGGGATGCTGAAAGTCTCTACTACCCCCAAATAGTAGTCCCGGGGCCTTCACTGGCTCTGCCTGCTCCCCAGAGAACCTGTCAGTGTCACTGGGGGAGAAGGGGGTGGGGGCAGGATCTCTTCTTAGGATGGCCTTAATACAGTCCTGGTGGCTTGGAGAAAACTACTCAGCCCTCCAGGGAGGGGAGAGGCCTGTCACTAGGAGTATGTGAGTCTAGGGAAGCCACTGACCGGTCTGGAGAGGCTGGAGAACCACCAGTAAGAGCAGCACAGGGGATTTCTGAATGGAAGGGGAGGCTGGATGGAGTGCCTCCAGGACTTTGGTGCTGATGTTTTGTGACTTAGCAGTCTGAAATCCAGGGATAATTTGAAGATACCAGTTGAATTATTCAATGAGGATTCCATGACACTGTGAGTCTTGGGTGAAGTGATTCTAGAGGTCCAATTTGGGGCATTTGGAGCCTGAGATTTTGAGTTCTGAGATGCTAAGCTGTGCCCTCTGGGCAAGGCCAGGTCACTTTTGGTGACTACTCAGCCCAAGCTCATAGCCCTGACCTGGGAAAGAGAAGTCCTTTCTGTACCAAGAGAACCCAAGGCCCCTGGGCAGGCTCCTGATTTGGGGAAGAGCTAGTCTACCTTCGCCTCTGGGCCCTGCCAGCCTCCTCCCGAGAGGAATGGCAATCAGAGGTCTCTTGGGACAGAAGTGTTGGGTAAACAGGAGGCCCTGGCATCACCGTGGAAAGAGATTAATAGTGACCTTAATTATGGCATGATTGATTCTTGGAGGCTCTGGCTGAGCCCCAGCCTCAGCCACTGAGTAACATTTCCCCAGAGAATGAGGAGGCTTGCAGGGCCTGGGTGGCACAGGCCCCACCTGCCTCTTCACCTCAAAGCCTCTCTCCCTGCCTCCTTCCAGGCACCTCCTCCCCGAGCCTCTCCCCACTGGCAGCTGCCCCTGTGACTTAGAATTCCTTCCTGCCCCTAGGTCTGGTTACCTTCTCTGCAGATTCCATTAGAATCTAGGGCTTTCTCTGAGGCCCAGAGAGGTGGAACGACTTCCCCAAGGCTGTACAGTGAGTTGGTGGCAGCCGGGGATCTCTCCATTCAAGCCATCAAATGAGGCTATGCAATGGAAAATAGACTGAGTCTTGAGCACCCCGGAAAAGCTACCTGCAGGAGGCTGGGGCCGGAGAGCACAGGGCAGGGCCGGGGATAGGTGGGTTCCACATTTCACTGGCTGGGCTTTTTCCAGAATCTTTCCTGTCTCCCCCACCTGCAGCCCTCACCCTGGGGCCAGAGATTTGTTTTGTGGGTTTGGGTTTAGTTGTTTTGTTTTGGGAAACGGTCCACTTGGTGAGCTGTTTGGGATGCCCTCTGCCCTGGGAGAAGCCCCAATCACTGCCCTCCCTGCCACCTAGGCTTCCGCTGTGCTGTCTCCTTACCTAAAATGCCCTTCCTTCTCCCCTTTGTGCTGCAAATCTTTTCTCATTTCTGAATTCTGCATAGATCTCACCATCTCCTGGAAGCCCCTACACAGTGGTCAGGAAACACAGATTTGTGGGATCCAGAAGAGATAGTGACCCAGTCAGGAAGGGCTTCCTGGAGGAGGGGCTACCTGAGCTGAGATGAGCAGGAGTTTGCCAGGCATTGAGGATAGGTGGAGGGGCTGCAGGGCTAAGGTGGTTTCATAGGCACAGCTGGGTTGGGAGCAGGGATGGATGAAGTGGTGAGGAAGGACCACAGAAAGGCCCTGGTCCTGCTCCAAGGCCATGATCCCGGAGCCCTATGGAAACCATGGCCCTGCACCTTTCATGCCTGGCATTTTACTGTAAGGGAAGTTTGGGGTCACCACTATTTGTGAGTCATCTAGGCCACAATGTACCTACACCTTAATCCCTATCAAAGATGGTGGAGGCCCTTGGGCAGGGCCAGAGCTCTGCCCTGGTGCTCAGGACGACCAGGTGCCTAACCTTGGTATGGGCCTTCCTGCCACTTTCATCCAAGTTTTGAACTGCGTCCCAGGAGGGTGACTGTCAGGATGCCCAGTGATTAGTCGTGGGAGCAGAGGGGGCTCTTCCCCAGTCAGAACAGGGAGGGATCAGGGATTGGCCTTCCCTTTTCCTCGAGCAGCCCCCTCTCTGCTTTGCTACTGGGGGTGAGGAGAGAGCGGGTAGCTAAAGGGTTTTAGAAGTTGAGTGCTGGAAAGGCCCTTGGAGATCAGCCAAGGGTGCTCAAACCCTCCCATGATACAGATGGGAAAACTGAGGCCAGAGGCTTGGGGCAGTCACTCAGCCTACTGGTGTTCCAGTTCAGCCTCAGACCATCATCCCAGGGCTGGGCTGGGGTTGAGGCCCCGCGAGGGCAGCCACGGCCAAGGAGAAGGGGGGTGTCTCTCCATCTGCATGCTTGCCCCCCTTCCCCAGGGCCCTAGCACAATGCCAAAGGTCGGCCTCCCATCCCCACCAGCCCTGGCACTGTTGGGGGTTTTTCCTTTCCTCCCCAATGTTCCTAGACTCATTCTGCCTATGCTTTCCTGATACCAACCAAAATGTTGAGCTTGGCCCTTTGAGGTACAATTTGCAGTTATACAGATGCTGCAGCTGGCATTGACGTGGAAGGTGATAGAAACGTGAACAGGCCCGCCCTGTGGGGCTGCAACCATGGAGAGTCTGGACTTTAGAGTCAACAGCCCCGGGTTCAAATCCTCCCTCCTCCATGATTAGCTGTTTGGCCTTGGGTGAATTACCTAACCTCTTGGGTGCGGGTGCACACGTGTGTGTGTGTGTGTGTGTGTGTGTGTGTGTGTGTGTGTGTATTTAATACACTTTTTCAAAAGCAGTTTTAGGTTTACAGTAAAATTGATTGGAAAGTACGGAGAGTTTCCATATACCCTCCTCTGCCTTTCTCCTCCCCATAGTCTGGCTTATTCTTTACATCTTATATTAATATGGTACATTTATTACAACTGATGAACTAATATTGGTTAATTATGATTGACTAAAGTCCATGTTTGCGCTATAGTTCCCTCCTTGTGTTGCACACTCTATGGGGTTTGACACATGTCCATCATTACTGTGTCATACAGAAGAGCTTCACTGCCCTCAAAATTCCTTGAGCACCACTTATTTTTCCCTTCCCCCTGAGTCCTTGACAGCCACTGATCTCTTTACTACCTCCATAGTTTTGCCTTTTCTAGAACGTCACTTAGTTGGAATTATACAGTATATAGCTTTCCAGATTGGCTTCTGTCACTTAGCAATATGTTTTCAAGGTCTCTCCATTGCTTTTTGTGGCTGGGTAGCTGACTCCTTTTTATTGCCAAATAATATTCCTCATTGTGTGGGATGCACTGTGGTTGGTTTGCCCATTCGTTCAGGCCCATGTTTGCAATCTGTTAAGACCATTGGCCTTTGCTCAGGAAGGTTGTCAAGGGGAGGGGACGCCTATGCAATGCTCAGCACAGTACCCAGCAATGACCTGGAGTGCCCACACCACCCAGCAGCAAGTGCTAGCACAACAAACAGTAACTATTGTGGCTGGTAGTACTCACACCGTACATATGTTAGCTCAGCCAGTTCTTTTTATTATTATTATTTATTTTTTTAGAGATGGAGGTCTCACCATGTTGCCCAGGCTGGTCTTGAACTCCTGGCCTCAAGTGATCCTCCTGCCTCGGCTTCCTCAAAGTGCTAGGATTACAGGCATGAGCCATGGCACTTGACCTCAATCAGTTCTGGAACACATTTATTAAGGGCTTAAAACCTGTTAAAAGCTGGCAACACAGTGAATATCCTCATACCAATCAAGGTTTGGGATTGCAAACAACAGAAACAATTCAGGTTAATTTGGCAGAAGAGTTCCTTGGAAGGAACTAGAGTTGTTTCCAGAATCTGAGGGGTCTGGAGACCCACGCCTGGGTAGGAGTGGAGAGGGCCCAGGTACAGCCAAGGTTTCCAGGCTGTTGTCCCCTCTGGTGCAGCTGCTGCTGACCTCGCAGCACCTCACAACTAGTGCAGACATTCATGTGACTTCCAGACCTGGGCACTTAAACAAAAAAAGTTTTATCGAGATAAAGTTCGCAACCATCACCACTAATTCCAGGACATTTTCTTTTTTTGTGGGAGGGTTGGATGGTGGCGCACAGGGTCTCACTCTCTTGCCCAGGCTGGAGTGCAGTGGCGCCATCTCAGCTCACTGCAACCTCCGCCTCCTGGGTTCAAGTGATTCTCCTGCCTCAGCCTCCCAAATAGCTGGGATTACAGGCGCCTGCCACTACTGCCCAGCTAATTTTTGTATTTTTAGTAGGGACGGGGTTTCACCATGTTGGCCAGGCTGGTCTTGAACTCCTGACCTCAAGTGATCCACCCTCCTCGGCCTCCCAAAGTGCTGGGATTACAGGTGTGAGCCACCATGCCTGGCCAGGGACATTTTCACCAGCCCAAAAAGAAACTCCACACCTATTAGCAGTCACTCCGCCTTTCCTCCCCAATCCTCCCAGCCCCTGGCATTCACTGAGCTACTTTCTGTCTCAGTATTTGCCCATTCTGGTCATTTCTTATACATGGAATCATACAATATGTGGCCTTTTGTGAAGTTGGCATGACGTCTTCAAGATTCATGTTGTTGCCTCAATTCCTTTTTATTACAGACCTGAGCACTTCCATGTATTACCTCATTTAGTCCTCATTCCCTGATGGGTAAAGTAAGGCTCAGGGAAGAGGTAGTGACCTGTCCAAGGTCACATAGCAATTCAGTTGAGGGTGACCAGGCTAGAATCCAGGCACTTCATGATCAGAAAAGGAGCTGAGAGCAGTGCAGTGCAGTCTGGGGGGCACAGCGTGGGCCTGGCAGTTATGGGAGGGAGAAAGGGTAGGGGAGCAGGCCAGTGCGTCCCGGGATGTGAGGATGAGACAGGACGCCGGAGGTGCACGCCCATCCCAGCATCCTGCCTCTGCTCCATAGTGCGTGTTTATTCCATCTCAGTCATGGACTCTTGCTTTTCCCTGTGCAAGCAGGAGGCTGTGCAAGTACAGGGTAGGGGCCAGGAATTCTGACAGAAAATAGGACTTTGGGCTGGGGAGGGGCCTTGGACATCAGGCTCAGAGGTGAGAGCGTTCTCTTGTCCCAGAGCCAGCAGTAGCTCTTGGCAGGGGATTTCTTGGGAACTTGGCTGGTATCAGCAGCCCTGGGACGTAGCTTGGAGAAATCGATTGGACCTAAGTAATGCCATTATCCCTGGCAGGAAGGGGAGGGGAGGGGATGGGCTGGTGAGGGATGGTGGAGAGAGTCCCGTCTCAGAGATCGTCCCGGCGGCCGAGTGTGGTGTAAGTAGCATGCCTCTGTTAGCAGAACTTCTGGGCACTTCTCTGAAGTATGGTCCAAGAAGTCCCTAGTGCCTCCTGCTCTTGCTGCCCTGTGTTGCTCCCTGGGGACATGGGGTTAATGCAGACCATCCCATGGGGGAGGCAGGCATGTCCACGGTGCTCTCACAGTGTGCCCAGGTAAGAGGGAGGGACATGCCAGGGATATGGGAGGCTGGGGAGACCTCTAACCAAACCGGGCCTCCATGGAGGAGGGAACATCTGACACTTGAAGGATCAGGAGGTGTTCACCAGGTGAAGGGAAGCAAGGCTGGAAAAGCAGTAGTGGTCAGATCCCGGTCACTGCCTGTTAGGAAGTTCAGTCCAGCTGCAGGTAAGAGTTTGGATTGGAGGGATGGGGCTGAAAGCAAGGAATCTGGAGGAGTCCCCAGCCAGGGGAGATGAGGCCTTGAACAGGGGAGTGGCTGTGGGGATGGCGAGAAAAGGGCCTTGAGAAAAGGGTGGTAGAGGGCAGTGTGGCTGAACTGGGTCTGCAAGGCCTGGGTGACACCGCTGGAGACATCCAGGAGCTGCTGGCTATCTCGATCAGAGGCAGAGCCTGGGTGGCCTTGGCAGCACCTGGTAACTAAAGCCGTGAGAGTGGACAAGATGGCTGCAGCCAGGAGAGCATACAGAAGAGAAAGAAGAGGTTTGCCTCCCAGAGAATCCCCTACACTTATGAACAGGACAAAAATGCACCAGGGGGAGAGGAGACTCTGAGAGCCAGTATCAGCGAAGTTCTGGGCCGAGGCATGACGCATGCACTTCTACTTCCCTCTTTTCCAGGTTTGAAGTGGAATTTCCATTCCTGGGTGGGTTGTAATGTGCAGTCGTGGGGACAGGGGAGGGGCGGCAGAGGACATGTGGGAATTAGTCCCAGGGGCAGGGGGGTCCCGGGAAAGGAGTGTGAAGGCAGGGGAACCTGGGGCGGGCTCCCACGTGCATTGCAGGATGTCCACCTGTTGTACCTCAGCATTGCAGTACCTCCTGGCACTTTTCCCCCTCCCTGCCCCCAATTGTGTGTCCTATAGAAGTCAAGGCAGCAGCTGTTACCTGCTTTTACAGATTCAGAAACCAAGGCTCAGGGAAGAGCCTGAGTGGCCCCAGCCACAGAGCAAGTCAATGCGAGGCAGCATGAAGCTAGGCTTCTTTCCACATTGCACCCGCCTCCTCCCTTCCTGGGGAGGCGGGGGCAGATGTAGTGGCTGACATGACAGTAGAGAACCCTGTCTAGGGAGTGCACAGGGTGAGATCTGGCTCCCCTGGCTGTGGACCCTGGCCTCCCACCCCTGCGGGAAGGCTGGGAATGTGGGGGTGCCTATGTGGGCACGCAGCACTCCCCAAATCTGGAGTATAGTAAAGCTGAGAGCACCCTACACCAACCCCCACCCATGGTCTCTCTAGCCCCATGGGAGCCAAGCTGTGTCCCCACCCCAGCCTGTCCCCCAGGCCCTGGCTCAGGGAAGCCCCAGCAGCTGCACCATAGTCCACAGGCCTCCCCAGGGCTCCCCGGAACAGAGGCTGCAGCAGTCAATTCCCAGCACTCAGGAGACTCTGGGTCATTCAGTATTCCCAGCAAGCCCCTAATGCATCTTCCCCCTCAGACTGCAGGCTGTAATCTCCGCACTGAGGTGAAGTCAGCATTGGGTGGTGGTGTTGGAGGGATAGGCAGAGGCCCTGAGTGAGGCCTGGTGGTAGAAGTAGTGAGTGGGCCTGAAGCCCAGCGTGCTCCTACGGTGCAGCCCCTGGGGCCTTGGAGAGTGGCATCTTAGGAGCTCATCTACCAAGCCTTGGCTCAGTGCTGACTCCAGGGAGCATACTCTGACCCTCCCTGCACTTTGGTCAGTGCCCACAGGCTCCCTTTCCTCCCTCCATCATACACTGCACTTACCATAAGGCTCGTGGGCCATTAGAGCCCAGTCACTGTAGGAGTCTGCAAACTTTCCCTCTAAAGGGCCAGACAGTCAGTATTTTAGGCTTTGCAAGCCATATGGTCTCTGTGGCAACTACTCAACACTGCAGTTACAGTTAAAACAGCCGTAGACAATACATAAATGAATGAGCATGGCTGCGTCCAATGAAATGTTATTTATGGACACTGAAATTTGACTTTCATATAATTTTCATATGTCACAAGATATTTTTGTTTTGACTCTTCACAACCATTTAAAAACATAAAGACTATTCTTAGCTTTTGGGCTGTACAAAAATAGGTGGCAGATCAGATTTGGCAGGCCCATGGGTTAGAGCAAGGTCCCTGGAGCCAACCTGCGTGGGTATGAATCCTGGCTCTGCTGGGTGTCCTTTGGTAAGTGGGTCAACCTCTCTGTGCTTCAGAGTTCTCATCTATAAAATGGGGATGATGATGATGATACTTTGGGGATGTAACATGGTGCAGTCACATTGGAAAAGTTTGGCAGTTCCTCAAAAGGTTAAACATAAAAGTTACCATATGATCCAGGTGTGGCAGCACATACCCGTAGTCCCAGCAACGCAGGAGGATCACTTGAGCCCTGGAGTCTGAGGTGGCCATGAGCGATGATTGCACTACTGCACACCAGCTTGGGCAACAGAGCAAGACCTTATCTCAAAAACAAAAGTTACCATATGACACAGCAATTCTTTTTTTTTTTTTTTGAGATGGAGATTTGCCCTGTCACCCTGGCTGGAGTGCAGTGGTGCGATCTTGACAACCTCTGCCTCCCAGGTTTAAGCGATTTTCTTGCCTCAGCCTCCCGAGTAGCTGGGATTACAGGTGCCCACCACCATGCCCAGCTAATTTTTGTATTTTTAGTAGAGATGGGGTTTCACCATGTTAGTCAGGCTGGTCTCGAACTCCTGACCTCAAGTGATCCACCTGCCTTGGCTTCCCAAAGTGCTGTGACCAGCAATTCTATCCCAAAAGAAATGTGTACCCAAAAGAAATGAAAACACACGTTCACACAAAAAACTCATTCACAGAAGCATTATGTATAACAACCCAAAAGTGATAACAACCCATATGTCCATCAGCTGATCAATGGATAAACAAAATGTGGTAGATCCATACAACAGAATGTTAGACATAAAAAGGAATGAAATGCTGATCCATGCTACAACATGGATGAGCCTTGAGAACATTATGCCACGTGAAAGAAGCAAGACACAAAAGGTCACATATTGTATGATTCCATTTATACGAGGTCTCTAGAATAGGCAAGTCCATAGAGACAGAAAGTGGATGAGCAGTTGCCAGGGCCAGAGGAGTGAAGCCAGGGTAAATAGGGAGTTACAGTGCATGAGAAGGGGGTGGGGGGTTGTTGGGATGGTGAAACTGTTTTGGGATTAGATAGTGGTGATGGTTGTACAACTTGTGAATATACCAAAAATTGAATACTGTATATTAAATACTGAATTGTATACTTTAAAAGGGTAAATTTTATGGCATGTGAATTATATCTCCATTTTTTAAATGCAAATCCTTCCTTCCTTCCTAGGGCTGCTGTTATAGTTTCTGCATGGAAAGCACTTGGAACAATGCCTGGCTGTTCCCCTCTTTGGCCCTCTCAGGGCCCTAGGAGCCTTTGTGTGTCCTGCTCACATTGTCTCCAGGGCCTCGGACAGGGCCTGGTACAGAACATATGACTGAGTTTCTGGAGTCCCACAGGCCAGCGTTGGAGTCCTGACACCTCAGTATAGCTGTGCACCTCTGGGCAAATAGTTTCTCTGCTCTGAGCCCCAGGTTTGTCATCGGCAAAATGGAATAAGAATAACTCACAGTGGTGTGGAGGACTGGATGACACCTGATACTCAGGGTGTGTGAGGTGCCCCAAGCCCATTGCCACCTGGTCACACTTTACCAACACTGGCCCCCAGAGGCCGAGGCTCCCACAGATATCTCCAGGGTGCCAAGCAGGGCTGGGGCAGTAGCTTCTGGCAGCCACACTTCAACCCTCAAGACACCTCTTGCTGCTATACCATCCTCCCACAGGCCCCACCCGGTGAGGGAGCTCCCTGTGTCTGGAGAATGAATACTTTGGGGCACTAGAGCAGTTCCTAGATTGACTACAGTCCAGTTATGGGACAGCAGCCAGGCATTGCTCCTTGTTCTCTGAGCCTCAGTTTGTTGAACTGTCAAATGGGTTTAGGACACAGAACCTGCCACTTCAGATGGTTGTGCTGATGAGATGGAACAATGAATGTAAAGTATTTACACGGTGCCTGGTGTATTTTAAGTGCTCAACACATCTCAGCTTATATGATAATTTCTTCTAAAATGTTTATTTTGAAAGTCTGCTATGTGCTAGACACTGTTCAAGTTACTGGGAATACAGCAGAAAATACAACAGACAAAAATCCTTGCCTTCATGAAAACTGCATTATAGTAGGGTAGACAGACAGGAAAAATAAGCAAGTTATATTTAAGGACATGATTGAGAAAACAAAGCTGAGAATGTGGGAAGGAGCTTAGGGAATGTGGGAAGGGGCTACAGTTTTACAGAAGGTGATCTGGGACAGTCTCATTGAGTAAAGGACATGTGGCCAGGTGCCATGGCTCACGCCTGTCATCCCAGCACTTTGGGAGGCTGAGGCAGGTGGATAACCTGATGTCAGGAGTTCGAGACCAGCCTGGCCTACATGGCAAAACCCCAGCTCTACAAAAATACGAAAATTAGCCAGATGTGGTGGGCACCTGTAATCCCAGCTACTTGGGAGGCTGAGGCAAGAGAATTGCTTGAACCCAGGAGGCAGAGGTTGCAGTGAGCCGAGATTGTGCCACAGCACTCCAGCCTGGGTGACAGAGCAAGACTCTGTCTCAAAAAGAAAAGAAAAGGACATTTGAGCTAAGACCTGAAGAGAGGAGGGGAAAGAGAAGGAAGCCATGCAGGTTTCTAAGGGAAGAGCATTCCAGGCAGAGGGAACAGCAGCATGCTAGGCCAGTGAAGAACATGGAAGAGGTCAGGAGTGGCTGGAGGGGAAGGAGTAGGGAGGATGAGGGCCTGGGTGGGAGGCAGAGGACAGGTCCTTGGGGACCTGCAGGGGTGGGCCTGTGACTCCAAGTGAGACGGAGCCCCACTGCAGTGCTTTGAGCAGGGGTGACCCTCCCTGACCTAGGCTACAATGACTTGCTGTGTGGTGCCTGACTCCTCACCCTTCCCCTGCCTCACTGCCCTGTGCTTCCTCCTGCAGGACAAGCTGGGGGCCTCCATGGGCGCCTGAGGGCCAGGCGCCAGGGCCGTGGGCACGAGTATGGTGAGACACCAGCCCCTGCAGTACTACGAGCCACAGCTGTGCCTCTCCTGCCTCACGGGCATCTACGGCTGCCGTTGGAAGCGCTACCAGCGCTCCCATGATGATACCACACCGGTGAGCCACCCTGGAACAGGGTCAGAGGGACCCAGTGAGCCCCAGCAAGCCTGAGGGGCTGGGGGAGGGGTCTTAGCTCTGTCTCTGCTGACTCGCTCTGGACAGGCCAATGGCCTTTCTGGGTTTCAGTTTCTCCCTCTGTAAAATGGGCTTATAGTAATTCCTGAATCTACTGACCAGGAGGGCATGGAAGGAGTTTGTCCTGTTGACAAGTTGTTAACTCTCCTCTGACATTGTTGAGGTTGGGCTCCTCTAGAAGGGAAGGGTCACCCCAAGGTGAGCAGAAGTTCTCAGCTTCCTGGCAGATCTTGACAGGCAGGCAGGCAGGCAAACAGGCAGGTGCTGGAGGAGAGGGTGAGGAGATGGGCCTGGCCATCCTGGAGCCTGGGAGCTGGCAGGGCCACGGTCTGGCACCGGGGCTCAGTCACCTGAGCCACAGGCTTGCCAGAGCTGGCAGCAGGTGCACAGCCGGATAAAGAAAGCCTCCTTCAGTGCTGGGCTTCCCAGGCCAGACCTAAGCTGCACTCCTGTCCCTGGGGCGCTGTCAGCCAGTGGATCTAGTTTCTTCTCTGAAGGAACCCAATTCCTGTGTGGTGTTTATCTAAAAGCTTTACTGTCTGGAGAACAACTTTCCTCCTCCTTCCTGCTTGTCTGAACAAAGAAGCCAGCCTCTAAATTCAGCCAGCCCCAGAAGAGGCTGGAGTGGCCAGGGGGTGGCAGGGTGTGGGCCGGGGTGGGGGATGGGGAGCGGTGGCTGCCGCTGATGTCAGAGGCCCAGTAGGCCTGGCTGTCTGTCTGGGGAGGTCGGGGAAGCTTATCCACCTGTCTGCCCTCCTCTGCCTGTGCTGATGACGGATAGAGCCCTAGACTGAGGAGCCTGGGTTCGTCACCTCCAAATAGTGAAAAGCAGGAACTGCCAGGGTGGGCACCAGGCCTGATTCATTGCCATCTCCCCACTCCCGGCCACAGAGGAGCCAAGTGGCCAAACTGAGGCAAAGGAGAGGGAAGGGCCTGCCCAAGGCCACAGGGCAGGCCCCTGGCAACGCCAATACTAGAGCCCCGGTCTCTCCACTCCAGGCCCCTGCTGGGAAGCCCTCTGAGATACCATATGTCACAGCTTTCCCTCTTATGTGGAGGGGTACAGACCGTGGGCTCTGGAGTCAGATGGATTCAGGTTTTGGTGGTGCATCCTCTACTTGAATCTAGTTGCCTGTGAGCTCCCTCAACGGTGAACTGGAGGGGAGACACACCCCTCTCAAGTTGCCGCTGGGCCATGACATGTGATGAGGGCTGTAACGTGACTGGCACAGTGCCAGCTATGACTAGCCATTGAGACAGGTCCTTCCAGATGCCCAAGCCTCAGCCTCTCCATCTCTGAAATGGGAGATAGGTTGTGATCTTGGCTTCAGAATCCCGTGACCACTCTACCGTGCTCCACACTTTGTTCTGGATCTGGACCTGGGCAATGGAGGTCCAGCAGCCACTGGTGTGAATGGGGTGGGGAGACAGCTGAGGCTAAGGTGAGAAGAAGGATGGCTGAGCTCCCAGGCAGGAAGCCCCTTGGCCATCAGGGCAGATGCTGGGGAAGGCGTATCTCCCAGAAGTCTCATCTCCTTGGTGGGCCCAAGGCCAGCCAGTCATAGGCATGGAGTCAGGAAGTGATGATCTTGGCTGCAGCCAGCACAGGGCCCAGAGTGGAGGAAGTGGGCTGAGGCTGGTTTTGAGCTGACTGAGAACCAGAACAGAATGTGCCCTGCAAGGCTAGGGTCTGGGTCACCAATCTGAGGCAGGGGTCTGGGGCCAAGGCTGGAGGGGCAGCAGGGGGCCATGAGCTAGGCTAGGAGAGGGTATAGGGCTTTACAGCAGCTCTGGGTGGCAGCGCCTCTGCAGAAAGGGCTGAGCTCACCTCAGGTGACCCCAAACTCACAGCTGAAGATGAGCATCCTCTGCTCCCCCGCCCCTTTCTCCCTGCAGTCGCTCACTTCGCTCCGCCCCCTGTCTCCTCCTACTTCCTGGTTCCCAGCCTCTGCCCCTCATCCTTTCTCTCTCTCCCCATTTCTCTTTTCTCTCTCTATTCCTTCCTGAGGCAGCTGGGTGAGGGCAGCGGTGGGGCTGGACTCTCACAACGAAGGAATAGCGACCTAGTGTCTCAAAGACAGGGCTGGTGCAGGGTAGGGGCTCCAGAAATTTCGCTGAACAAATAGAGGTCTTGCGTAAGCTCTGCGGGGGCTGGTAGGGAGAGGAGAGCTGCCTGAGTTGAGGGGTGGTGGAGACGGCTCTTCCAGTGAGCCTGGTTTGTCTCCTTATTCTCACCACCCCCGCCCCAGGGGGGATTCTCCCCCTGTATCTCCCAACTCAGAGAAGCCTGGGTTCAACTCCTGTGAAACCCGATCTCCCTGAGTCTCATCTGTGAAATGGGCTGAAAGGTGGGAGAGTCACGAGGCATTTTATTCTCATTCTCAGGCTGGAAAATGAAGTATGAAAGTAATAGTATCTGTTAACATTTATTGAGTACCTACTGTATGCAGGGAGCAAACAGTTTACATGCATTGCCCTAGTCATTGTTGTAACATCTCCATGGGCCATGTTTAATTGTGTGCCCATTTTACAGATGGAGAAATCAGTCACACAGGCTGATGATAGATTTGCAGCCTAAACTGCTGGAGACTAGGGAAGATAGCGTGTGTTGAAGATGTGGGTTTAAGTGAGAGTTTGCTGGAAGAAGAAAGGCAAGGGGACTTGGGAAGTTGCCTGATGGAGGAGAAAGAGCACTGGACCAGGAGCATTTGGGACAAGATGGGGAGTGGCCTTGAATGCCAGGCTTGGAATCCTCAGTGTTTCCCTGGTTATGATCCAGCCCTGGGCCCTGAAGTGGATCCTGGGAGTGGAGAGGGTGCGTGGAGAGAGCCTGGGAAGGGCCCCTTCCTCTCCATCCACGCTGGTCTCCCTCCTTCCTGCCCCCCAGCCTGACACATTCCCACCTCTTCCAAGCCTTTGCCCCCCAGTCCCCCAGGATACACGCTTAACAAATAAAGAAGCAGGAAACCAAGGACCAGAGAGGTGAAATGGCCTCTTCTCTTGCCCCCAGTTCTGAGGAGTGGAGGAGCCTGGCAGCAGGAGGCCAGGCTCACTCAACAGCCAGGAAGGGGAAGTAGAGCTTTTTATAACTGGGGATAATTAATTGGTTGTTGTCTGTGACTCATTACTCTAATACTGCCAATTAAGGACTTGGTAGGACAGAAGACTGTTCTCAGGCCATCCCCACAGGGTCCCCTGAAGACTGTGTCTGCAAAAGGCAGTGTCAAAACCAGCTTCTCTATAGAGAGGGATATAGGTCAGATGCCTGGAGGAACTTCCCAGCCAGAGACATTGAAAGAGACAGACTACCATAGCCGATTCTTGCACTTCTGTAGTACATTTACCTTTTGAAGGCTGCTATAATCTTAATTGATTTCCTCCAGGAAGAGCAAGGGAGTTATTCAGGCCAAGGGGCTGAGGGCACAGCCTGCACTGACCCCACTCACACCCCCAGGCCTGTGCCTTCTCATCTGTTCCACACCAAACAGTCTTGTCTGGGGTGCCCTGATTACTTATTCAATCAACAAACCTGTCCTGCTACCTGCTCTGGGGTCATAAGTATATCAGACCTGGTTTTCCCCTCCCTTGAAGGGCCGGCCCCCAGGCTTGTGGGGGAACAGACAAGATCAGACACACCTGGACCACCCAGGTCGATCATTTTGGAGGCCTGGGGAAACCCTGGGGGCAGGGAAGGCTTGCCCGAGCTGGCCTCTGGGAGTATCGGCCCCATCTCCACAGACCAGGGAAGTGTTCAGGGTAGGGGGAACTGTGTGCACAAGAGAGTGTCTTGTGTTCAGGAACTGAAAGGAATTCAGTCCACCGGCTCAGGTGCAGGGACGGGGAAGGGTGCTGCTCAGTGGGCCTGAGCCTGAAGCTGTATTAAGGAGTCTAGGCTTCATCCTGGGCAGCGGGGGCCTGAGCCAGGCTCGGGCTGTGTGAGGAACACTGTGGTCAAATTGTGGAGGATGCTGAGGGCCCTCAGGTGGAGGTGGGAGGGCCAGTGAGGCCTCAGGTGTCTATGTGGGGAGTGAGGAGGTATACACAGGGATGCAGGCTGGGGAGGCATTCCAGAGACACCTAGAAGGTATCAACGGACTGGCTGTGGACTGAGGTGCAGAGGAAGGAGTGTCTGACAGTGAATCCCATCCTCCCATCCTCCCATGATGCCCAGCGTGGGTGGATGGAGGCCCATCCTGGAGATGGGAACACATGCTGTGCCCCAGGAGCGAGTGAGAGTACAGCGTTCTCAGTAGAGTCCAGGAATAGCACAGGAAGGGTGGGCAGAACAGACAAATAAGCCTCCCTAACCCCAGTTGCCTGCCTTCTATGATGAGATATGATGAGAGCCCCCCATCACCCTACCCTGGCAGGAAGACACTCGGTGTAGGGAAATCCATCCCCAGCTCCTCTGCCCCTTCCCCTCCATGCTCGTCCACGCCAGCCACCCTGAGCTTCTCCGCATCCACAGGATAACCTCACCCTTCACAGCACTGGGCCTTTGCTCCTGCCATTCCCTCTGCTTGGAATGCCCTGTCTTTCTCCTCCCTGCCCCTTAAGACTCATTGCAAATCCCCCTCCATGCCCCCAACTTCTGCCAAAAAATAGCCCTCCTCCTTCCTTTCTCTCCTCACTGCTCTCTCTCCCCACCTTCCTCACTCCCCTGGGGTTCCACAGCAGGTTGACCTGTGCTGGCCATGTGGATTGTGATTTTTTGTTTCCCACTGGACTCTTTAGGATAGCGTCTGGGCCTGCACACTCCAGGGACCTGACTCAGAGGAGGTCCTCGGACAAGATTTACTGAATGAACAACTGGAAGGAGGATTGAGCATATGTGTTCATGAGTGAGTGAGGAAGCGGTTAGGGGATGTGACTGCCATCTTGCTGACCAGGTGGGGCAGCCGGACCCCTAATGAGCTGTCAGAGAATGTAGGCGTACATGTGCGGACGGGTGTGTGCTGTGTTCTTGGTGCTGCCTCCTGTGCTCCTGGTGGTGGTTGGCAGTGGAGGGTGCTGCCTCAGCCAGAGGGACCTCCCAGATCACCCTGGGAGCTGGGATTGGGCTCTGCCAGTGCACAAGAGGGAGGAAGAGATGAGTTTCCCAGCTGGCCCCCACTTTTTGTCCTGTCAGCCATGTGGATTTGTGTCCAGGATATGGAGCTGGAAAGAATGGATCCCACTCAGGAAATCAGGGCAGGCTTCAGGGATGAAGCAGCCTTGAGATGGGCTCCAGGGTGTGGCTGGATTGAGCCAGATGCCACTGGGCATTCCTGGCAAGGGAGCTGCAGCCTGAACTTGACCCTGCCTCCCAGTGACTGAGTGTGTGATCTCAGGTCAGGCCCAGACCCTCTCTGGGCCTGAGCTTGCTTGTGGGTTAAGTGGAGGTACACATCTATGTCCTACAGATACAATTAGATCATGGATAGGAATGTGCCTCCTGTCTTGTACCAAAGAGACCATTGTTCCAACCCTGCAGAAAACGTGCCCTCCCTACAAACTTTCAAAGTGATGGCTTTCTCTCCTTCAGCGCTTTGAGGAAAAGAGACCCGGCAGGGGTGAGAGAGAGGCCCTCTGAGCTTTATTTTTCCCACTTCTAAAACTGCAGGATTCCTATAAGGATAAGAAACTAGGAGATGATATTATTACATCCACAAGAGAGAGAGAGGAGGGGCTGGTTTGTTGCAGCATGAGGAGGTGGGGATTTATCGCTGCAATAAAGCCATGCTGTCTCTTGCCTTAGGAAACCCCCACACCCTGCCTAGCTCCTCTTGGAATAGCACCAAGGGCACCTGGCATGACCACGTCACGCTCCAGGGGAAGTGGCTAAGTCTTGTTGATGACACTCTATGAACACCTTGAGCAAGGGTGGGGCAGGAGATGGGGCATTACCAGGGGACTATCACCACCCACCCTGTGACGTGGTCAGGGTCCTATGTAGGGATCTGGGATGGTTCTTCCTAAGGGCCCCTCAGCCCTTCTGCTCATGTCTCCCCAAGGGGCTGATGCCAGCCAAGGGATAGGCTGGGAGAGACAGGGTGCCCCAGGCAGGACTTAATTGCATTCTCCTGCCTAATGAACCACTCTGAGTGCAATGCACCCCAGCAGAAGCAAGGACAGAGGCCTGATTGCCCAGCTCTCTGTAGTCCAGAAAAATAAATCCAGCCTCTTAGGCTGTCAGGAGCCGGCTGGGGGTGGGGATTCTAATCCCTTTCCCTGCTCGGCCCTAATGCTGCAATATCTCTTCAACCTCCCCAGGCCACCACCTCCCCCAAATCTCCCGGATCAGGGCCAGGGTAATCCTGCCATAGCCTGCCCATCTCTCCCTTTTGGGAGCTCCCTGCACCCTTTCCAGCTGACATTTCCCAGGCTTTCCCGTGCATCAGTCCCCTCATTTGGAACTTGGTGAAGGTGGAACAGGCTGACCATTGGAAGAGCTGAGGTGCCCAAGATTTGGCTTGCAGGTGGCAGATTCAGGAGTAGGCACTCTTCAGTCTCTCCCTCTTGGTCTCTGTAGGACCGTGTGCTGAGGGTGCAGCTGGGCTCTGGGACCTCAAAGAAGAGCTGGAACCACTGGGGAGAGGGCTTGGCTGAGCAGAAAGGAGCTGTGCCAGGCAGAGCCCGCACAAGGGGGAAAGGGCTGCCTTGGGCCAGGTTGGAAAACCTGGAAACACAACCACAGGCATCTGAGAACTCACTGTGTGGTGAACAAATGTAGAAATTACTACCAGTATCACAAATGATGTAGGGACAGCTGAAGCATCCATTTGGTGAAAGTAAAATTAGATCCCTGCCTTTTACTTCACACCAAAATAAATTCCAGATGGATTAAGATGTATTTTTTTCTATTTTTAAAATTTTTTTCCCATTTTGAAGGCATACATTTGTTGAAAAAATTTAAACAACTTGGAAAGATGTAAAAGAAATTCTAGTCTTCATGCTTTAGAGATAAGGCTTTTAAACCTCTCTCCGCACACGTGACATCCATATGGAACTATATATAGATGGATGTCGATGGATGGGTGGATTGCAGATTGAAATGTAAGCAATGAAGCCGAGAAATCGTGGGTGTAAAATATTACTTAAATATATGATATTGGGCCACCCTTCTTAAATCCAATACCAAAGGCAAAATGTATAAAGGAAAAGAGGGATAGATTTGACTACATAAAAATTTAAATTTCTGCACAGAAAGCATGATAAATAAAATTAATTCAAATGATATATAAGAAAAAATATACAGTGTGTACGAAGGCTAATTCTCTTACATAAGGAAAGCTTTTATAAGCCCATAAAGAGCCAGTTCCCCAAAATAAAGCCTGCTTTGCTCTGTGCCTTCACGCCCTCTGCTCCTTTTCTCTGTCTGGCTTGAGGTTTCCCAACCTTGTTCTCTCAATAAGTCCTTTCCTTCCACTTTGCTGCAGGTGTCTTCTCCTCCAGGAAGGCTTCTAGCTCACCCCTCCTCCTATAACTGACAATGTTAAGGATCCGGGCTCTGAGCTCCTAAGCAACCTGTGTTTGCCCTGCTCACCACACCAATTCCCAGGAGTGGAGCTATTTGCTGCCAGTCTTGGCTCAGGGTGGCCTGATTTATCTCTGAGTGTCTAAGGGCTCAACACGTGTACGTAGATGACTGGAAGAGAAGGGTGGTGAGGATGTAGAGGAGAGACACAGATTTAGTTTGGTACGGGGTGTGAGGCAGGGGTCTAATTACAGTTGTTACCAAATATCCAGATGTCCCAACACCATAAGTTGAATTCCCCATCATTTTTCCACTAATATGCTAATGTCCTAATCTCTTGCCCACATTTCCAGGCCATTCTCCTTCTTTAGATCGAAGTATCACCACTTCTTAGTTGGATCTTTAGGAGATGAGGCGAGATAATCTCTGGCATCTTAGTTAACTCTGAAATCCCAGGGTCCCTGCTCTGGCGCAGCCTGTGACTCAAAGTGTGACCTTGGGCAAGGCCCTGTCCCTCTGAGCCTGTTTCCACCTTGGTCAGACAAGGATAATTTACATTTCCTGCTCCTTGTTGCCCCGAGACAGCTGGGGACACTGGAGGTACACAGACCTGGTTGTGAATTGTGGTTCCACCATTATGTGTGCCCTTTGTGACTTTGGGCAAGTCCCTTCCTTCCTCTGTGACTTGGTCTCCTCTGCTTTGCAGAACTGTGGGGATGATGAGATGGAGCAAGTAAAGGGCTCTTAGGATTACCATCCCCACCCACCCCCAATGCCATGGTGAGCTCACACAGGACTCTGTTCCCCACAGCCCGGGATGCAGCCTGTGAGTGAGATTGGGCAGCTACCATGCCAGGGTCTTCTTCCTCTATTGGTGCTGGTTCCCAGGGCCACAGCCTACAGAGCCAGGCCTGGCCTCTGCATCTGGCTGACCATGGCACCCGCCCTGGGTTGGGGGAAGGCAATCAACCTGGCTGTCCTCAGCAGCTGGAGAGATGTGGTGTAGAGCAGGGAGGAAAGGTTTGATCACTGTCTTCACATAATTAAAGGGCTGTCAGACGCGAAATGATAATTACAGGAACGATCCTGGATTTGGCGACTTACAGCTTACATCTGTAATCGTGCTGGGGCCTGGCAGTCCTCCTGTGAGGTGGTGGTGATGTCATTCTGTGAACAGAGGAGGAAGCTGAGGTCAGAGGTCCTGAGCGATTGGCCTACAGCCACACAGCCGGTGGGAAAAGGGCCTGGGTGAAAATCCAGCTCTTTTGTGTATTCTCCACTCTGTGGTCATTTGACCCCAATATTTCTTACCCTTTGGCTGGCCTTGTTCTGTGTGGTATCAGAGAACCAGCTGCAGGGGAGCAGTGGAGGAGGCAGATTTCAGCTCCACCTCCCGGGGGGGGGGCGTCGGGGGAGGGCAGTAACTCCCCTGCCTGGAAGGTCAGCCTCACCAGATGCCGTGCATGGGAGGTTTTAGTGGTCTGGGCAGCATGCCGATACTGTCCCCATTTTACAGAGCAGGAAGCTGGGGCACAGAGAAGGTAAATGTCTTCCCCAAGGTCACTCAGTCGTGGCCAGTCTGGGATTCAAACCCAGTATTGCCAGACTCCCTCAACCCAGCCTTCCGTTGTCAGGCTCCATGTCTTGGAAGGAAGAATTTTGAGTCCACAGAAGGACTAGGCAGCATCTGGAAGGAGAAGCCCCTTCCCAGGAGCCAGTGGAGTAGAGTAGGGTGAGCTCGTGTCCTGGAGGCTGCAGACACGCTCGCTGCCTCAGGGCAAGGGGACAGGCAGGGGAGCTCTGCGATTCTGAAATTCTGTAACATTCAGAGTGATGTGTGCAGACTTCAGACCCCATGTTCTGTTAAGGGACCAAGGGGAGGTGCTCCATAACCTTCAGGATCCCTAGTAGTGGGAGGGGCAGCTGTGTGCATTTTGGCCTGGGGCTGCAGTCTACAGTGGCAGGGGCCTGTAGCCAGTGGCAAAAGGCAGCAGCAGAGCCATCCCACCCCAGCGGCCATGCCCATGCTTCCTGTGTGGGGCTGGGTTTGCGGCTGCAGTCGTGCTCTGTGACTGTATGAGCCCCCGCTGCTAATGAGGTCTTTCTCTATGTTCTTCTCTGAACACAGAGGGCTCTGGGGTGGGAGGAACAGGACAGAGACAAAGAAGGGTGAAGAGAAGACATGACCATCCTCAGGAGACAGTGAGGAGAAGGACTGGCCTTCAGGGAAATTGACCCACAATTGCCCAGATTGCTACGGAGGGGCTCCTGTTTCTGGAGGGTTAGGGTAATAATGGAAGGAGATGCAGTGGCCTCTGGGTTGGAGCCTCCAGGATTCTCCATCACAGCAGCCCCCACCTCAGCCTCCATCCCCTCGGGCAGGAATCAGCATCCTACCCCATCCACAGCCAGGGGCCACTCCTGCCCCAGCTGCTCGCCCTGTCTGGTCCCTCCTTAGGCAGTCTCCAGCACACTCCTCCTGGTGCCTACCCCAGGAGCCAGCTGCTCCCTCAGCCCCAGCCCACTCAGCTTTTCTCCTGCTCCCTGAGGGTAAGTCTGGGGCTTGCACGATGGCCCTGCCCACTGGTGGCCCTGAGCACCCCTCTGTTGCCCTGTCTCACATCCATACCTCCTTCTATCCCTCACGCCATAGGTGACCACCACCTTGTGCCCGGCGTGATGCTGGGCCCAGGAGACATAGAGACAGCTCAGGCCATCCCTGCCCTGAGGGAGCTCGCAGCCCAGTGAGCCACCCTCATTATGCGCCCACTGTGTGCCACTTGAAGCCCTTCAGCTCATTTAACAGCCTCCCTCCGAGGGAAGGGCTGTTATTCCCATTTACAACGAGGAGACCGAGGCTCAGAGGGGCCAAGTGACGTGCTGAGTGGCAGAGCCAGCTCTTTAGAGCCCGTGCTCTTTCCATCTCCACAATTACAATTTGATTGAGGGTCACAGTGGTGGGTGCCAAGAGTCTGTGCAGGATGGTCAGGGAGGGGAGACCTTTTGAGCCCTGGAGGGATGGAAAGGCTTCCTGAAGGAGCATCAGGTCTGGCCTAGGGGTCAGAGAGTTGGAGGAGAGAAATCCAGGGAACTAGGCTGGGCCTGGGATCGCCATACTGGGTCCCAGAGGGCAAGGTGGGTTTTGAGGGGAGCTGTTCAGGCTGCCTCCCAAGGGGGCCTGCAGAGTCCAGTCAGTATGCCTGGGTTCAAATCTTATCCCCACTCCTCCCCTACCTGCTGACCCCTCTGACTCCCCTCCACTCACCCGTGTTGAGCCTTTATGCAAATTAGCAAAAAGCACCCATTTTCTAGGACACACCCGCCCGCCATGTGCCAGCAAATCGTCATAATATGCACATTGATGGTCACCATGATGTGAGTGGCACTTCTTAGGGGGCAGTGCACAACTTGCTCAGCCATATGTGGTGGCCCTTCTCTGAGCTTCTGTGCAATGGGGGTAGATACCCCTAAATAAACAACCCCTAGTGTTATGCAGACTGTGAGAGATGAAGGAGGGCCGTGGCCGGGGCATTGAGGCAGCGATCACTGCTCCACGTCTCTGGGAGCAGGGCCAGATTGGCTTGCTAATGGGTGGAGCGGGCAGGCCTCTCTCTGCTGTAATGTGCCCTGACAAGGACCATTAGTGCTATTGGGGCCTCTTTATCAGTGGAGCTGCTCCCCAGGCCACTTCCTCTGGCTACTTCCTCACCTTCCCCTTCCCTTCCTTCCAGTCCCTGCCATTCAGTGTTTTCCTCTGATTGTTCTTAGAGTGACCCCCGCTGCCTGCCTCCCTCTGTGCTGGGGCCTCTTCATCCCCATCTACAGGCTCACTGTGGCCTCCGGCTTCAGCTCCCAGGGCTTTAATCCCTAGGTTGCCCCAACCCCAGCTCATGCACTAGTTCTGATCATGGGGTTCCTGGCTCCTTGTTGCTTAGGCCCTGCCTGCATTCCTTCCATGCCTGGATGCCTCACCCCCAACCACCACCAGCTCTGGTCTTGGCTGGTTCCCAGGAGTGGGAGGTGCAGCCCCTCATTCCTGCCCTGCCTTGCTCCACTGTAAGGATCTGGACACTTGAGGACAATGGCCTTTAGGGCATAGGACCCTGGCTGCCATGGGCCCTCCCGGCCCCTGTGGTCTTCCTGGCCCCCTGTCAGCCTTGCCCCTGGGCCCTGCATCACCCCGGTCACAGGTCGTCTTCCCAGCGCCTACAGGAGGTGCTTTACCTTCCCGCCTCCAGGCTACTTGCCTGGGACCAGACCCATCCTAGGCCGAGGCTCACCCCTCGCCTAGGTCCCTCTCAGAACCTTCTCTGCTGGTCAGAGGCACACAGGCCTTGCCCCTGAGGAGGCAAAGTGGTCTCTGTGGACAGACAGCCATCTAACACTGCCAGCGTGGGCTCTATAGAAGACTAGGTACTTTTTTGTGGGAACTGGGTGTTAAGCCTCAGGGGAATCTCTCCTGGGTGGGTGTACTCATGCCAGGGTAGGAGAAAGGGTGTTTCCTCACCTATCATTTCATTATCAAATCTTTTCAAGTTCCTGTGCCATCTGGAACACGAAAACTGCCCAGATCTCAAGGCATTTATGTATAGCAGGGAGACCGACATGTATAGAGACAGTTCTAGAACTGTGGGGTCTGAGCCATAGGTGAGATGGCTGCATGGGTTACGGAGCTCTGAGGAGATGGGATTCACCCTGTGAGACAGGGGAGTCTTCAGGGAGGAGGCACTCTGGAAGGAGTAGTTTGCCTCATGGAGCAGAGAAAGGTTGCTTTCTAGATGGAGGCTCCAGCTGTGTGAAGGCTTGGGGTCTGAAGAGCCTGTTTGGGGAACCGTATGTAATTCTGTGCATGGGGCATAAAGCACAGAGCTGGCCTGGGCCAGACAGAGTGGGCCCTGACATCTACTGAGAAGCTCTTGCCAGTGGGACTCTCAAGCTGGGGTATGACGTGACCAGATGGGTGTCAGTCTAAAGACATGGTTCACCCTTTGGGAGACTCAGATGTTTAAGCTGGCCTGGGACTCACCAGCTGCACTCTGCAGGGAATGAAGGCTGTTATGAGCAAATAAGAATTTGAGGTGGCAAGACGGATTCTGAGAAGGACTAGTCCTGGGGTGCTGGCTGGAGGGTGGTGGAGAGACGGTCATGTGCAGACCCAGACTGCCTCCATGGGAGGCAGGACTGAGTCTAGGGACTCAGCCATTCTCTGGGTGGCAGCTCCTAGGGTTCGATTGCTCTAGAAGGGCACATGTCCTGCCCTGCTCCTAGCCAGGGTTTCCCTATTCCTGACCAAGGCTGGGCTTTGCTGTGCCTGGAACTGGAGCTTGTGCCATTCTGTGTCCAGCTGGGGCAGACACAAGTGGCCTACTCTCTGAGAAGCCACCACCTCCCCAAGCCTAAACCTGCTAGAAATACTGGGCCTCAGGGTGTCGTCACCTTTGCATCTCTGTTTATGTACGAAGTGAGGCTAAGCAAGGCAGTCGGGCTCTGCACATGACAAGGAGTGGTGGCAGCTGCTCACCCAAACATGAGTCGCCCAACTGAAGTGACCCACCTGGGACAGGAGGGTCACCCAGGCACCAGCCCTCTTGCCCAGGGCGAGGCACGGAGCAGGCCCTTAGTGGGTATGGAGTCATGGACCATTAGGGTGTGAAGGCCTTTCCTACGTTCTGGAGAGGCAGAGGATGTCACAGATACACTGGTAGTGTGCTGAGTGCTCACCAAGCCACCTGACTTGTATTATCTCATTTAATTCTCCATCAACCCCATGGCATAAGTACTAGTATTGCCCTCATTTCATAGAGGTGAAAACTGAGTCACAGAAAGAATGAGTACTTTGCCCAGAGTTACACAGCTTGTAAGTGGTGACAGGGATCTGAGGTTCCTGGGCAGACTGATGGTATCTTTGCATGGTGTGGGATGGAAGGATTCTGGACAGTGAGAAGACTTTCCCTCCTTCCTGCCCAATCCTGCATGTGGTCATAAAGTACTAGTAGAGTGGAAGTCGGCTCAGTCTCTGTCCTTGCAGAACCCACACTTGTCTGGGGGACACAGTGAGCAGGTCATGGTGTGCAGAGCGTGAGTTTAGACAGAGGGATGCCAATGCTGCGGGCGCACCGCGGCAGGCACGAGGGTAGCAGGGTGAATCCAGGGAGGCTTCACAGAAGCAGTGATATTTGAGCTGACTTGAAAGGTGAGTGGGAATGTTCAGGGAACAAGCCCAGAGGCAGTGGCCCTTCCAGGTTGCAGGAACTGGTTGTGTAGGTCGAAGCTGGAGAGGTCAGGGGGCCACACTCCTGCTTGGCTATCAGTAAGGAGCCATGAAGAGGTTAAACTGGGATGGTTTAGAAACATAGCAGGGAGCTCAGACGTAGGGCTGCCTCTGTGACTTTACACCCTCAAGGGAAATGTAGTCTTGGTTCTTCCTCACACTGACCTCCCCTCAAGGGCTGTTGACTTGTTCTGATGATCTCAGCAGTTTCCCGGGATGCAGGATATTCCAAGCTTTTTGTGCTTCCAAGATAAGGGGACGGATGAAAGCAGGGAGAAATTGGAGGGCCAGGAGGAAGTGCCTGCAGACGCCTGAGCTGGCCCCTCAGGAAACAGCAGTGGTGGTGTCAGTGTCCCCCGCCACCCCACTTCCACCTGGCTGGAGACAGGGGTATCTGGCCCAGTGGAGGCAGCAGAACATGGCACTTCTGTACTTCTTCCTTAATCCTCTGCTAACTTGCTGTGTGACCTGGGCAAGTCACTTGGCCTCTCTGGGCCTCAGTGTTTTTCTCGGTAGCACGGGGTAGAGGTGGAGAAGAAGAGTGCCTGCTTTGTAGGCATGTGTGTGAGGGATGTGACTTCACAGACTGCCGATCACTGTGCCAGCGCCAAGGGAGCCGTCCCCAGAATAGGGAGAGCAGTACACGATGGAAAGGCTGCAGACCACAGTAAAAAGAGCACAGCCCCAGGGGGGGAGGCCCTGACTGCCCCTGGCTCTCCACCTTTCTGTGACTTTGGGCTTGGTGATGGTGGACAGGTCACTTCCCCTCTCTGAACCTCAGTTTCTCCCAGGGTAAAGAGGGCAGGAATTCCTGCCTGGCAGGTTTGGCTACAAAGTGGGAGGGAGGAGGACACATTCTGGTGGGAGGCAGCCTAAGGGGCTGGCCCCTGACCCACTTAATCCCCTCCTCCTCTGCTCTTCCAGTGGGAGCGCCTCTGGTTCCTGCTCCTCACCTTCACCTTTGGCCTCACGCTCACCTGGCTTTACTTCTGGTGGGAAGTCCACAATGACTATGATGAATTCAACTGGTGAGTAGGGGCAGTGGGTGGGGGAGGAAGGGGCCCAGAGCTGGGTATCCAGTAGCTGGGACCTGGGGGCTGGAGTTAGAGCCTGTCTCCCAGGTTGGCCCTCTGAGCTCTGCCACCAGCTCTCTGTGTGGCCCTGGGCAGGGCCTACTCCCTGGGAGCCTCTGTCCTGCTCACCTCCAGGGCTTTGGTGAGGAGGCTGGTGTGGGACTATAGTGGGAAGTGCCAGAGGTATGGGTGAGGATTGTATCGCAGACTGGCAAGAAAGAGGAGGAGGAAACAGAGAGATCCATGCCCCGAGGGGAGTCCTACTGCGAACTCAGGGAAAGCTTCCTGGAGGAGGAGGCATGGGAACTGGGCCTTAAAGAATGACTGGGATTGAAACCTGGGGAACTTTAGCTGCTGGTCTTGGAGACCCCTTGGTGCTTGCATTGATGATTCAGCCTGCATTCCTGGCCTCCTGAAGAGGTGGAGGGGAGCCTCAAAGAACAAAGGCTTACAGGAGCCAAAGCCCACTGGGGAGACACAGGGCATTCCTTCCCGGTGCTGTGACCATGGACAATAGGAACATAAGGCTGGGCCAGGGCTCAACCGGGGCAGGGCCCTTTGGTTACCCCCTTTGTATACAAGAAATCTACAGCTCAGAGAGACCAAGGTCTCTGCAGAGGAGATAGCCCTGGATCCTAGGCCTCCTAACTCCCTTAGCTAGGCCCTGGGCAGGGCTGGCAGATGAGTTTGGGGACAGCTCAAGGTCCTTTGTGGGTACCTCAGATCCAAAGGCAGGGCCGTCTGAGCCACTTACCTGGGTACAGGAGGGGCACCTGTTTTTTCCTCTTCGCCATTCCATCGCCTGCCTTTTGCTAAGCAGTGGAGAGGTCATGGGAGGAGGGCAAGGACCCAGGGTTCTACTGACAGATAAGGAAACAGGCCCAGGTCACACAGCCAGTTGGGGACAGCTGGGGCTTGGAAGCCTGGCTCCTCACTCCCCATCCATTGCTGTTCCTTCCTTTTGATCAGATGTTCAGGTCAGCATGGCGATGAGCAAGTCTCTGGTGCTCTCTAAGCCTCTCCTTCTGTAAAATGGGGTAACTCTGACCTCATCAGGTCTTTCTGAGGATGAACTGAGATGATGGACACAACAGGGCTCAAAGCTCTACCTAAACATGAGGGCTGCTTCCTAGGAGACCACATCTCTAGCCGGAAGGCAGCATGATGTTAGCATTTGGGATTTTCAGGACCCTGGGCTTCTGACAGGCTGTGGTGTTAGGATTCTGTGATGATCCTGGGACTCTGCTCATGGAGCTGGGTGTCCACTTTTCCCCGTATGGCACCAGGCTGTGCCTCTCTTATTAATGAGCACAATCAAGAATATGCTGCGGTCCCACCCCTGCCCTGCGGCAGCCAAGCAAGATGAGCCGGAGCCCTGGCAGAGTCCCAGAGGTGGCCTCTGGCCTTTATTAAATGCCATAAATCAATTATTCATCTTTGCAGATGTCCAAAGCATGGGCACTGTCATGAGTAAATGGGAACGTTCCCTACTGGCCCTCAACTGCAGACCCAGACAGTTCCTCGGAACTGGAGTCTGCTGCCTAGAAGATCATCAAGTCTACCCCCATCATGTACAGATGGGGAAATGGAGGCCCAGAGAGGGTGAAGACTCATTCATGGTCACACAACCAGTTAGTGCCAAAAACATGAATTGAGGACAGACTGAAGAGACCAAGGCTTAGAGAGGTTAAGTAGCCTTTCCAGCGTCACACAGCAAGAAGCAGACAGATCTGGGACCGGGACTTCAGCCTGCCTGACTGTGTCATGTCCATGGAGCTACCCACTCTACCCAGAGAGTGAGCTCCCTGTCACTGGGAGTTTCAAGCAGAGGATGGGTTCCCGCCCTGTTGGGGTGGTGGCAAGGGGAGGCCTGCCTGGCACTTAGGGATGCCTGGAGACCTGCAGCTCCTTCAGCCTGTCGCCTCAGTTTCTTGGAGTCAGTGCTGGGGTTCAGGATGCCCCGGCCCAGTCCTGATAGTCTCAAGAGTCTCTGGGGACCGGGCACAATGACTCATGCCTGTAATCTCAGCACGTTGGGAGGCCAAGGCGGGCAGATCATGTGAGTCCAGGTGTTCAAGACCAGCCTGGACAACATGAAAAAACCCCATCTCTACAAAAACTACAAAAAATTAGCCAGGTGTGGTGGCATATGCCTGTGGTCCCAGCTACTCGGGAGGCTGAGGTGGGAAGATTGCTTGAGCCTGGGAGGTGGAGGTTGCAGTGCAGTGAGCCGAGATCACATTTTACCCCATTCTGTAAAATGGGGTAACTCTAACCTCATCAGGTCTTTCTGAGGATGCAATGAGATGATGAACATAAGAGGGCTCAAAGCTCTACCTAAACATGAGGGTTGCTTCCTGGGAGACCACATCTCTAGCTGGGAGACCACTGCACTCCAGGCTGGGCAACAGAGTGAGACTCTGTCTCAAAAAAAAAAGAATCTCTGGGAATAATTCAATTCATACAGTAAGAGGATGTGAGTGACAGCCAGGGATCAGCACTGGATGAGGAGGGCCAGGGAGGGCCGTCTTGGCTGTTGCTGTCCTCAAGGACTCCCTGCTAAAAGTGGTCACACTTGAGAGACAAATGGAACCAGAACATCTTTCAGGAATAGTTATCAGGAGCAAGTCTTGCCCCTCTTCAGGCCTCAGTTTCCCAACGGTATGGTAAGGTGAGTGCATTCAGTGATCTGCCAGGCAGTAGATTTTCCCCTGGACTCTGAGGATGAGGGCCAGGGAGGGCAGATGCCCCATGGGTTCCTCCCGGTGTCCCTTCCCAGCTGTCTGGCAAGGTCCCAGATGACAGCAGGCTGAAGCTGCCCAGCGCTCAGATTTTCTGATGACCTTGAACAAGTTGCTGCCTCTTTTGAGCCTCAGTTTCCCCCTTTGTACAAGGAGGATGTGAGTAGTTCATTCTTTTTTTTTTTTTTTTTTGAGACAGTCTCGCTCTGTCACCCAGGCTGGAGTGCAGTGGTATGATCTCAGCTCACTGCAAGCTCCGCCTCCCAGGTTCACGCCATTCTCCTGCCTCAGCCTCCCAAGTAGCTGGAACTACAGGTGTCTGCCACCACTCCTGGCTAATTTTTTGTATTTTTAGTAGAGACGGGGTTTCACCGTGGTCTTGATCTCCTGACCTCGTGATCTGCCCGCCTCAGCCTCCCAAAGTGCTGGGATTACAGGCGTGAGCCACCGCGCCCAGCCGGATGTGGGTAGTTCATTCTTTCTGGAGAGCATCTAAGCAGTATCTATCATGCCCCTTAAAAATTTCAATCCCACCAGCCACAGTGGTATGTGCCTATAGTCCCAGGTACTGGGGAGGCTGAGATGGGAGGATTGCTTGAGCCCAGGAATTCAAGTTCACCCTGGGCAACATAGCAAGACCCTGTCTCAAAAAAAAAAAAAAAAAATTCATTCTCTTTGACCCTATAATTGTATCTGTAGGAATCTATCCTAAGGAAGTAATCAAAAATACAGAAAGATATGTATAAAAATTTCATTTTTATGTTAATTTATAATTGTGAAGAATTAGAAACTATTTCATGCCACTAGTAGGAAGCTGGCTACATATGGTACATTAATTCAGTGGAAAACCACGTGGCTATTTTAAAAATCACATTTTCTCAGGATTTTTACTGGCATAAGTAAATGCTTGTGTTGAGAAGACAGTTGGCCAGGTGTGGTGGCTCACGCCTATAATCCCAGCACTTTGGGAGGCTGAGGTAGGAGGATCACCTGAGCTCAGGAGTTTGAGATCAGCCTGGGAAACATGGCAAGACCCTGCCTCTACAAAAAATACAAAAAAAATTAGCCCGATATTTTGGTGGGTGCCTATGGTCCCAGCTGAGGTAGGAGGATTGCTTGAGCCCAGGAGGTCAAAGCTTCAGTGAGCCATGTTCGCATCCCTGCACTCCAGCCTCAGTGACAGAGACCCTGTCTCAAACAAACAAACAAAAACAAAGAGAGTTTATTGAGTAGTTACCATGCATCTCACCTCACTTCATCCTCATGAGACCCCATGAAAGGCACTTTTTATTTATTTATTTTATTTATTTATTTATTTATTTATTTTTGAGACAGAGTCTCACACTGTCGCCCAGGCTGGAGTGTAGTACTGCGATCTCTGCTCATTGCAAGCTCTGCCTCCCAGGTTCACCCCATTCTCCTGCCTCGGCCTCCCGAGTAGCTGGGACTACAGACGCCTGCCACAACGCCCGGCTAATTTTTTGTATTTTTAGTAGAGATGGGGTTTCACCATGTTAGCCAGGATGGTCTCGATCTCCTGACCTCGTGATCCGCCCGCCTCAGCCTCCCAAGTGCTGGGATTACAGGCGTGAGCCACCACACCTGGCTTCAAAAGGCACTTTCTTATCCCCATCCTATAGGTGAGGAAACTAAGGCTCAGAGAAGTCAAGTATTACATTCGATCAATTCTAAGACCCCCAATTTTCACATCTTAACATTGAAGTTGAGATGACAGTGACAATCGATGGCATCTTAGAATCAGTGAAGCCTGTCCTCCACAAGGTCCTACAAGACAGTGAAAAGCAGAGACGAGAGGGGATGTGAATCCAGCCTGTGTGCCTCACTCCAAAGCCTGTGCTCCTGACCGTGTTGCTTTGTGCAGCGGGGTCCTGGCTTTGCTGTTTATACAAACATATAGGCATGGGGGCGGGGGAACCCACAGGAGGAAGATCCAGCACAGCCTTGGTAATGATTACTTCTGGCCAATAGGATTATGGGGCATTATTTTCTCCTTTACATTTCTTGGTCCCCGGGTGGCTGCCATGAGCAGGCATGGTAGAGCATCAGGCAGACGCTGAGCCTTATTGCTAGGTGGGCACAGCCTGGTCACTGAGCCCAGCCTGTCGTCTGTGTGGAGGCTCAGACCATCCTGATTCCTGGGCCAGGTAGTGGCCTGGTGGAGGTCTGACCCCTGCCCCCTCTCCTCCTGGCAGGTACCTCTACAACCGCATGGGCTACTGGAGCGACTGGCCCGTACCCATCCTTGTGACCACAGCTGCTGCCTTCGCATACATCGCTGGCCTCCTGGTACATGGGGCTGTTTTGGAGGGCAGGTGGCCCTGCTCCCAGGGGAAGGGATACTGGCCCTGTGCTGGGCTGATGGAGGGTCCCACCCTGGTATAAAGGGGAAAGCTGTATTTGTAGGAATATTGTATTTGTAGGAATGTATCCTAAGGAAGTAATCAAAAATACAGAAAGATATGTATAACATTTTCATTTTTATCTTAATTTATAATAGCGACTAATCAGAAGCTATTTCATGCCACTAGTAGGAAGTTGGCTACATATGGCACATTAATTCAGATTTTGCCCAGGGCCTCTCGGGCTGCTGCACCTGAGGCCTGGGTCCCCCAAAGCAGGAGGTCCTCTTGCTTTTGCCCGTCTCTCTAGGCTGCCCCTTCCTGGAATGTTTGCCCCGGACCCAGTGAGAGCTGTCCTGGCCGAGAGGGCCCACTGCAGGCTTCCTCTTCCAGGAGCCTCTGCTTCAGGCTCTTGCTCCCGATATTCCACTCACTGAGATGCAGGTGGATCCCCCATGCTGGACTGGGGGCTCCTTGGGGACAGGCTCAAGTCTGTTTCAGAATCCCGGGGACTGGAACTCCCAAAATGTTTGATGAATGAAGTTGAGTAGTCCAAGTACAGCAGCACCCAGTGACCTCTTGACGGGGAATCACACAGAGGAAGAGCCTAGAGGCCTGGAATCATCTGGGAGGAGGCCAGGCTCAGGCTGGCTAGTCTGGGCTGGGCTGGGGAGGGCAGCGCATTCCCATCGCCTGGAGGGAGGTTCGCTGCCTCTGCCCAGGGTCAGGCCCAGAGCCGCAGTGGGGAGCAGGGTGTCTGAGAAACTGGCAAAGCCTTCCCGCCCACACGGGCCTGACAATCACCCTGTGGGTCCCTCCTCAGGTCCTGGCACTATGTCACATTGCCGTGGGGCAGCAGATGAACCTGCACTGGCTGCACAAGGTAAGGGCCGCCTCGGCCGGGGCTGGGAGAGAGCAAGGGAAGCTGGAGGCAGCAGCAGCAGAGGAAGGGCCTGGCCACCATGTCCCTCCCCTGGATCACCGTTAGAATTGTTCTCATAGCTAAGGCTGAGCACTCACTATGCGCCAAGCACTTTTCTCACAACCTCACCCGTCTTCATTCACTTAACCCTTACAGCAACCTTGTGATGTAGGTACTGTTATCATTCCATTTTGTGGTTGGGGAAACTGAAGTACAAAGAGGTTAAGTGATTTGCCTAAGGTCTCCCAGTTTAAACATGGAAGATCCAGGGTCCCGCAGTCATGTGATTAACCAGCAGAGCTCACAGCTCATACTGTGGCACCCACCCTCTGGGGGCCCTGCCTCGGGTCTCACCTGCCTCTTCCTTCTTTGGTGAGCTCTTTTGAAAACCCTGATCTGGCGATGGCATTCCCCAACTTAAAGCCTTTCCACCACTCCCACCGCTCCCAGGATGACCCAAACTTCCCTACCTGGCATGATCTGGCCCCTGCTGATCTCCCAACCCATCATGGGACAGTCACCCTCAGCTTCTGCTACATGAGACATCTCATGCTCTCCCAGCATGTCTGCCTCCTTCCCCCGTTTAGCACTTTGCTCTTGCCCTCCCTTTTTCTCTCGGACCCCTTCCTCAGTACCTCCCCTACATACACAGGATTCTCTCCCGGGACTTCCTCAGCCCCTGCAGCCTCCCCTGCTACATGTCTGAACAGCTATGTTTTTGTGTTTTCAGTATTCGTCTGGCTCCCTGACCCCGACCCACCCAGTCAAGGTGCTCTTTGCAGGCCAGAGTTAACCTCCATCTCCCTGTTCCCAGTGCCCCCCCTCAGGGCTGGGCCCAAAGCAGACAGGCTTCACCCATTCCGGAGCCTTAACTCTCTGCCTTACGTCCATTGCAGGCATAGTGCTGAAGTGTGTTTCTGATGCCTGGCCTTCTTGGGGCCCTGGTGGGCACAGAGTGGTACCGAGCTGACCAAGGCAGAGCCCCTCCCTCCCAGGAACATCTGGATCGTCTCCCTTTCCCCAGAGCCTGGCTCCCCGTGGGCCTGCCATTTAGGAAAGGGCAGAAATGTTCAGAAACTACCATGAGCCCATGAGATGGGGCCAGAATGACTCCAAGGGGAGGGGCTCACTTCTAGCTAGAAGACGGATGTGGAATAGGAAAGGAAGAGGGGACAGCATGAGCCTGGGTTGGGCTGTGTGGAGTGGGAGGTGCCTGTGAGCATCCAGGGAGGCACCGAGGCCGGTTTGTTACATGGGCCTGGAGCTTGGGAGTCAGACCCCAGAGACTGAAGTCTTAGAGTGGTAGGAGCCGTGAGCAGCCCCTGGTCCCCCCACCTTCCTCCTGCCCTCACTCTACTCACAGGCCTCCTCTGGGCTTCCACTATCCCCTCTGTGAGGGAGTTTCTTCTCCTGGCTGCAAAGCTGGCATTTGAAAGAACTGCACCAGCTGGCACCCCGGGTGGGGCTGGCACATGCTGTGGTCACCTTCTGGGGCCATGCCTGGCTCTCAGCAGGTAAGGTCACACATGCTTGATTCTAGTGGAGAGGCCTATAGAGCCGCTGAGCCAGCTGGAGCTGGCAGATCAATGCAAGGAAGCAGATCCCATTGTCCATGCTGGTGCCAGCTCCCAGGGTGCCTTCCTCTGCCCTCTGCCCCCTATGTGAGATCGCAGCATGAGCAGGGTCCTTTCAGGTGGAGCTGACCCAGAGCTCGACCCGCCCCACCAGGAGGGAGTTCCCCAGAGCTCAGAGTGTTCCAGCAGGGCCTGGAAATTCTCTTCTGTTTCTAAGATTCTGCCATTTGATTCTAAAATTCTAAGGACTCTTTATTCTTTTTTGTTTGCTTTAATTAACTTTTGACCATGTAATACATCGACATGATTCAAAATACAAAAAGCACAAAAAAGTATACAAAGAAAGTCTCCTCACTATCTTTCCAGACAGATTTTAAGCACATGCACATGTACATATGCATTTCCTTTTTCTTTTTTCTTTAAACACAAACAGTCGCCTACTCCACCCTCTGTTCCGCACCTTAACAGAATTCTTGGAGCTCCTTCTTCGCTGCATTAAAGCATCCCTGTTGGTATCCATCCCTTGCTCCTGCTCCCTGGTCTGGATATTCCCTGATTCCCTAGGCGTCTAGCCAGTTCCCTGTTGATAGACCGGATCGACATCCCAGCTGCTTTCTGTCTTTTGCCAGGACGATGTGGTGGTGACCTGGGAGAGGAATTTCTGGGTGAAGAATGTGTACTTTCATCATTTTGATCTTGCCAAATGGCCTCCTTGCCAAGTGCCTCCGATTCATGCTCTCTTAGCAATGGATAGTTGTTCTATAAAAACACCCTTGCCCATAAAGCATCAGCTGATTTATTGGCTTTTGTCAGCCTGATGGGTGAAAAGTGGTACCTTGCTGTAGTTTTCATTTGCATTTCCCTTCGGGTGAGTTAGATTCGGCATTTTTCACATGTTTGAGTAACTTGTGTTTTCTTTTCTATAAAACTGTCTCTTCATATCTTTTGCCATTTTTGCCATTGCTTTTTGCTTATTCATTTGCAGGAACTCTTTATAGATGTGGGAAATTAGCCATTTGGCTAACAAACTGCAAATAATTCTTCCTAGTTTGTCATTCATCCTTGGACTTTGCTCATTGCGTTTTTACCATGGGGATATATATTTTTTTATTCTTACATACTTGAATCTGTCATCTCTTGATGACTCCTTGGTTTTGTGTCAGACTCAGAAAGGTCTTTCCCACTCCAAGATTATAAAAATTTTTCTATGGTGTCACTTGGTAATTATATATTTCCACGTTTTTAACATTTAATTTTTTCTCTTTTTGGAAGCTATTTTGGGGTATAGTGTGATCTTACTCTGTTCTTTTTAGATGGCTTCCCAACGTTTCCAACTCTCTCTACTGAGAATTTGTCCTTTATTCATTTGAGATGCTATTTTTATCATATACTAAATTTTCTTTATGTATTTGGATCTATTTATGAATTTTTTGCTTATTTTCATTTATCTATCTGGTCTTACATCAGCAACATAGCACTCTAAAGACCACAGTTTTATAGTATGTTTGTATTTTTTTTTTTTTTTTTAGAGACAGTCTTGCTGTGTCGCCCAGGCTGGAGTGCAGTGGCACGATCTTGGCTCACTGCAAGCTCCACCTCCTGGGTTCACCCCATTCTCCTGCCTCAGCCTCCCGAGTAGCTGGGACTACAGGCACCGGCCACCAGCCCAGCTAATTTTTTTGTATTTTTAGTAGAGACGAGGTTTCACCGTGTTAGCTAGGGTGGTCTTGATCTCCTGACCTCGTGATCCGCCCACCTCGGCCTCCCAAAGTGCTGGGACTACAGGCATGATCCACCATGCCTGGCCTATAGTATGTTTTAATCATGAAGTTTGAGAGTCTCTGGTTCCCCTGGGTCCTGAGGAGGGGAGGACAGAGATGCTCAGGACAGGGTGAGAGGGAGCCATTCACAGCAGGCTGGGTGCTGAGTAGATCTGGTGCTTATGTGGGGACCTTCCTCCTCCTCCCCAGTCTGCCAAAATCTCCTGTTTCCCAGAAATCTCTCCCAGGTGAGTGTTCAGGAGAAATTGAGGTACCCAGGAGGTGAGGGAGCAGGCTGAAGGGTTCTTGGGAGCTTTACAGTAAACAGGAGGCCCTTTCCCTGAGATGCCCCCCTTCCTGCCCCACCCACCGCCCTCTGTGAGGTGTTTTGGTCACAGCTCACACCTCCCCAGGCTGCCCTGAGCACACTGCACTGCTCTTCTGTCCTCGCCTGACTCCCCTGCCTCAGTGGCAGCAGCCCCCAGCCCAGGACCTGCACAGAGGAGGCGTCTGTCAGCGACCCAACCTGAGCCCCAGAGAGGAGCACTGGGTACCACACAGCCCCAAGGCAAGTTACTGGCTGGGCTGGGGCTGGGGCTTCTGCCTCCTACCAAGGCTCCATCAGCCTCTACCTGCCATCTGCTATGTCTACTTCATCACCTCTCCTGGTGAATTCAGACTTCTCTCCATGCACTGGCCCCAGCTTTATGGTTTTTCCTGGTGTCCAGCCTCTGTCCCTCCAGCAGCAGCTTAAGGAAGGCGCATTCACTGAGCACCTCCTGTGTGTGCCAGGCACTGCGTTCACCATAACAGCAGTAACCATCCTTTATTGGGTGCTGACCACATGTGTCAGGCACCTTTCACTCAGAATTTCACAGTCATTTCACTCCTCACAATAATCCTGTTCCCATATCATGCTCACTTTTTAAAATGATATCACTGAGATTTAGTAAGCATTTTCTTCTGGCCAGCCGTTGTACTAAGCATTTCACTTGCATTTCCTCACTGATCTTCCCCAACCCCCTTCCAGGTAGGTACTCACTATCCCTATTTCACAGCTCTGGAAAGGTCCCTGGAGAGGATGTGGAAAGATCCCCAGTAGGTAGCAGAGCCAGGATTCGACTGAAGACCGTGATTCAAGTGAGGCTCTTAACCCTGGGCCAGCTGTCTGCCATTTGGACTGCAAAACCCAGAGGCCAGATACCCCTAAGAGGCCAGCTGTTGCACCTCTGCAAGGCGGGGTTCCACCTCCTCTCGGGTCCCGGCACCTAGGCCAGACTCATCGAATGAATGAAAGACTCTGTTGTATCCCCTGTACCCACCATGGCTATCACAAGCCACAGTCCCATGAAGACAGAGAACCCAAGGCCACTTTCTCAGAGGAGGACGGTGATCTGTCTCTGGGCCTCTAGGGTGGGATTCATCCTTCTCAGTCAGATTTCAGGAGCGATGGTGGTTGCGTTTTTGGGTGTCAGTGCTATTGCTATAACTTAATGATGCAAGGTAGGGAAGTCCCACAGACACTGAACATGCAGTGATGCTGCTGAGTGTGTTGATTAGCACCAAAGCAACTGTGGAACTCAGAGATAATAACATTTTTAATTGTATTAGGGTTTGGGGAATCAGTTTTATTGCAAGTCGTTTCCATTAATAGGTATTGTGATGAGATGCTCCTGGAAACCATCCTTAACTCACTGTGTGCAGGGCCACCTCCCACGATGGCCACAAGGGGGAGCTGCGCGCCGGGGGCAGCCGGGAGAAGGGGCCTGAGTGCCGAGGGCGGGGTTCTCAGGGGTTCGGAGGCGCAGCTGGGCCTCCCAGAGACTGCGCAGCCTCTCTGACACCAGCGTGCTGTCTGTCCGAGAAAGCGCACACCCCCTTACCCCCTGAGATGGGCAGAAGGTGTTCGTTTCTGGTTCTGCCCCTTCAAAGCTCCGTGACCCAGCCAGCTGTTCCTCTCCCCGAACCTCGCTTCCCGTGTGTGAGATGAGGATGCTCGTGCCTCCGCGGAACCAACCTGGGGACCACGCGAAGCGCCCCCACAGGCCCAGGCACGCCCATGCCTCTTCCCGCCCCGAGCCCCCATGTCACAGCCCTTCCAGCTCCTCACCTGCCTCGCTCAGGTCTCTTGGGGGAACATTTGTTTCCAGGCTGATGGGCTGGAATGAAAAGCCTCCAAAGGGAAACTTCATCCCAGGCGAGACTCAGCATTCCCCGCCGGCGAGTGAAGGTCCCTGGGTAGGGAGCGGAGATGCTGGCCACCGCCCCACCCTCATCGTCTAGAAATGCCACTGTCCCTGCTCGGCATCAGAGGGCCCTGGCCGCTGCTGCCTCTGGGAAAGGTTGCCTCGGGAGAAAGGGGGTGAAGGCCCTGCCAGCAGCTAGAACGGCTCCAGGGAGGCAGGGCGGCCGGCAGTGCTGTGGGAGAAGGACAGGCCTTTGGAGGGAGATGGGAGACGAGTCTGGAGAAACTAGGGGGACGGAGGTGGCGGCTTTGACTGACCCTTCCAGAGACTGGGATCTGCGGGAGGCTTTGGAGGAGAGCCACAACCTGGGCTTCGGGGAGGCACGCCTGGGGGTGTGGAGGGGGGTGGGTGGAGTGAGATCCACGGCTAGGGGCGAGGGGCTGGGGGCCGAGGAGCCGAAAACCTCTGCCGAGCTTCACGTGGTTAAAGATTTCAGGTCTTACCTGTCACCAGAGATCTCTGTCCCGTAGAGGTGCCACCTCATCCTCCATGAGAGCTGTGCTTTGCTTTCTTCTGGAGGCTGCAAGGAGGATGGCCCCCATCACGGCGGACCTAGATGCTGGGAGTCCGGGAGAGGGCAGGCCGTGGAGATGGGGCAGGTGGCGATGTGTTTCACCACCCACTCCCGCCTGAAGTGCCACTGTGAGCCCAGCCCAGGGTGCCAGGCTGGGCTGCACTCCAGGCTCCTGCAGCAGACCCAGTTCCTCAGCCTCCTTCCCCTGAGGCCTGGGCATGGCCTGGACAAGTGGGTTTCCTCCTCTGCTGTGCCATGCTGAGGTGGCAGGGAGGCTGGGCGGGACCTTGGATGTGACTAACCTGCCAGGCCCAGGGAGGTCCCCCTTACTGAATGTCCTCCCTCCTCACAGTTCCCTCCTCCTCCTGTCCCCATCCTCCCTTCCATTTCTCGCTGTCCCTTCCTCGCTGGGTCTGCCGGCCTCCTGCTGCCTCCTCCTGCCTCAGTCTCTCCCTGCCGTGTCTATCTGCCGGCCTCTAGTTTCCTGGCAGCCCATGCCTGTCTCTTTCCTCCCTCCCCTCTGCCCTGCTCCATCGGCCTCTCCTGCCCTCTCTGTCTCTCCCTCTGGCTCCTCTCTCAGACACACTGGGAACCCTCCCACCCGCTCTGAGCCTCTGTCCGGTGACTCTTCCCCCTCCAGATCGGGCTGGTGGTCATCCTGGCTTCCACGGTGGTGGCCATGTCGGCCGTGGCCCAGCTGTGGGAGGACGAGTGGGAGGTGCTGCTGATCTCCCTGCAGGTGAGTGAGGAGGGTCCCCCAGGACCCTCACAACAAGAGCCTTTCTGTCACTTCCCTTTCTCCAGACCAAGGCCCAAAGAAGGGCAGGGAGGCGCCCAGGGTCACAGAGCAGGTCAGAACTAGGGAGGACACCAGGGTCCTGAGGCTCCCAGTGTCCCCAGTTGGCAGATGGAGACAGGGTTGCCTGCCTCATAGGTAGAAGTAGGAGGCTGGTGACACAGGGTCTGGGCAGAGCTGGGCGTTACTGGTCTCCCTTCCCTCTCCCTGCAAACAGGGCACAGCGCCATTCCTGCATGTGGGGGCTGTGGCAGCAGTCACCATGCTCTCCTGGATCGTGGCAGGACAGTTCGCCCGCGCAGAGCGGACCTGTGAGTAGAACTGTGAAGGGCCTGCCCCTCCAATCCCTGCAGGTGCCAAGACCAGCTGGTGCTGCCCCGACCTGGGCTTTCCCTGGGGGTGGCCTGGGGATGGGGTGGGGCCCCTGCACTCAGTGAGGGGGATTCTGGCTCAGAGTGGCCCACAGAGTCCACGGAGGGTCACAGCTTCAGTCGGCCTCACACTGTATTCCTCCTCCATGTCTCTCTCTCTGCATGTATGCACCTGTGTCTGTGTGAGTTAGAGGCGGGGTTCATCTTCCCAGCAAGAATAAGGGCTTCCCCCTAGAGCACCTGGATCCTGACAGGTCGGGGGTAGAGGGGTCCAGCATTGCACCCCAACCTGCCCAGGGCTCACCAGGCAGCACTCACGGCCCCTTATCTGCAGCCTCCCAGGTGACCATTCTCTGTACCTTCTTCACCGTGGTGTTTGCCCTCTACCTGGCCCCTCTCACCATCTCCTCTCCCTGCATCATGGAGAAGAAAGACCTCGGCCCCAAGCCTGCTCTCATTGGCCACCGCGGGGCCCCCATGGTGAGTGCCACCTCAGGGTCCTAACAGCCCCGTTGGGGTGGGGTGCGATGGGGGGGACCTTCTTGGGAAATGGATATATGTAATGGTAGCAACCATTTGTAGCTTTTTGAGGGGAGGTACATGGGAAGGACTGGCAAAAAGGCCGGGAGTGCTGGGATGGAAGCACATCTTGAAGCGTCCTGAAGGCATCTTGCTAAAAAGATTTCAGTTTTGTCCTAAGTGCCCTGCAAAGATGCAGGAGGGTTTTAGGCCCAGGCTAGACCCAGGTGCCAGTTAGGAAGGCCCAGGAGATGGATGCTGAGTGTGGGGCCTGGGGTCTGCCACCAGGCATCAGGAGAACCCTCCAGGAGAGCTGGGAGGCAGCTCAGAGCCCACTGTGACAGTGAGTACGGCTGAACCGACGTGAGTTGGAGAAAGACGAAGGGATCAAAGTCAGCGCCGCATTCTGCCACCAGTGCACTCCATAGCCCTGCAGGAGAGCTTCGGTGAGAGGGCAGGCTCCAGAGCCATGTTGCCTGAGTTAGCATCCCAGCACAGCTCCTCACCAGCTGTGGGAGGCCCAACAGTTTCCATCTCTTTGCCTGGTTCCCCCATCTTGTACCATGGGACTAGTGAGAGCACCTGCTGTGGGGCTATGAGGAGCAGGAGTTAGCATGTGTGCAGTGCCCAAATATGCACATGGTGCACAGAAAGTAAGAGGCAGACACTGCTGTTACCTTGGGCAGGGCCATCTCTCTGGAGCAGGGTCTCCTGCTCCATGAAAGCCTTGAACCCAGGCTTCTTAGCAGAGGTAGTACACACCCCCACCCTGCCAAGTGGGGGTGTGTGTGAGCACTTCCTGAGGGCTTGGCTTCCTGGTGTTCCAGGCTGTTGTGGGACCTCAGGGTAGTAAGGGGGTCTCACATAACTGCTTTGGAAGGAGGTGCTGGGTCTGCCGGGCTGCCACTCACTCTGGAAGTCTGGCCCCCTGCATGTGGTGGGTATTATTTTCTCGATAAGACTCCAGCCCCTGAGCCAGACTCCAGTGCTGACCCCAGTCCCTCCCAGAGGCAGCCAGTGGGGATCTGGATCTGGTGTCCAGTTTGGCCACATGCTGCCTGTGCATCTTGGAGGGGTCACCAGTCCCCTCTGTGCCTCAAAGGTATGGATGCCCATGCTGCTGGTTATTGTGAGGACCAATTGGAGCCCAGCCTTCCCAGTGGGGGCAGGGGAACTCTTCTGAGGGGCTTAAAACGATGGCCCCTCCTGTCTCCATGACTCAGATTACCATCTCCTGGGCTCCCTCCAGCAGCCAGGGGACATAAGTGGTATGCTGAAGCAGGAAGGTGGCCCCAGCGAGGATGGTTTTCTTTAGTAGAAAAAGGTCAAATATATGCAGAAGTGGAGAAAAGCATATAATGACTCACATAATGAAGAAGGATGTAATGAATCCAATCCCATACTTATCTACGTTTGGCCATTCTTGCTTCATCTGTTCCCTACTTTTTTTTCTGGGGTAGTAAAGCAAATCTTAGGCATCGCATCGTCTTACCCATAGGCACTTCAGGATGTATCTGTAACACATGAGGACTTCAGAAAGATGCATAGCAACAATGCTGTTATTACACCCAGCCAATATTAAGGATAATGATTCCTTAATATTATCTAAAATGGAATCCATGTTCAATTTCCTTTTATTGTCTCGAAAATATCTTTTTACAGTTTAGTTGTTAAAAATCAGGATCCAAATGTGGTCCACAGCACGCATCTGGTTGGCGTGTCTCCTGAGTGCCTTTTGATTTGTAACAATCCCCCGGCTGGGCTCAGTGGCTCATGCTTGTAATCCCAGCACTTTGGGAGGCCAAGGCAGGCAGATCACCTGAGGTCAGGAGTTCGAGACCAGCCTGATCAACATGGAGAAACCCCATCTCTACTAAAAATACAACATTAGCTGGATGTGGTGGTACATGCCTGTAATCCCAGCTACTTGGGAGGCTGAGACAGGAGAATTGCTTGAATCCGGGAGGCGGAGGTTGCAGCGAGCCGAGATTGCGCCATTGCACTCCAGCCTGGGCAACAAGAGTGAAATTCCGTCTCAAAAAAAAAAAGTTCCCCGTCCCTTTTTTCCCTTAAGCTGTTTATTTGTCCTGAGAAATGGAGTCATTTGTCCTGTGGGATTTTTCACATTCTGCATCTGACTGATCATGCCCTGGTGGTAGTTTTTGAGGGGCTGGCAAGGGTCCCCTCTGTGTGTCCCTGTGCATTGCCTTGGGGGGCTCTGACTCTGGGTCCACATGTCTGTGTGTGGTGAGCCCAAGTGCACATCTCTGTCTTGGAGACTGTCTGTGTGTCCCTGGATGTGTTGTTCCTATGCAGATGTGGCCTGTCCCTCTGTGCATGTGTGTACGTGTACTTTAATATTTGATTGCACTAACTCTGAAGCTAAGACTCTTTTTTAATAGTACTTTGAGTTGCTGTTTTATAAATCTGGGTCTCTTAACCATAGTGTCCCACCCACCTGAGTAACCACCACCCCCCTATGCACACCCTCCTGACAACAGAACCCCACTTGGACTGGCCTGAGGCAGGTGCGAGCTCTGAGACGGGGACTAAGAATTCACCCCAGCAACGTGTATGCTTCTGGGGCCTTCCTGGAGTCCTGAGCCTGGCCAGGGAGGGCCAGGTTTCCATATCTCTTTCTCCAGGAGGTCAGCACCTAACCCAGAGAGAACTTAACTGTGTCTAAAAGCTTCCAAAAAAGACTTTCCCCTTCCCAAACACTTCCTCTGCCCTGAGGGTCTTCGCAACCCCTTCCAAGCTTCTGCCTTCTGCAGCCCCAGCCCATGCAGCAGGGAGCGTGGACCCCTGTCAAGTGGTCCCTGATGGAAGGCCTGGCCGCAGGATATTCAGAGATGGGTGGGATTCCACTGAGTCCTTGCCTCTCTCTCCATGCCTTTGTAGTCCTGCTTCCCCTGGGAGTGCCTCACACAACCCACTGGACTGGGAGACAGGTAACATGTCCTCCAAGAGTGCTGTATGCCAGGGACAGGAGAAGAAAGAAACTCATTACTGAGACCCTGCTGTGTGCCAGGTCCTGGGCTAGGGTCTGTGACTTTTGTTATCTCACCTGTGAGGTTGATAATGTTAGCCCATTTTACAGCTAAAGAAACTGAGGCCCCAGCTCTGTGTCTGGGAAGTGAAATTGCACCTTTTTAGTCCGTTCCAAAGCCCTCACCACTCCCTGGCTCCCCAGTGCTAGGCTGTGTCACAAAAGAGGGGAGTGGCTGGGGAACATCGTGGCCAGAGGGAGAGAAGGTGGGAACAGGATTGTCTTCAGTGGGAATGAATGAGATCAGCCATGGGAATCCTTCCCACCTCACCTCTTCACTGACAGAGCAGGGCAGGGGGATCGGGGGTGTCCTCCCTCCCTCCTTCCCTCCGACCATCCCTCATGGACCTGGTCTTCGCCCAATCCTTGGTTTGGTGCTGACCCCCAGTGGCAGCAACGGGTATGACAGTCCTCAGATGAGACCCAACTAGGGAGGCTTGAATCCCAACTGTCCTAAGCATAAAGACCCTCATGAGTACACATCTCTAAGGGGCACATGGGGAAACTGAGACCCACAGAGAAATATACCCAAAGTCAGGACAATAGTTAATGGCAGAGTCAAGGCTAGAACCAGAGCTGGGTGTGGTGGCATGCACCTGTAGTCCCAGCTATTTGGGAAGTTGAAGCGGGAAGATTGCTTGAGCCCAGGAGTTTGAGGCTGTTGTGAGCTGTGATTGTGTCACTGCACTACAGCCTGGGTGACAGCAAGACCTTGTCTCTTAAAAAAATGCTAGAACCAGGATCATGTAAGGGGAAAACAGTTGCTATTTATTAAGCACTTACTGTGTATATCAAGCAGTGTGCTAGAGGCTTTTAATTCACGTAACAGTCCAGGGAGGGAAATAATGCTGTCATGTTTATATAGATGAGGAAACTGGTCCCGCACTGAAACTCTACCATCCCATCTACCCTCTCTTCCAGGTCTCCCCCCTGGACTTGTCTCAGGGTATAACCCTTGGTATAACCAAGGGTATAACCTGAATTTCACATTCAGCCCCAGCCCAAGACTGCCAGAGAGCCACAGAGGACTGTAAAAAAGCCCTCCAGCCCCAGTGTCTAGCTCAGTGCCTGGGATAGAGCAATGATAACATAGTGACCATAGCTACCATGTGTCAAGTGCTAGCTACATGTCAGGCATTTATATGCATCAACACTAACCAGCCCTGCCTCCCCCGCCCCCAGTAAAACCAATGAGGTAGGCATGATTTAATAGATGAGGAAGCTGAACTTCAGAGAAGCTGAGTGGGTGCCCAGGGTCACACAGCTACTCTGTGGAGGGGCCAGAATTAGAACCAGGCCTAGCCCAGCCTCCCAACATGAAAGACTTTCCATTGGCTGGGGAGGGTACATCAGCTGAATCTTGGCTCTCCCTTCACCACCCCTTCTTCCCCAGCTGGCTCCAGAGCACACGCTCATGTCCTTCCGGAAGGCCCTCGAGCAGAAGCTGTACGGGCTCCAGGCTGACATTACCATCAGGTAGGTGTAGCGGAGGGGAGATAGTTCCTCTACCCCTCCCACACGCTTCGGCATCCACCTGGGTCTCTGCTGGGGGAACCTCTGGTCTCAGAGCCTCTGAGATGGGAGGAGGAAGACTTAGATTATCCACAGCAGGGCAGGCACCCTGTTCCTGCAGACTCCAGGATGTAAAATAGAGGAAAGAACAAATGCTCTTGGTGCAAGCAGGAGCACTGCCACAGAGCCACTTGAAGGGAAAAATAGATGATAGAGCTACAACACTCTCATGAGGGAAATAAAGCAAGTTGCAGAGTGATACATTCACTGTGACTCCAGTTACGTTTTAAAATACCACAAAAAAGTGACATATACACTTTCTCCATGTACATATATAAGTAGATATTAGTATAAATGGCAGGAAGAATCCATACTAATCTCATAACAGAGGTTATCTGAGAAGGGAAGAAGGGCAGAACTGTCATATATAGTTGTACAGGTTGCATACTGAACAAGGGCATCACATAAATGAGGACATTGTTCCCAGTATAGACATAGAATTGTGTGTTTATCACAACTTTCTAGCAGATGGTGGTAAAATGCCTTGAGGAACAGAGGGCACAGGTACCTTTTACTGTTTCACACTAAGGCACCATATGAGCTATTTGCAACCCTGGTAGAGTAGACAAGGATTGGGGTTGGGTGGAATTTGCCAAAGAGGTCTACATTTGCACTGTTCTCATCATAGCATCACAGGGATTTGGTTCCAAACTGGGTTCCACCACTTACAGGCTGTGGACCTTGAGCTAGATACTTCCCTCTCTCAGCCTCAGTTTCTCCATTGTCAAATGAGGCAGCACCTACCTTCCAAGGTTGCTAAGAGAGTAGGTCCAGATTTTTCCCAGCCCTCCCTCCTTGGCAGTCCCCACCCCCATCTGACCCTCACAGAGAGCCAGAAGGCATTGGACCTTCAGGGTCACCCACCAGCCCACTGTCTTCCCTGTGCAGATGGGGAGACTGAGGCCCAGAGAGGGGCAGAGCCAGCCGGGATCCTGTGCTGGGTGGGGAGGACTGTGTGGGGTGACGATCATTGGTGGGCAGGTAAAGGATCTGGGGGGTCACTGACTCGGTGGCCCCACCCTCCCTGCAGCCTGGACGGCGTGCCCTTCCTCATGCATGACACCACCCTGCGGCGCACCACCAACGTGGAGGAGGAGTTCCCGGAGCTGGCCCGCAGGCCTGCCTCCATGCTTAACTGGACCACCCTGCAGAGACTCAACGCTGGCCAGTGGTTCCTGAAGGTCTGGCTGCACCTGATCCCAATCTTAGGCATGGAAAACACCAGCAGGGACTGCAAGGAGTGAGAGGTGCAAGGGTGGCCATCAGCTTCGAGACCCCCACTCTCAGAGCTTTCGCGACCTCCACCCAAGCTGCTTAGTGGCCTCCTAGGCTCCTGCCACTGCTGCCAGACTCATGGTTGTCACTGCTTGTTCTGGGTCCATTTCCCTCACTAGAAAAGGTTGACAGGGATGAGAGCAGTGAATAGAATTCTTAACTCTGTAAAACTCTAGAGAGGGGTTGGCTCTCTGATCTGAAATGCTCTAGAAGGAGAAATGCTGTGGGTCTGGGAGCGATTCCAAGCAAGCCGTCCTCCGTCCTCTTGGTAAGCAGGGTGTGGGGTAGAAAGGTTAGGGCTGGGGCCTCCTACAGCCTCCACATGGCCACAGCCATCAATCTGCCTGACCCCAGCAGACTCTGGCAGCCCAGGGGTCTCCACGCTTGGTTGCCAGAAGGGTATGTGGGGGCCCCCAAAGGGCTGATGATGCAGCCATGTGTGTGTCCCTGTCCCTGCCAGACTGACCCCTTCTGGACAGCCAGCTCCCTGTCACCCTCCGACCACAGAGAGGCCCAGAACCAGTCCATCTGCAGCCTGGCAGAGCTCCTGGAGCTGGCCAAGGGCAATGCCACACTGCTGCTCAACCTGCGTGACCCGCCCCGGGAGCACCCCTACCGCAGCAGTTTTATCAACGTGACTCTGGAGGCCGTGCTGCACTCCGGCTTCCCCCAGCACCAGGTGAGGCCCTGCAACGCAGCTCTGCCCCCGGGAGCCCTGGCCTGGCTAGAGCCCTGCTGCTGCATAGCCTTTCCCTGTTGCACTCCGGACTTCAGCTTTCCCATTTGTAAAATGGGGATCACACACTGCTCACTTCCCTGGCAGGGTCATCATGGGACAAGAGGGGAACAAGAAAACACTTTAAAATGTATAAAGGTCCAGGCGGTCAAGTTATTTCAGTGAAGTGTTGCCCTGTCGTTTGGTGTAATAATCTGGGACCAGAGAAATCTGACATCAGTTTAGGACGGCACACTAGGTGCTAGTGGCCATGTGCAGAGTAGTGGCTGTTTGGGTTTTCCCTCCCGTACTGACAGCAGGCCAGAAGCGAAGTTTCCTGAGTTGCTGCCAGTGCACTTTGCAGCCTTGGCTGGGACTGAGTCCTGCCCTGCTAATGACTTCATCTAAGCTTTCACCGCCTGCCAGGTCCTGTCTCTTAACCCCACAGGTGCTCTAGGAGGAGTAGGTACTCTTACGCATCGTGCAGAAGAGAAGTCTGAGGCTGCCTCTCTTCTGCCTGCAGGTCATGTGGCTGCCTAGCAGGCAGAGGCCCCTGGTGCGGAAGGTGGCTCCCGGCTTCCAACAGACATCAGGCTCCAAGGAGGCAGTCGCCAGCCTGCGGAGAGGCCACATCCAGCGGCTGAACCTGCGCTACACTCAGGTGTCCCGCCAGGAGCTCAGGTGCCTGCCCTGCCCTGGGCTCCTCCAGGAGAGGGTGGGACTGAGTCTCTCCCAGTCCTGCCACCACCACCCCCCAACACACACACACACACACACACACACGGTCGGGCAGAGGGATGGGCACACAGAGGAATCAGGCACACATGGTTCAAAGACAAGAGGGTGAGCGTGTCGGGCAGACCCGGGCTTGTCCCGGAGCTTGGCCCTCTGGAGCCAATGTTCCTTGCCCCGGGCATGGCTGTGAGGTCGTGAACAGGACGTGCTTTACCAGCCCCGACACTGGGCCTGGAGCTGCCAGGGTCCGCATGCTGACCTGCCTCTCCCCTGCCCCACAGGGACTACGCGTCCTGGAACCTGAGTGTGAACCTCTACACAGTCAACGCACCGTGGCTCTTCTCCCTGCTGTGGTGTGCGGGGGTCCCATCCGTCACCTCTGACAACTCCCACGCCCTGTCCCAGGTGCCTTCCCCCCTCTGGATCATGGTGAGTTGGGGGGCAGAGGGCCCCTGGGGGGCAGTGCTGGAGCTGCCTATAGCCTGCCCTGACCACTCGGCAAGCTCTGTGCTTGGAGCTGTCCCTGGGAGGTCTCTAGCATGGTGGGGAGTCCATGGTGGGCGTGCAGGCTTGAGGCATGAGGGTTTCATGGCATCTGGGATCTGCACTAAGGTGCTGGGAGGACCCTGGGCCTCATCCACAGGGAGAAAAGCATCACTAAGGGCTCTAAAGAAGTAAAGAGCTGCTTGGGTTTCTTTGCTTTGGAGGGTAACAAGGACAGGAATAGGAAGCATTGACCGGGCGTGGGGCTCACGCCTATAATCCCAGCATTTTGGGAAGCAGAGGCAGGATGATCACTGGAGCCCAGGGGTACAAGACTAACCTGGGCAACCCTGTCTCTACAAAAAAAAATAATAATAATTAATTAATTTGCTGGCCAAGGTGGCACACGCCTGTAGTCCTAGCTACTCGGTAGGCTGAAGTGGGAGGATTGCTTGAGCCCAGCAGGTCAAAGCTGCAGTGAGCTGTGATCACTCCAGCCTGGATGACAAAGTGAGATCCTGTCTCAAAAAATAAAAATAAAAAAGAATAGGAAACAATTAAAATCTGCTCAGAGAACAGCAAATAAAGCAATATTTTAGCTGGTTGACTGGGCACCTGCAGATAGGTGGTGGCTCCACTGTCACCCTGAGCATGCAGAAGGCAGGTGGAGGGTATCCTTATGGCTGAGAGAATGCAGTGCCAATGAATCAGACCTAAGCTGTGGATGGTTCTATGGGAGAGGAGGGTGAAGGGAAGGCAGCCTGGGGAAAGGGTCGAGACCGATGGATGAGAGTCGGCAGCGGGGGGCGGCAAAGCCATTGTCTTTCAGTATCTGGCTCCTGCTTTGAGGACCCTAGACACACAGACCCTGCAGGCCTAGCACACAACCCCTCTGCCCTGAGCACCATACAGTCCCCTCCTACCCTGAGAGTGCACACGTGTGCACACACACGCCCCGGCCCCCAGGCCCACAGCGCCTGGAGCCTACACCTGCAAAATGTCATCTTCAGCCCCCAGACCCTCTCAGGGTCCTCCCTTGCCCTTCCCCAGTGGCCATGTGGGGTCCTTTGGTCCACGGACCCTCAGTCTGGAGCCTCAGTCTGGACTGGCCATGACTGGAAGTTGGCCTCGGGCCGTCTGTCCACAGCCCCCGGACGAGTACTGTCTCATGTGGGTCACTGCCGACCTGGTCTCCTTCACCCTCATCGTGGGCATCTTCGTGCTCCAGAAGTGAGTAGGATCTGACCACTTCCGTGGCTGTCCCTACCCTGCAGCAGGCCCAGCCCCCACCCCAGCCAGGTGAACCCTCTCCTGAGCCCTGGGCCTCAGCCAGGAGCAGGCCTGACCAGGGAAGAAGGACGGACTCCGGTGGCCCCATCCTCCCTCAGACAGAGGCTGGGTGACTTCTGGAATGAACATGCAGCTGGGATCCCAGAGCCAAGCTCTGCCTTGGGTGGCTATGTGGGCTTAGGTGAATTTCAGCTCCTCACCGGGCTGGCCTGCTCATCTGTTAGCCAGGGCATGGGTTCCCACCAGCCCTCAGCAAGATAGCTGGGGTGTGCTCGCAGTGGGGAGGTGTGGTTGGTCCCAGGGAGGGTCTAGGGCCAGCCTGGGGCCCCCACCCAGCCAGGAACCAAGGGGCTGGGATTTTATTCTTGACTGATGTTCTCTCTCTGTCCCATCCTGCTCTGATCGGCGCATGTCCCTCCTCTCTCCCCCTCCCCCTCTCTCTGCTGCACTCTGGCATCTCACAGCTATCACTTGATCAGGTAATTCTGGTGTGGTCTTCCTCCTCCTTCTGTTCCTCTTTCTCCCTCTTGCCATCCCTTCTCCAGTTCTGTCTAAAAACCCACCGTGCACCAAGCCCTGTGCCCGGGCCACCTCGCAGACAGCGCGCTCGCCTGAAGCCTCCCTTACCCCCGCAATCCTCTTTTCTGCTCCTCCCGTCCCACTGCCGTGTGTGTCCCTCTGCTCCCTGTTCCCACGGCCGTTTCTGCAGGTGGGGACCAGCGTTTCCTTGACAGCTTCCTGACCTGGCCCCTCTCTGCACCAAAGTGTCTCCCTGGGGGAGGGGACCCTGCCTGGGTACCCCCATCCCCCTGCCTCTGGCACTTACAGGGGCCTTCACCACTTGCCCAGGGCAGACCCTACCAAGTTTCTGCCTCTCTCTTCCCATCTTCTCCCTCCCTGGCTCTGCCTCTCCCACTGTTCACTCTTCCTGTTTACCTTTCTCTGCCTCTCCCATCTCTTTCTCTCTCTTCTTTACATTCTATCTCTAACACCCATCCCTGCTTTGCTCCCCGCAACACACAGCCTTTTCCTCATTCCCCTCAGAGGACCCCACAGTGGCTGAGCTTCCTGTTCTGGATATGCCTGGCCGAGAGACCCTGGCCTGACACTGTCCTTCTGGGTTTCAACATGAATTTCCAGGATGGGACCTAGAGCTTAGGGACCCACGTCTCCCTCCGTCTAGTGCCTTAGCCCCTCCTGGGTCAGGCAGCTTCACCAATCAGCTTCTAGGAGGAGATGCTGTCCCTGGCTATGGGACATTCCTTGAGTCATTCCTGTGTCCGCCCAGTTGACCAACATCCACATACACTGGTTGCTGATGCTGTCTGCAGCAGGAGTTGGGCCTTCTCACATGGAGCCCCAGGGTGCTGGGGAGGCCACCCCATGGTGATTCAGTGGCTGGCACAGACACGCTGGGTCTGCTCAGACACAGCCAGGGCAGTGTCATTGTCTCCTGGGGATCAGGAGAGGCCTGGTGGAGGAAGGTACCCTGGGGGACAAGGCCGGGGGAGGATACTCTTTCCCTGTGGGCCTTATTCTTCCATTCATTCACTCAACAAGTACAGGTCAGGCTCCCGGGACACGGCAGGCACTGATGGTACTGGGGCACAGCGATGAACAGAGAGAGATTTGCTCACTGCCCTCAATGATTCATAGGGCAGCCAGCCTCGCCAGGGTGTCCGTGCCACCCCCCGCCTCCTGCTTTCCCCTTGTCTGCCTGCTCTGTTCATCCATCCATCCGCCTGTCCATCTGTCTGTCCACTTCTGCTGCGCTGACCCCATCTAGTAACTCACAGTTGGTTTCTTGTGGAGTCTTGGCTCTCTCCATCCCCCAAGCAGGGTTCAGTCCCTGAGGCAGTTGGGTTCTTGTTCCCAAGTTGATCACCCCCTCCTCCTGGTGGGGACAGGGGTGAGAGTCCAGTGATCCTTCTGCCTAGATCCCAGGAAAGGTCTAAGTTCAGAGGCCAGGGACTGGGGCTAGTTCAGAGGAATGACAATAGTGAAGACAGTGGCCTGGGCTGGGCACAGAAACCTGAGTCCTTTCCACTTAGTGCCTGGTCCCTTCATGCCCTGTGCATGCTCCACCTCCCAGCCCACTCTTGAGTAATTTTACCCCCACCTTGCACCTGTCTCAGCCATCAGAGGGATTCATGCTCTGACCTCCCTCCGCATTAGGACTGCCAGGACAGAGCAGCAGTTGGCCCCACTCCAAGTCACTCTAACCCCCTTGCCTTGGGAACCTGTGCAGACCAGCTCTGGGCAAAGCCCCCTACCACCTGGCCCCACCCCCCTGCTTTCCTTCCCTCCCTCTCAAGGGGTCTCCCCAATGGCTTCACTTAGTCTGGTCATGATGGTGGAGCTATAAGAGACATCAGCTGGGACTCCCTGAGATTGGTGTGTGCCCCAGCTTAGGTCAACAGAGTCGTGCCTACTAAGCTCCTCCTGCTCCCAAATCTGTCCCATTCAAAGAGAGCCAGGTGCATTACTGGGGACACCTGAGACAGAACTAACCAACCCTAGTCCTGGGCCAGGGCTGCTGACTGGCGGCTCTGGAGGTAAGAGGGAGGCCAGGGAGCCCTGGCCGAGAGTCAGTAGGCTCTGATTCAAGCCCCAACTCTGCCCTCTCTGGGCCTATTTCCCCATTGTACAGTGGGACAAGAGTCCTGCTGGTCTCTTGGGCCACATCCAGAGAGGCTCTGGAAGTAGGCAGGGTCTCTGCTCCAAGGGAGGGCTGAGGAGAGACCTGATGCCCACGGGGCCATCTCTGCAGGTGGCGCCTGGGTGGCATACGGAGCTACAACCCTGAGCAGATCATGCTGAGTGCTGCGGTGCGCCGGACCAGCCGGGACGTCAGCATCATGAAGGAGAAGCTTATTTTCTCAGGTACACAGCCCTGCAGACAGGTGGAGGCAGGCCCTGGGCCCAGCTTTCTGCACCCCCACATGCAAACAGATGTGTATGCACACACATTCACATGTGGCACATATGGGTAGGGACAAGGGCACAGACGTACATAAACCCACCGGGATTATACCCACAGACATACAAAGGCATAAGTACACGTGTGAAAACACACACCCCCACACACACAGTCATCCACCCTGTCATCCACCATGGCTTGGTGTCAGTGCCATGGTTGGTGGGCAGGGGTGGGGTAGGGAGAGGAGTCTGTTTTGAAGGCCCATCCCCCTTTGCCTGGTTCGTACTTGGATCCTACAATGTTGGCCTCACCCTTGCTCTTTGCCAGTCCCTGTCAACATTCCCAGTCTGATGGAAGCAGCAGCTACGTATATAAACAGTGGCAGGGAAAGTCGAGTTCCTGCGATGGGAGTGCCGGGCGGGGGGCGGGAGGACGTGGTCAGAGCTGCCTGGGCAGTGAGGAAGGCTTTGGGCGCCTGATACACTGAGATGGGGAGGATGCAGAGGAGGTGCTTTGGTAATGGCTTCAAGATGAGGGCCGAGTGAGCTGAGGGAAGGAAGGGCATTCCAGGTGGGCACGGCATGTGTGCAGAGGTGGCAAGGGAGCACCGCTTGCCTGGGCACCAAGAATGAAGTGTCCCTCTATATGGCCGAACTCCACTCAGCAGAGCTTTCTTGAGCCTCTGCTCTGTGTCCAGCACTCTACCAGGCCCTGGGGACATAGATGCCCAGAACCCACCCTGGTCCTTGAGGTATTTTGGGGGCCCAGGCAGCAACCATACAGAATATGGCCAGGGCAGAAGGAAGCAGGGTCTGGAGTTGCCATGAGGAGGCCCTAACTCGGCCCAGGGCTCCGATGAGGTTCCCAGGAGGCTGAGTGACAGATGAGAAGACTTGAGCCAGACTGTAGGAAAAGGAGGTGTTGTTGGGGCAGTCACTCCTAAGAGAGGGGCTGACACATGCAAAGGCCCTGAGGAGAGTGGACACATGGGTGCCAAGCTCAGGGGCACAGGTGGTTTTCTGTGGCTGCAGAGTCCCAGGGGACAGCAGATGAAGGCGAAGCTAGAGTGCTCAGCAGACACCAAAGGGGCCTTGAGTGCCAGGCTCAATGTCGACCTGAGCCCAGTGGTTTCATCAGCCTCCAAGTGCCCCGCTGGGTGGTGCAGCCTTCCTGCCCCATCTGTCACCCATCCTCACGACTGCCTCCTCCCCGACTCACATTCTGTCTCCCTCTGGCCCAGCAGAGATCAGCGATGGTGTAGAGGTCTCCGATGTGCTCTCCGTATGTTCAGACAACAGTTATGACACATATGCCAACAGCACCGCCACCCCTGTGGGCCCCCGAGGGGGTGGCAGCCACACCAAGACCCTCATAGAGCGGAGTGGGCGTTAGCTGAAGACATGTCTGTCCCACCTGTACCTGACACAGAAGCTGGGGAGCCTAGGAGAGCTGGTGGAAGTGTGTCTGAACTCGGAGTGCTCTGGGAGCGGGCTCCACAGCCTCCTTGTGGGCTCCAGCCCCTTGTCAGCCGCAGCCTCTCTTGAGGGGGACTCCCTGTCTCCTGAGGCCCAGCTGGGCCAGGACTCCATCCTTTCAGATGCCCCTGCAGGCCTGGGGCTCCTTCTGGGAAGTATGGGGCCTAGGGCTTGGTCCCCCTCTTCTGAGGCCCTCTCCTGTATCCCGACCTGGAAGCTTTGATGGGTCATGGGCCATGCCATACCCCCTGTGGCAATGGAGTGTGTGGATGCTCACCTGTGCCATCTGTCCTCCTGTCTGTGCCAGGAGGCACCTGAGTTCTCTGCTGTTATCCTGCCCCAAGGGCCTGGGCCGAGCCTCTACCTGAAGCAACTCTGCTCTTCCTGTCAGTCTCAAAGCACAAGGAGGTTCAGCCCAGGAGGAAGCCAGCTGCAATGTGGAGACACGTCCTCCTCCCCAACCCACCTCATGCCACCGCCAACCCCCTGCCCCAGGAGCGGGCCTGAGCCACGTCCTCTAGGAGCAGCTGGAGATGGCCAAAAGAGTGAGCTCAGGACTACTGGATCCCATGCCCAGGTGTCCAGCAGACCTCAAGGCAGAAGGGTCACCTAACCCAGGAGTCCACAGACTGATGTGACCTCAGGTTCCCACATCAGTGGCCACAGGGCAGGGCCCACCTGGTAGAAGTGTTCTGGATATGGCCAGGGTGGGTGTGTGGCTAAGTGGGCCTGAACAGAGGGAACCTAGGGCCCTTGGCCAATGTGATTAAAGCTGCCATCTTGATGTGTGTTGTCTCTGAATTGCCAGCAGGAGGGTGGGGACAAGTGCGCTGGGTCTAGGTTTCAGTTCTGACCCTATAATCTGAGGAGGAACCATTCTCAGGAATGAATGGGAAAGTGGCAGAATGGTGCCTCCCCTTCCCTGGGTCCGCCATGGTGCCAGTGGCTGGGAGCCGGTATCCTCATATGGTGGATGGGGAGACAGTCTTGGAGAGGTAAAGTGACCTCCAAAAGCCACACAGCTTAGAACAGGCCAAGCCAGAATCCCATCCAGACTCTGGCCCCAGCGCATATGTGTGCCTCCCATAAGCTAGGAATGACACGCAGAGGGGGAGGGCTCCTGGGTCCAATGTAGGGCTGGGAGTGGGACTGGCAGGTGCCCTCACAGCCACATGAAGGCATTCTGAACCTCCCGGCTATGTTGGGACAAGCCCTCAGCACAGGGAGGCCTCTTCCCCATGCCAGGAGTTTGGCTTTGACTTCTCCGAGCTTTGGACCTGCCTGAGGAGGGCCCATGCCCATGCCCAGGACTGGGGGCACCTGAGCTGAAAGCCAAAGTACAGCCCTGGGACCACAGGTGTCCTTTCCTTCCAGTCCTTGGGACCTCTGCTGTCTGTGGGCAGGAGTCAGTGGTGGTGTCAGAGCAGGCCTGTAACTCCCCTCTTTGTCCTGAGAGTCTGCCTGGTCATGGGTGTGACCTGAGGGAAAAGGGGGAAGCTGAGCCCCAGCTCCAGCCTGCATCAAATTAACTCCATGCTTCCTGGGAGCCAAGGGACGTGTCTCTTCCAAACAGGGATCTTCTGGATAGAATTCTTGGGGTCTAGGAGATTCTGGCACCTTATAGGTAAAAAAGAAAAGAGCCCTCTGCAAATGTTGGAAGCTCCACTGGGCCCCCACAGTAACCTCGAGGACCGGCCCTCCTGCCCCTGCTACTGAATGTCTGGCAAGTGCTCTGCTTCCTGGGGCAGAGGTCAGCTCCCGCCTCTCCCTGAGCTCAAGGGAATGAGACTCAGAGCCACTGTGCCCCCCGCCCCACATGCTTAGTCACATTGGCATCTACATGGTCACACAGCCACATGTCCACACGCAGCCCAATGCTACACAGTCACTTCATTCCATGTACTTCCACAATCACGCATAGTCACCCTGAAACCTACATGCCTACAACTGCATGATGACACCCCTCCCACACCCCAACTCCAGCACCACACACCTTCGAACCCATCGTCATTCCGGGACAAGGCCAGCACCAGGTCACCCCCAAACCCAGGCATACCAAATCCTGGAGTTCCACACACAGTCAATCCCACTCTTATGCCCCCCCTTTCTTTCCCTCCCTCCCAGGGCTAGTCCAAGAGTGGAACAAAAGCCCAGCATCCCCCTCCCTGCTCGCTTCTCCCTTCCCCTCCCTTCCCCTCCCTCCTGGCGTCCAGCCCCTTTGTCCTCCCGCAGCTGAGCCCGAGCGAACAGCAAACGGGAGTCTGGGCAGAGCAGCATGAACACTGGAGCTTGGGCTGCCAGGGGTGCGGGCGGCAGGCACAAACGGGAGTGATACCTGTGAGAGCAGCAGCTGCGGAGCACTTGGGAGAGGGTATGGCCAGGTAAGTGCCAGGTGCATGGGGCAAGGCTTAGGCTGCAGGGCTGACCCGGCTGCGTGGTGTCCGCAAGTCTGAGATGGGGAGGATGCGGAGGAGGTGCTTGGGTAATGGCTTCAAGTGGATGTGGGTGTGTAAAAGAGTGATGGTGGCATGTTCGAGTCAGCTTCTATAGGCTGGGCCCTTCAATCTGCATCATGACCCCTGGCTTGAAGTGCCTAGACTCAGCCGAGAAGGGAGGATACCCATTGAGCCCTACCTGGGAATTTTTACCTTCTGTGTTCCAACTGGGTGTCGTTTGACCCCCAGACTGGGGATCCCCAGAGTGAATGCTGGATCTGATGTCACTGTGTGTCCAGAGTGCCCAGCGCAGTAGACAGTAAAATGAAAAAGTACTGACACACTTCCTAGGAGGGGACTCTTTCTCCCCCAGGGAGCTGCTTGTGCTGTGGGGCACCTTTGCAAGAAGTCCATCCTTATGCTGATGAGACCTGCCCTCTTGAGTCTCAACTCAGAGCATGGTTGTGCTTTCTGAGCCAGTGGAGGACAGACTGGTTGCAGCGTGCTGTGATGACCGGTCTCACTTCCTTCCACCGGTCCTGGCTGCTCCTTGGGACACACCCCCACCCTGGCAAGTGTGGCATGCAAACCCTGGAGCCAGGTGGATTCAGGATCCAGTCGCTCTACTTGGGCAAAAGTAGTTAACTTTCTTGCCCACCAGGGAGCTCATCTCTCATGATGCTGACCAGGGGATCCGCTGCCCTGGATGACCAGGGCATGAAAGCCAGGCTGACACTAGGCGGGATCTGACCTCCAGAGGCAGCAGAGCAGCTGGGAGCAGGAGGATGGAAGGAGAGGCAGGGCGCAGAGGGTGGACCTGAGCCCCCTAGAGTAAGCTGATGGAAAGGAGGGAGCTCCCTGTCCCTGGAGGTGTGCAAGCAGAGGTTTTGTGTTCATAATGGCCAAATCATAACCAGCATGGCCCAGCCCCTCAGTCTGCAGAGCGCCTTCACAAACACCCCTCTGCTGAGCCTCGCCGCAAACTTCTGAAGGGCGGGTGTCCTGTGTGTGCTTGTTTCCCTTATGACAAACTAAAGGGGCAGGTGTGGGCTAAAGAAACTTCTCAGCTTGTGAGGATGAAATTAAATTATGTCTATAAAAGCAACTGGCACACACAGTGTCCTCCCTTCCTCTTGAGTAAAAGCAATATAGGGAAACACCCATGTAGCTCGTACTGTGTACTAGCACTTTTCATACAGCCCATGTAATAGTCATGAAGCCACAGCCCTGTGAGGTAGGGATGATGATCCCATTTCAGATGAGATAACTGAGGCCAGGGCGGGCAGGTGAGAGGAGTGACTTGCCCCGGCCACACCGTAAGCCTGTGGCAGGCACTGGGTTAGAATCCCCATTTGTCCCTAGAGTTCTTTCCACTTTCTGACGGTGCTACCTGGAGAACACCAAGAGAACTCACTAGAGAGAGGGCCAGCTTCCCTCAGCCTGGGCTCTAACCTTTCAGAATTCGCCCATCCTTCTCAGCTGGAAGGTTCCCCTCAGGGACGCCCTCCCTGACTCCCCTCCACCTGGGTCCAGCGGCCCTTCTATGAACTCCCCTAACACCCGGTGCCTCCCCATGGCACCCCCGCCAGGCTGGGAGCTCCGGGCACACCGTAACTATGGTTGTCTTGCTCACTGCCTGGCACAGAAAGGGCTCCCAATAAATACTTGTCGAATTCGTTTGCGCGAAAGCTGTGTGTATGATGCTGTCTGTCAGGGGAGTGCTCAGGGTGTGGTCAGTGTCCAGCACCTACCGGAGATCGGCAGGAGACAGGCTGGATTGAGCAGAGGGCGGTGGAGTTATTGTACCCTCTCTCCCCTGCACATGCACACACTGGGTCTCTGTGGGGCAGCCTGAGTCCCTTGACCCAGGGCTTCAGCTCCTGTCACGGGACCCTCCTTACACAGATATATTTCCAGGTTCCAGTAACTTCCCTGCTCTCCCGCTACAGACCCCGGGGCGGCCAAGGCGCCCTGCTGTTAGTATCCTGGGACACAGCCCTACTCCTACTGGAGTCCCTAACGCCTACTCCGCTGTTGAAAATAGTTCCTTTATTAGACCCTCCTCCGATTACCCTGTTTGAGAGCGTGCCATCTGTTACCTGCAGATATCGATAGGAAAACGCTTAGCAAGTTTGAAGAACCGAAAAGGGCACTGTGTCTGAGTGGGTAGGCAGGGCAGAATGTCGCGCTGGTGAGGCGGGGCTGGGGCACTGTAGCCGTAAGGAACCTGGATGCTGAACGGAGGGGAGAGTCGCTGAACAAATGGTCAAGAGAGGAAATAAACGGATGAGGGCTGTCGCCTCTCCCGGGCGCAGCCAGGTGGCTTCCCCGACGCTGTTTGTGTTCTCTCCCCGGCAGGATGCGGCAAGGCCATGCGCCGGAGGAGTCGGAGCCGGGCTGCGAAGCGCCGTGCGCGGGTCCGTGCCACGCGCAGCGCGTGCTGCAGGCCCTGAACGCCTACCGGCGGAGCGGCACCCTCACCGACGTGGTGCTGCGCGCCGGCGGGCGCGACTTTCCGTGCCACCGCGCGGCGCTCAGCGCGGGCAGCGCCTACTTCCGCAGCTTGTTCGCGGCCGGGCGGCCCGAGCGCGGCCCGGCCGTGGTGCCAGTGGTGCCAGTAGCTCCCGAGGCGCCAGGCACGAGCCCGGCCGGGGCGGCGGCGGCGCTGGCCGTGGTGCTCGACTACGTGTACGGAGCGGGCGTGCGGCTGCGCGCGGAGGACGAGGCGGCGGCCGTGCTGGCGCTGGCGGAGCGGCTGGGCGTGGCGGGCCTGCGCGAGGCCTGCGTGCGCTTTCTCGAGGGCCGCCTGCGCGCCGCCAACAGCCTAGCGCTGCGCCGCGTGGCCGCCGCCTTCTCGCTGGCCCCGCTGGCCGAGCGCTGCGGCCGCGTCCTGCGTCAGGCCTTCGCCGAGGTGGCGCGCCACGCCGACTTCCTGGAGCTGGCGCCTGACGAGGTGGTGGCGCTGCTGGCGGACCCCGCGCTGGGCGTGGCGCGCGAGGAGGCCGTGTTTGAAGCGGCCATGCGCTGGGTGCGCCACGACGCGCCGGCCCGCCGCGGCCAGCTGCGACGCCTGCTGGAGCACGTGCGCCTGCCGCTACTGGCGCCCGCTTACTTCCTGGAGAAGGTGGAGGCGGACGAGCTGCTGCAGGCCTGCGGCGAGTGCCGCCCGCTGCTGCTCGAGGCTCGCGCCTGCTTCATCCTGGGCCGCGAGGCCGGTGCGCTGCGGACCCGGCCGCGGAGGTAGGGCCGCCATCCCCTAGCTTCCCGCCCTCCGTTCTTCCCGCCTGCTTCCACCGCTCATTCATTCTTTCATCATCTTTTAGTACTGCCTCTTGATGATATTCAGTCATTCGTTCAACATTTTAGAGGCTCGGTGCCCATAATTCTGCCCTTGAAGAGTTAACAAGCCAGTGAGGGAGATGCAGAGACCCCACAGCTGCGCACACTCTCTTTGGCCCATGCAACCGTAATTCCGAGTACTTACTACTCTACGCAAGTTCTGTGCAGGGTGCCGGGATGCGGAAGTGATTTGAAAACACTCTTTGCCCTCTGGGAGCTCGCAGTCTAATGAGGGATAGAAATAGGCAGGGGCATGGGGAAGTAGTGAAAGCAGCCTGCCCCACCTTTGGAAAGCCAGACTGGGAGGCTCTGGGCAGAGTAGCCCTTAATCATGCCCCCAGAGACGACACTCTCTCTAACACTAAGCACAGGGCCTGGGACAGAGATCCTCAAATATGTGCCAAAGGAATTAGAAAACCAATGGCTAAAAGGGTATGGAAATTCTGGTGGCGTCAGATGGTGGGGTCAGTGAGAGGGAAGAATGATTTACTGAAAGGGTGAGTTATCCGGCTTAATGGAATTAGGGATGAGGGGATGTCATAGGAGGAGGGAGGCAGCAGAATCAGCGGTTGGAGGTGAGAAAAGGGTGTTGAAGATGAGTTAGCGACAGACAAACCTGGGCTTGAATTCCAGCTCTGACGCTTAATGGCTTTGGGCACGCCATGGTATGTGAGCCTCAGTTTCCTCCCCTGAGAAAGGGGTAATAATCCCTACTAATAGAACTGCCATACAGATTAAACGAGGTGATTTTTCTAGGTGAGGGCAAGGGCTCTGTAAAGATTTTTTTTTCTGTAGTTTAGAGGTCAGCAGAATGCGGTAAGCATTAGCGATTCTCTTCCCAGTACCCACAGGCAAAGTTGGAAGTGGCAGGGTCTAGCGGGATTGAGGCCGGGGGATCGGGTGGGCGGGGGTGATGGCAGAAACGCATGAAAGGGCAGCGGGACCGTGCAGTGTGGTCGAGAGGGTAAGAGAGGGCCGAACTTGGGTGCGGCCCAACAGGCACTGGGCTTATCCGCACGCCAGATTCATGGACCTAGCTGAAGTGATCGTGGTCATCGGCGGTTGCGACCGCAAAGGTCTCCTGAAGCTGCCCTTCGCCGATGCCTACCATCCAGAGAGCCAGCGGTGGACCCCACTGCCCAGCCTGCCCGGCTACACTCGCTCAGAATTCGCCGCCTGTGCTCTCCGCAATGACGTCTACGTCTCCGGTGAGGGCGGAGCCGCAACGGGAGCTCACACGGGATTGACTAGTAGCCTCCGCACTCCACCCCCTTTGCTTTTCCCTCCAATCGGGAGAGAGGGGCGGGATGTTTTCTGATAACCTACAGTTATTGGCTGAAGTGAGCAGGGCTAACTACGCGTGTGACCCGCCCTTTATTCAGGAATGTTAACTTCAATACATATGATTACTTTTTGTTCTGAACCGGCTTCCTAAGGAAGTCAATTCGTATTAGTATTAATAATCACTTCAACTAGCCTACTATGTGCCGAACATTATGCTAAGAAGCTTACATTCGTTATCATTAAATCCCCCTACAATGCTGTTTTACAGATAAGAAAGGCTCGGAGAGGCTCAGAATTTCCCCCATTGTCTCAAAAATGGCAAAGCTAGGAGGAACACACATCTGTTTGATACCAACAAACTGTGTCCTCCCTAAGGCTCAAGCCCTAAAGACTCAGAGAAGCATAAAACACAGTCCTTGCTCCCCTGGAGTGTCCTGGAGAGGAGAGAGACTTCACTTTTACTGCCAGGCAGAATGTGATCAGAATTCTCAGAGTCCCCAGATGATCTGGAATGCCACTCAGGGAATCTAGCCAGGGTTCATAGAAGAGATGACTTTTCAGCTGGACCTTGAAAGTTGGAGGGAACAGTATGGGCAAAGGCACAAGGGCAGGGACATGCAGAAAGGAACCCTGGGGACTCAGGGCTCTGAAGTGCAGGTTGAGTATCACAGGTGAGGCAGGAGTCAGATCAGGGAGGCTTTGAGTCTGGGGCTAGGTGGATTGACCTTAATGTTGTAAAGAACTATGGGTGCCTGCAAAGAGTAAGGAGCAGGAGAATAAGCCAGGGAGGCCTCACAGACCATCCAGGCCACAGATTACCACTGGACAATTTATCCAAGGCCATTGATGGCTCTGAGCAACATGTGGGGCCTTTGTTGGGTGCCACTAGGAATAAACAAAGATGGGGCTACCAAACAGATGTGGCTCTGGTCACAGGCTCAGGCTGAAGGGTGCAGTTAGGGTTGTCCCCAGGGAGGCTCCCATTGAGAGGTGAATCCCTGGCCAAGATCCCCAGGGTGGCCAGACATGGGAAGGGAGAGTCCACATCCTGCATCCCCAGTACCTGGCCCCATAGGGCATGCCATGTCCTCCAGCAGCACCAATGCTGGGCCTGGAGCCAGAAGCTCTGGTTCTGGCTCTGACAAAAGGCCATGTAGTCTTCAGCAGGTCATTGTTGGTCTCTAAGTCTCATCTGAGTTTCTTATATGTAAACTGGGTCTAATATTCCCAACACCTCATGGAGGGATGAGATCAGAAATGAAATTGTGCAGGTGAAGGCAGAAGGGAGGGAGGGTTATTGGGTCACCCTCTACCTATCCTGGCTCCCAGTGCAGCTGGCTCTGCTTTTCCTGGATCCCCAGTACATTCCAGATGCTTGCCTTAGGTACCCTTTGTACTCTTACCTTTAGTACAGCGGCCCCCTCTTTGCTTTCCTGAGCACAGAGCCTGGCACACCACCACCACCACCACAAGGTGCCCGGCGAAAACCAGCCCCTTCTTCCTGAATGTGTCAGGCTTCTCCCCTCGAGGGTCGTAACTCAGACATTCCCACCACTTATTCAAAGCACACTGGGTCACAGGTCCAGAGTCTTACACCAGCTCAAGAAGTCCTCCTGCTGCCTTCCCTTAACCCTTCCTTTGGATCTGGGGGCCCTAGTTTCTAGCTCTTTGGGGGTGCTTGGGATAGCAAGAGAGCCGATGGGCAACAGCTGCTTCTCTCTCCCTAGGAGGCCACATCAACAGTCATGATGTGTGGATGTTTAGCTCCCATCTGCACACCTGGATCAAGGTAGCCTCTCTGCACAAGGGCAGGTGGAGGCACAAGATGGCAGTTGTGCAGGGGCAGGTAGGCACGAGCTGCAGCGGCTGCCCTGGGACACAAGGTACAGATCTGTGGATGTGCTGGAGGGAGGTTCTCTAAAACCCTCTCTTTGTAAGAAGGGGTCTGAAGCCCCCCAAAAAAGGAGACTTGTCCAAGGTCACATAATAATGGCTGATGCTAATAATAATAGCAATTACTGTAATAGTAACAGCCTGATGGTCAAGGGTATGGGCTCTGGGGCCATAGAGTCTAGGTTTGAATCTTGACTGTGCCACTCAAGAATAAAAGAATCTGTCGGCCGGGCGCAGTGGCTGTAATCCCAGCACTTTGGGAGGCCAAGGCGGGCGGATCACGAGGTCAGGAGATCCAGACCATCCTGGCTAACACGGTGAAACCCCGTCTCTACTAAAAATACAAAAAATTAGCTCGGCGTGGTGGCTGGTGCCTGTAGTCCCAGCTACTCAGGAGGCTGAGGCAGGAGAATGGCATGAACCTGGGAGGCGGAGCTTGCAGTGAGCCCAGATTGCACCACTACACTCCAGCCTGGGCAACAGAGCGAGACTTTGTCTCAAAAAAAAAAAAAAAAGTCAATTATCTTTGTAAGCTACATCCCGAATTCAGAAACAAAGATGCTTCTTAGAATCAATTAAGTGGGGTGGTAAAGTCTCAATACTAGCTATTATTATTAAGCATCAGCTTGGTGCCAGGTATTTTACAGCTGTAACCATGCAGGTTAAGGTCTCATCCCCGCTAAATGAGAGGAAACCGGCTCAGGGAGGTACAGCAACTGGGTGGAGGCTGCCCAGGTGGTGGCAGCACTGGGCTCGGGGGTCAGTTTGGTCCTGAAACTGGGTTGGGGACAGGGATAGTTTCCAGCTCAAAGACTGTAAGGACTGAAGCGATGAGGCCGAGGGCCCTAAGGCCCTGGCACCCGGCTCCCCGGCCCATGTCCTCACTTGCAGCTGTTCGCGGTGGGTGGCTTCGACGGCCTGAGGCGCCTGCACAGCGTGGAGCGCTACGACCCCTTCTCCAACACCTGGGCGGCCGCCGCGCCCCTCCCGGAGGCCGTGAGCTCGGCGGCGGTGGCGTCCTGCGCGGGCAAGCTCTTCGTGATTGGGGGCGCCAGGCAGGGCGGCGTCAACACGGACAAGGTGGGCGTGGGCCTCAGGCGCGAGAGGGCGTTGAAGGCTGGGGTGCCCACTGTGTGCCAGGCGCAGAATTGGGCGTTTCCATGCCCTTGTCCATTTATTCACTTAATCCCATCAACAGCCCAGACCAGTCACCTCCATGTTTCAGGGAAGGAAATGAGCAGAAAAATGACCCCAAGGTCACACAGTGGGTCAGCAGCACACTGGGACTCAAATGTTTGGGCTGGTGCCATGTAAGTTTCATACATTTTAAAAATTGAGGGCAAGATAGTTAAAATGCTTTTGTTCCATTCCAAAAACAATACACTTACTACTGAAAATTTAGAAAACACAGAAAAATAGAAAAAAAAAAAACCCATAATCCCACCGTCTAGGCAGAGCTGCTATTCATATTTTGGTGTGTTGCCTTACAGGCTTCCACTGAATTGATTTTTGTTTTTCTTACAGTTTTGTTTTGTTAGAATTTTGCATTCTGCATTTTATTCTAATTTAGGTATGAGCATTTTCCACGTGATTATCAACTTTACAGCCATCATTTCAATGTCTGTACTATTCCACATGGTGGATGAACTAGAGTCTACTCATCTTTTATTGTTGGGACATTTAGGCTTTTTGCAAATAAAAATATTTATCATAGCAGTTCCTTCCCTCCCCTGATGGCCTCATAAGCCTGTGGTCCTAGGACTTGACTCTTTCCCAAATTAGGGTGCCCACGCTTCCTTATTCCCTGACCACATTCTTCCAGCAAACCCTCCTGGAGCTGAGTGATAGGCACTCATGGTGGGAGGCCCCATTTAACACCATCCATGCAGCACTGATTTGTTATAGGCTGCTGTGGGGGGAGGGGGTCTCCAAGGAAACAGTTGAGGAAACAGAGAGTGAGGTGAGCAGGCAGCTAAATACAGAAACTGTTAAGGGCATCAGAAACACCCATGGGCATGTGGACAGCTGTAGAAATAGGGCTGCAAGACACCTCAGCTAGAATCTAATGACCTGAGAGCACCAGGAAAAGAGAAGGGAGTTGACAGTGTATGCAGCTAGGAACACATCCCCGTCGGGGGTCTGCTCTGAGGACCCTCTATAACCCTAAAGCAGACAGTACCTCTCCCAGCTCAGTATGATGTGCTCTATGATTAATCTAACATGAGGCGACTGTGTTCTCCATCAAAGGAGAGACTGTTCCTGTGTGTGTGTGTTGAGGGGTGAGGGGAGGGGGGAACACCAGGGAGACCTTTAAGGATGGGGTGGCATTTGAGCAGGACCTCGAAAGATGAGGAGGCTTTTGACAAAGGGAGTCCAGAGGCAGAGGACAGAACATAGAACTAGATGAAGAGCCCTTGAGGGCAGGGACGGTGGACCTCCCCCTCCCTCCCAGATGCTGGCTCAGGCCTGGTGGACACTGGCAAATGTCGTTTTGAATGAGTGCCCCCGGGGGGAGAGGTGGCAGCATGTGGGCGGTGGGGCATTTGTTGGGGGGGGCGGTGAGTCTTCACCACTGCTGCTCTTGCCCCTCAGGTGCAGTGCTTTGACCCCAAGGAGGACCGGTGGAGCCTGCGGTCACCAGCACCCTTCTCACAGCGGTGTCTCGAGGCTGTCTCCCTTGAGGACACCATCTATGTCATGGGGGGTCTCATGAGCAAAATCTTCACCTATGATCCAGGCACAGATGTGTGGGGGGAGGCAGCTGTCCTCCCCAGCCCTGTGGTAAGTGGAGGCTTCAAGGCAGGAGAGCGGAACCCGCTTCTAAGGCTCTGGATCTTGGAGCTTGTGAATCTTGTGACTCCATCCTAGGTGGTTTTATTATACATCACTCTCTAGCTCATCCTCACAGTGATAGTGAACCATGCATTTCACAGATGAGGAGACTGGCCTTAGAGAGGTTCAGCACCTGGCCCAGGCCAACAACTAGGCCCTGTTAAGGCAGAGCCTAGAACCCTGCAGTCCCAAGTGCTATAGCTTTGAGTGGGGATTTGGTCCAAATGACCCTGTGGTCTCTCCTGCCCCGAAGGCCACTGCTAGTAACCAATCATGAGGTAAGATGTGGGGAAGGGAGTTGCTAAGGTCTGCTCTAGTGATATCAGAGCAGGGAGGCCCAAGTCCTGGAAGCTCTGGCCCCTGCAATTCCCTGCCTCCCCTACCTTCTTCTCCATCCCCTGAAACTCCAGAGACTACACAGATATGGTTGGACTGGAGGTCTCTGCCAGTTCTGACCTTTGGTGACCTTAGAGGTGAGATTTCTGGCTTGAGTCTGAGATTCTAAGATGGCGGCAGTCGAGATTATTGTTATTGGTGTGCTTACCACATTCCAGGCTCTATGTAAAATGCTTTATATGCTTAACTTCCATTAACTGTTAAGGGAACCCTGTGAAGAAGGCACTTTAGTTCTTCTCCCTTTGCCGATGAGGAAACTGAGGTCCAGAGAGGTTAAGTGACTTGCCTAACGCCATTCACTGAATAAGGGTCAAGCTAGAGCTGGAACTCAGGTCCATCCAGTTTCCTGCCTCTCTACAGTCCAGATTGCCTGTTCACAGTCTGTGGGTCAAGGTTCTATTATCTGGCCTGGCCAGGCAGGGACAGAGGAAGCCCCAGGCTGGACCTGATAGTTGTCTTTCTGTTTGTCCACCCAGGAAAGCTGTGGAGTCACTGTGTGTGACGGGAAGGTCCACATCCTTGGCGGGCGGGATGATCGCGGAGAAAGCACCGATAAGGTCTTCACCTTTGACCCCAGCAGTGGGCAGGTGGAGGTCCAGCCATCCCTGCAGCGCTGCACCAGCTCCCACGGCTGTGTCACCATCATCCAGAGCTTGGGCAGGTGATTCAGATTTGGACAGCCTGAGCCAGGAGGCGGAGAGGCAGGCGGAGCTCAGATGCACACTCTGCTCCCTCATGGCACCTCCACGCAAACAGCCCTTAACTTAATGGTCCCTTTTCTTGTATAAATAAAATCTTGTTGGGTCTGTGTTCCAGCTGCAGTCTGCCCTGCCTGGAGATGGAATGTCTAATATTTGCTCCCTGTGTTTACTCTTGATGAAGCACTTTTATACCATTGCAGTCTGTCTGGGCTACTATCACAAAACACCTTAGACTGGGTGATTTATAGACAACAGAAATTTATTTCTCACAGTTCTGAAGGCTGGAAAGTGCCAGATCAGGTGGCCAGCAGATCTGGTGTTTGATGAGGGCTCTCTGCTTCCTAAATAATGTTTTCTTGCTGAGTCTTCACATGGGAGAGGGAGGCCAGGCAACTCCCTCCAACCTCTCCTATAAGGCTCTAATCTCATTCATGAGGGTTCCACCCTCATTCCCTAAGCAATTTAATGCCTTCCCAAAGGCCCCACCTCTTACTACGATCGCTTTGGGTATTGGGTTCTGACACATACATTACCTCATTTACTTTCAAAATAGTAGTGTGGGCATTTTTAAAAACTATAAAATATTTCATGCATAAAAAACACACACTATATATATTAACAGTTAAAGAATAAAATGTCTGCTTCCCACCACTTAGAAAGAGATGGTTACAAACACCTCTGCAGGCTCGCGTCTGTTCCCAAACACATCCTTTCCCACACTCATCCCAGACAAAGTTACTGTCCTTAAATTTGAGATTATCAGGACTCACTGCTAGGAGCTGGAGACAAGCAGCGGGCTCCCCACTCATGGAAGAGGCTGAAACAAAACAAAAACAGTTATGGATCCCTGAACAACTACGGAGTGGAGGCTCACAGCAAACTGCAGGCCCAGGGTGGGGGCACCGTAGCCATGGGCCTCTGAGAAGCCAGTCACCCTGGCTCTGCACCTGAATCTGTCAGGTGTCCAACGTCAATGGGGGCACAAGCCCCTGATGTCATTATAAGCCTGGGGCTCTAGGGGCAGCAACAAACTGCTGGGTAGGGAGGGGTGAGCTCAGAGAGGGAGAGAAAGGGAACAAAAGACACCATAGACAGATTCTGCGAGGCTCTGTGCATATCGCTGTGAGGCCTGGAGGAGCTGGCCAGGCCCCAGCTGCAGGCTCCCCCTCATTTGTACTCAGATTGCCTTTGGAAGAAGAGCGATCATCTGCTCCTTGCATCTCCCTTCAGCACAGAGCCAGCCCCACATCCCACCCCATCTTCCAAAGCCCCAGGGCCCTGTCTACAGGGTCTCTCCAGCTGGGGCCGGCCCATCATGGCAGGAGTAAAGGCCCGGGTCCCAGCTGAGCTCCGACCCGCCGATTATCCCAGATTAGGGAGCCTGTGACCATCTGGACACAGCTGATAATGGCAGTGGAGGAGGGGAGTGGGGACAGTTAGCCTGCCTGCGCCCACCCTATGGGGAACGCTCAGGACAAAGCAAAGAAGGCATCATATCACTGGCCTACCCAGGGAAAAGGCAGGGGCAGATCCAGGGCACGCTCCTCCCAAACAAGTGGGCATCTTAGTTGGCTGGACCCTTCCCACATGCCAGGCAGGGCGCCCCATTTACCCCATGCTGACTGTTCGTGCCTCCAGTGCGCTTTCGTGCACGTGCCCTCTCCTTTGTCTGCCCAGGCCCACCTTATAACCTCAACCCGAGTTGCCTCTTCTCCTTGTGCCCCTTCCTTATCCGCTGCCCTCCTCTATCACCGGGCACATGGCCAGGTCTTTCTTTTATGTGACTTCTCTAGTCTCCCCTGACACACCCATAGGATTCCCCTTGAGGCAGGAAAGGTGTCAGTTTCACCTGTGTCCTCCAGCGCCTGGAACAAGGCTTCCCACTGACTACACTAAATCTTGTAATAGTGTAAGGCAGGCACTATTGCCGCCCGCCTGCCCCCTCACAAATGAGGAAACAGAGACTCAGCCTTGTGAGGTGAAGTGACTAAAGTCATTGGGCTGGGAAGTGGCAGCAGAGCCAGGATTCAGACCTGGGCCCAGCTATCTCCGAAGCCAGCTCTCTCCACACTGCCTCCCCCAGGCTCTGCTAACCTGACAAATGGCTTGAGTGCAGCACAGATGTGTCGAAGGAGGAGAGACCATCATTTGCACCATGGGGAATCCCTGTCTGATGGGATACTGTCCCCACCCTAGAGGCCTGCAGCTAGATGGACACATGGTTCTTGTCCCTGATAAGAGAGGTTCACAAACACAAGCAAAAGGTGACACCCCAGGTGTGCTAAGCTCCTAGGACTATTGGTTAAACCAAAACACCAAAAATGGAGGATCTCCCTGGCTCCTAATCCACTGCACTTTGGACACTCAGTCCAAATGAAAGAGAGGGACCTGCTACCACTTAGCAGGAAGCCAGGCCATGAATCCTGAGAGCACTGAGCCCTCAGGTGTGCGGCTTTGCCGTTCGCTCCCTTGTTGAGAACATAAGAGACTTCACTCGTGGTATACCCTCAGAAGCCACTGAACTCAAATTTAGTTTTTGAGTTTCTTTTTTGAGCAGTTCTATTTGTAAGGATATTTTATGACTATTCTTAATGGTCTTCCAAAGAACAAGATTTATTTTTTAAAAAAATGACTGTAAACCCAGTACTTAGGGAGGCCGAGGTGGGTGGTTCACCTGAGATTAGCAGTTCAAGACCAGCCTGGCTAACAAGGCAAAACCTCATCTCTACTGAAAATACAGAAATTAGCCGGGCATGGTGGCGTATGCCTGTAGTCCCAGCTACCGGGGAGGCTGAGGCAGGAGAATTGCTTGAACCTGGGAGGTGGAAGTTGCAGTGAGCCTAGGTTGTGTCACTATACTCCAACCTGGGCTAGAGAGGGAGACTCCATCTCAAAAATAAAAAATAAAAATAAAAACAAAATAAAATGAAACATTCATTACCATATGGATATATTAGATTTTCTTTTTTTCTTTCTTTTTTTTTTTGTTTGAGAAGGAGTCTCACTCTGTTGCCCAGGCTGGAGTGCAGTGGCACAATTTCAGCTCACTGCAACCTCCGCCTCTTGGGTTCAAGAGATTCTTCTGCCTCGGCCTCCCTCGTAGCTGGGATTACAGGTGTGTGCCACCATGCCCAGCTAATTTTTGTATTTTTAGTAGAGACAGGGTTTCACCATGTTGGTCAGGCTAGTCTCAAACTCCTGACCTCAGGTGATCCACCCGCCTCAGCCTCCCAAAGTGCTGGGATTACAGGCATGAGCCACCAAGCCCAGCCAGAGTAACATATTTCTAAAGACAAAAAAGAAACATGGTTATTTTCATCCAGTTAAATCATTCTACAGAAAGGATTTCATCACACAATACTGTGTGATAAAAACTTGGACCAAACAGTGAATCAGGATGACTATTTTTCCTGGTATGCTGAGGGTAAACCAGTGAGCAAAAGACCCACATCCTTTGGCACCCACCCCCTCTGGCAGGAAAGTGGCCCTATTGCTGTGCTATGCTTCCCCGGAAGCTCGCTCTAAAAAGCAAAAAAGTCCTTAATTAAAGGCCAGCTCTACCCTCTCTCTAGGCAACTGGGGGGCTCAGAGTCCAGCTCTCCTGCTCACCACAAAAAGGGCTGTGAGAATAGGCTGGTTGCAGGTGTAGTCAATGGCCTGCCAGTGAGGGTGGGATGCATATATCACAGTGGAACTCCCTGCTCGGTGGACAAAGACCCAGCTGTACCTGGGCAGGCTGAGGGGTTAGCACAGCACTGGACCAGGCAGCAGAGGCATGGCTTCATTTGAATTTCAGAGCTACTAGGGCTCCACCTTCTTTGTGAAAATGAGGGTTTGGGATCACATAAGTCATTCCCAATCCAGAGACTCACGTTACGTGTTCTCAAATTGGAAGTTAGGATCTTGACATTCTAAAATTTTTTTTTAATTCGAGACCAATTTATTCTCAAATTTTATGAACACAGGAATACTATCCTTGAAGAAGAGTGCATTAAACAAATCTTTCAATTCACTTCATCCTGTACTTTATTTTTTAAAAAATTTTTTTACCTTTTTTTTCCCTACCACCACTGCTGCCACCCATCGTGTATTTTAAAATAACTTTTTTCCATCTTGATTTTTCTCCATTGGGGATAAAAACCAAAATAAAAGATAACCCAAATACGGTTAAAAAATGTTTAGGATCTTGGGTTCCAGGCAGTTCAAAAACTGTCAAAAGGTTATATTTACCACCAGACTGCCACAATGGCAGAACAAAGTAAGAATTAGGACACTGAAATGGGTGGGGTGGTCCTGGCATTGCCCCAGCCAGATGGATCACATGGCCCCCCACCCAGAGAATCTGGGGCCAGGGGCAGCAGGTGGCCCAATGCCAGCCTGCCCATCCCTGGAATGAAAGCAGAGCCAAAGCTTCAGCTGTGTGGCCTTAGGGATGGGGCAGACTTGTGGAAAACCAGGCTGTGAGGCTGCAAACACCCTGGTTGCTGGTGGTCCTGGAGGGGTGGAGCCCGTATCTGCACCTCTTATCTGACCGAGAGGCAGGCCCACTTCCTTCCTGGCCTCTAGATCTTGATCCGGGCCGAGGCTGGGCAGCCTGGTCATTTTGGCCAATGCTCACACAGTAGTAAGCTGATCTCCATAGGTTAACAGTCACCTTCCTTCCCAAGACCCCAGCATCCCCTTACAGGTGTACTTTCCAGTGGCAATATCCTGCACCTGGGGCACACCACCAGCAGTTCAGTCCCCTGGGACAAGCAGCACCTCAGAAAGCAAGGGCCTGGGGCTGTGACTCTGGGAAGGGGTCAGGAGGGCCCAGGAGGGGCCAGGAGACCAGCCAATGTTTCTTACCTGCCAGGCTCAAGTGATCCTCCCACCTCAGCCTCCCAGTAGCTGAGACTACAGGCATGTGCCGCCACGCCCGACTAATCTTTAAATTTTTGTGTGTGTGTGACGGAGTCTCACTCTGTCACCCAGGCTGGAATGCAGTGGCGCGATCTCGGCTCACTGTAACCTCCGCCTCCCGGGTTCACGCCATTCTCCTGCCTCAGCCTCCCGAGTAGCTGGGACTACAGGTGCCCGCCACCACGCCTGGCTAATTTTTTTTGTATTTTTAGTAGAGACGGGGTTTTACCGTGTTAGCCAGGATGGTCTCGACTCCTGACCTTTGATTCCCCTGGCTCGGCCTCCCAAAGTGCTTGGATTACAGGCATGAGCCACCACTCCTGGCCTAAATTTTTTAAGAGATGGAGTCTGGCTATGTTGCCCAGGTTGATCTTGAACCCCTAAGCTCAAATGATTCTCCCATTTCGGCCTCCCAAAGTGCTGGGATAACAGATGTGAGCCACCATACCCTGCCAATATTTCTTAAAGCCTAAGAAAAATCACCAGTTCTGCCTAAGATGTACTGTATGGATTAAACTTGTAAAATGAGGTTAGTAATGAAATCTGTCCATTATAAGGGATGTCAGGAAGATTAAATGTTTACAGCAAGCTCAGGGCATATAACAATTATCTTCTCACCATGGTCATGCTTACGCTATAAATGTAGCTTTGGCTAATAACAGAGAGTCATACCAGTCTGGGTGTTATAAGGAAAAAAAGAGAATGGTTTGGTTGATAAAATAATATCAAAATCTAATGTCCCTGAGGAGAACAGTAAGAAAAACAATCTCTGAGGTTGAAAATATTCACTCTCTATGATACTTCAATGTTTTCCAGCTCTGATGCTGGCAGGCCCTACTTTGAAATACAACAGCTGCATTTATACATAGCAACATCAGATCTCAGAAATAATCACTAGATGGATGCCTGTAATCCCAGCACTTTGGGAGGCTGAGGTGGGCGGATCACCACACGTTGGGAGTTCAAGACCAGCCTGGCCAACATGGTGAAACCCCGTCTCTACTAAAAATTAAAAATTAGCCAGGTGTGCTAGTGCATGCCTGTAATCCCAGCTACTCAGGAGGCTGAGGCATGAGAATCACTTGAACCCAGGAGGCGGAGGTTGCAGTGAGCTGAGATCATGCCACTGTACTCCAGCCTAAGTGACAGTGAGACTTTGTCTCAAAAAAAAAAAAAAAAAATAGAAATAATCAAGATGGAAAATGGAACAAGGCACAGTAAAAGGCCAAATTCACCATTGTAAAATGGGAATATTGATTATCTGCCCAGCTATGCCCACCTTTTGAACAGAAACAGAAAGCATGGCACCTGTAGTCAGTGCACGTACAGTTGGGATGGGGAGAATCCAATATCATGAATTTAGGTATTAAAATCCAAGAGGATATGCTTAAGTAGTGGTAATAGTAACAGCTAGCACTAATTGGGCACTTGCTGTGATAGGTCAGGCATTGTGCTAAGCACTCTACATGCAGATGACCAAAGGGAGGAACAGGGAGGTAACTGATGTGCTTGCGCTCATACTGCTAAGTTGTATACCTGGTGCTGAATCCAAACTGTCGGGCTTGAATAGCTGGGGTTTTCTTTAATTTTTCTCTTAGCCATGTTATCCTTTATTGTCCAAGTTTTCTACAATGAGTGTTGATGTCTTTTTTTTTTTTTTTTTTTTGACAGAGTATCTCGCTCTCTCACCCAGGCTGGAGTGCAGTGGCACGATCGCGGCTCACTGCAACCTCCGCCTTCTGGGTTCAAGCAATTCTCATGCCTCAGCCTCCTGAGTAGCTGGGATTACAGGCATGTGCCACCACACCACACCTGGCTTTTTTTTTTTTTTTTTTTGAGATGGAGTCTCGCTTTGCCGCCCAGGCTGGAGTGCAGTGGCACGATATCGGCTCACCGCAACCTCTGCCTCCCAGGTTCAAGAGATTTTCCCGCCTCAGCCTCCCAAGTAGCTGGAATTACAGGCACCCACCACCAAGCCCAGCTAATTTTTGTATTTTTAGTAGAGATGGGGTTTCACCATCTTGGCCAGGCTGGTCTTGAACTCCTGACCTCGTGATCCACCCACCTTGGCCTCCCAACATGCTGGGATTATAGGCATGAACCACCATGCCCGGCTAAATTTTGTATTTTTAGTAGAGACAGGGTTTCACCATGTTGGCCAGGCTGTTGTCGAACTTCTGGCCTCTACTGATCCACCAGCCTAGGCCTCCCAAAATGCTGGTGTGAGCCACCACACCCCGCCAGAGCTGGGCTCTTAACTGTTATAATGTCTCCAAACAGAGGGAATAGATGATAAACACTAGAGAAGAAACACAGAAATGCGTATTAGTAGTTACATCTCCTTTAACTCCCACAACAGCCCTGTGAGATAACTGAGGATCAGAAAGGTCCAAGGTCACCCACTCAATCAGTGCTGGTGCCAGAATTTGATCCCAGGTCTGACTGCAATGCTCAGCTTCTCCCCGCATCTCAAGTCCCCTTAGTAAAGCACTGCAGAGGAAGGTGTTCCCACTCGCCTCACCACCACAGCAGCACTGAGATACTCATAGCCTTTGCTTAATTTCCCAGGTAAGAGTGAGGAGCATGGCTGACTGGAGGTGGTGGACTGGGTGGGGTCTGTGGCTGAAATTTCTTGGACCTCCCCTTGGTGGTGTGAGGTCACAGATGCAGGTAGCAGACTCCAGATTATCACATTACGCTGTGGGCTTCAGCAGCCTTGCCAGCCCAGCTTCTGTCTGGGAGTGGATCCCCCAAAAAACCCTTTATCCACTGTCCTCTCAGCACACATTGTGCTTCTCCTGGTTCTCTCCGCTAATGGTGGTGTTTTCATCCCTGACTGGCTCACCCTCTGGGTCTATCCCCAAGAGCTCACATTACTAGCAGGTGTTCTCTCCTTGCCTGATGGGCAAGCTGATCAGTTAAGCAGCTCCCAGCTCCCAGTCTGTCAGCAGCTGCCAGGAAACCTAATGACTAGAACCTAACTCTTCAGAGCCTGAGAATAACCTTTTTTATTTATTTTAATTTTTTTTTTTTTTGAGAGTCTCGCTCTGTCGCCCAGGCTGGAGTGCAGTGGCGCGATCTCAGCTCACTGCAAGCTCCGCCTCCTGGCTTCATGCCATTCTCCTGCCTCAGCCTCCCTAGTAGCTGGGACTACAGGCGTCCACCACCACGCCTGGCTAATTTTTTGTATTTTTAGTAGAGACAGGGTTTCACCGTGTTAGCCAGGAAGGTCTCAATCTCCTGACCTCGTGATCCGCCTGCCTCGGCCTCCCAAAGTGCTGGGATTACAGGCGTGAGCCACGGCACCCGGCCGACAGTAACCTTTGATGAGAAGTCCATGAAAGGCTTCAGCCCTTGTCTCCATGTTGCCAATAGCCATATTTCTACCAGTGGGTTCCAAGGACAATTTCACAACATGGTTTTGGCCACCCAGCATCAACACCTTGCCTAGTTGGTGGGGAGGGGCATTGAGTATGGCACTGGGCTGGGCCTCATTTCCACTGTAGAAGCCAAAGCTATCTTTTTCAGCAGCTGGGTCAGACACCAGGCTTGGCCAATCAGATGCCCACACCCACAACTTTAAACCTCAGAGTGACACAAAGAAAAAGGGACAGCTGAAAAATCGTTCACTGAGGGAGTCTGGTGATGACATCCTAGACCAGACTGCTTTTCAGCCATGACCTTGGCTGCGTTCCCTGATGCCAGCCTCCCTAGATCTCATTTCAGAGCTGAGTTTTCCAGGCTTCTCATAGATTCTGAGTTACCTGAGATCCTTCCAATAAAGTTCTATGCTGCTTATGTTAGCCAGTTTCTTCTTTTGCTTGCAGATACAATACCTAATTTGCTGTGGATGGCATCCAGCTCAGAGGGTTCTTGCCTCCAATGTGGGAGTCTTCCCTAAAATCCTGTTGTGGTGAGGTTACCCTGAGAGGGCAGGCCTGCTCTTTCTAAAATGGCTTCTGAACAAACTGTGCATTAAGCTGCCAGTATTGTCATACTTAAGGTAATAGCATCTGGGAAAAGATAAAAATACACACATTCAGTGGTGTATACATGGACTGTATCTCTTTAAGAATATACAAGAAGGGCTGGGCGCGGTGGCTCATGCCTGTAATCCCAGCACTTTGGGAAGCCAAGGAGGGCGGATCACAAGGTCAGGAGATAGAGACCATCCTGGCTAACACGGTGAAACCCTGTCTCTACTAAAAATACAAAAAATTAGCTGGGCGTGGTGGTGGATGCCTGTAGTCCCAGCTACTCGGAAGGCTGAGGCAGGAGAATGGCGTGAAGCCAGGAGGCAGAGCTTGCAGTGAGCTGAGATCGCAGTGAGTCGAGATCGCACCACCGCACTCCAGCCTGGGCTACAGAGTGAGACTGTCTCAAAAAAAAAAATATATATATATATACACACACACACATATATACAAGAAACACAGTGGAGAGCGCCTCTGCAAAGGGTGAGCTCAGCAGTGGGAGAGGGGCTGATTTTACCATGTTTATGAATAGACTAACATGTTTTAAAATATTATTTGGAACACATGTTAATTTTCACAGGTTGAAATAAAAACAGGACAGGCATGGTGGCTCATGCCTGTAACCCCAGCACTTTGGGAGGCCAAGGTGGGCAGATCACTTGAGGCCAGGAGTTCAAGACCAGCCTGGCCAAAATGGTGAAACCCCATCTCTATGAAAAATTACAAAAACTAACTGGGTATGGTGGCGTTTGCCTGCAGTCCCACCTCTTGAGGCTGAGGCACAAGAATCACTTGCCTGGGAGGCACAGGTTGCAGTGAGCTGAGATCACGCCACTGCACTCCAGCCTGGGCGATAGAGCGAGACTCTGTGTCAGAAAAAATAAATAAAATAAAAATAAAAACACATAGATTAGTATCATCTTTATTTCACTGGCAATCAGATTTTATATCTGAAGCCCTGACAGAAAGAAAATGACTCTCGAACTTTCCTGTGACCCCTGGCCCTCAGCCTTGGCTCCTTTGGCCTGAACCTCCTACTCTCCTGCAGAGAACATCCAGTTACTTTGGGATCACTGGTGGGGTGGAGGCAGGAGTCCCTGAGGGCAGTATGTACCCCCATCTGCATATTCAATGCCTCTTCTTGCCCCCTTCTCCCAAACCCTATTTTGAAATGGAAAGGAACAGAGAGAGGTAATGATAGCCTTGGCTTGAAGAACATTCAGGAGAGCTACAAGTAAGCAAGTCTCTCCTCATTCATCAAGCCCCCACTGTGGAAGTAGGAAAGATGGAGCTGCAGAGAGGTCCAGCCAGGAAAGGCAATAGAGTCCATGACAAGAGCCAAGCCAGTGCCACAATACCTCCTTAAAGGCTCCAAATACAGTCGTGCTGGAGGTTAGGGCTTCAACATAAGAATTTGGGGGGACATAAATCAGTCCACAACAGCAAGAGCCAGATCAGGGAAGGCTTCACAAAGGCAAGTTTCAACTAAGTTCTACTGGAGTCAGTCACAAGGGTGCAAGCAGTGTAAACAGCCAGGTACAAAAGCACAAAGAGGGGAAGATGAGTCCTTGTTTGGCCTTTCCTTCAAGGGTGCTGTAGATGGGCTTTACCTGGGTATTTAACTGGAAGTCTTTTGCAGTCCTGAGGGTGGGGCCATGACCACTACTGAAGCAGGATTCCATCTACTTGCACAGATTACAAGCTAAGATCTCTGGCTGTGTCCAGCACCACACATAAGGCTGAATGGTTGTCCCTAAAGGACACTGACAATGTCAGACTGCTTCACCAAGAGCCACAAGGCCTTTAAGAATTACCTTAGAGGTCTTCCCACCTTCCCTAACAGCAGCTAAATTCAGGGAACCACTTAATTCCTCTACTGAACAGCACTCCTGTGGCACAGCCCTGGCTGGAAGAGTAATGCCATTTGGTCAAGCAACAAGCATTTTCAACTCTCCCTCCCCACTTAAGACATATTAAGGGCTGGGTGCAGTGGCTCACACCTGTAATCCCAGCACTTTGGGAGGCCGAGGTGGGTGGATCATGAGGTCAGGAGATCGAGACCATCCTAGCTAACATGGTGAAACCCCGTCTCTACTAAAAATACAAAAAAATTAGCCAGGCATGGTAGCGGGCACCTGTAGTCCCAGCTACTCGGGAGGCTGAGGCAGGAGAATGTCGTGAAGCCAGGAGGTGGAGCTTGCAGTGAGCCGAGATTGCGCCACTGCACTCCAGCCTGGGCGACAGAGCGAGACTCCGTCTCAAAAATAAATAAATAAAATAAAATAAAATACAAATACTTGCTAGTACTTTTCATTATACTGTCTAGGGAGGCAATTACTTTGAAAATCAAGGTAAATGCCAAGCACAGTGGCTCACATCTGTATTCCCAGCACTTTGGGAGGCCGAGGAAGGAGGATCATTTCAGGTCAAGAGTTCAAGACCAGACTGGGCAACATGGTGAAACCCCATCTCTACTAAAAATATAAAAATTAGGCCGGGCACGGTGGCTCATGCCTGTAATCCCAGCACTTTGGGAGGCTGAGGTGGGCAGATCACGAGGTCAAGAGATCGAGACCATCCTGGCTAACATGGTGAAACCCCATCTCTACGAAAAATACAAAAAACTAGCCAGGCGTGGTGGCAGGCACCTGTAGTCCCAGCTACTTAGGAGGCTGAGGCAGGATAATGGCGTGAACCTGGGAGGCGGAGCTTGCAGTGAGCCAAGATCTCGCCACTGCACTCCAGCCTGGGTGACAGAGCGAGACTGTCTCAAAAAATAATAAAAAATAGAGTGCCTGCGATTGCAGGCGCGCGCCGCCACGCCTGAATGGTTTTCGTTTTTTTTTGGTGGAGACGGGGTTTTGCTGTGTTGGCCGGGCTGGTCTCCAGCTCCTAACCGCGAGTGATCCGCCAGCCTCGGCCTCCCGAGGTGCCGGGATTGCAGACGGAGTCTCGTTCACTCAGTGCTCAATGGTGCCCAGGCTGGAGTGCAGTGGCGTGATCTCGGCTCGCTACAACCACCTCCCAGCCGCCTGCCTTGGCCTCCCAAAGTGCCGAGATTGCAGCCTCTGCCCGGCCGCCACCCCGTCTGGGAAGTGAGGAGCGTCTCTGCCTGGCCGCCCATCGTCTGGGATATGAGGAGCCCCTCTGCCTGGCTGCCCAGTCTGGAAAGTGAGGAGCGTCTCTGCCCAGCCGCCATCCCATCTAGGAAGCGAGGAGCGCCTCTTCCCCGCCGCCATCCCATCTAGGAAGTGAGCAGCGTCTCTGCCCGGCCGCCCATCGTCTGAGATGTGGGGAGCACCTCTGCCCCGCCGCCCTGTCTGGGATGTGAGGAGCGCCTCTGCCCGGCCGCCCCGTCTGAGAAGTGAGGAAACCCTCTGCCTGGCAACCGCCCCGTCTGAGAAGTGAGGAGCCCCTCCGTCCAGCAGCCACCCCGTCTGGGAAGTGAGGAGCGTCTCCGCCCGGCCAGTCGCCCCGTCCAGGAGGGAGGTGGGGGGGTCAGCCCCCCGCCCGGCCAGCCGCCCCGTCCGGGAGGGAGGTGTGGGGTCAGCCCCCCGCCCGGCCAGCCGCCCAGTCCGGGAGGGGGGAGGGGGGGGTCAGCCCCCCGCCTGGCCAGCCGCCCCGTCCGGGAGGTGAGGGGCGCCTCTGCCCGGCCGCCCCTACTGGGAAGTGAGGAGCCCCTCTGCCCGGCCAGCCGCCCCGTCCGGGAGGGAGGTGGGGGGGTCAGCCCCCCGCCCGGCCGGCCGCCCCGTCCGGGAGGTGAGGGGCGCCTCTGCCCGGCCGCCCCTACTGGGAAGTGAGGACCCCTCTGCCCGGCCAGCCGCCCCGTCCGGGAGGGAGGTGGGGGGGTCAGCCCCCCGCCCAGCCAGCCGCCCCATCCGGGAGGTGAGGGGCACTTCTGCCCGGCCGCCCCTACTGGGAAGTGAGGAGCCCCTCTGCCCGGCCACGACCCCGTCTGGGAGGTGTGCCCAGCGGCTCATTGGGGATGGGCCATGATGACAATGGCGGTTTTGTGGAATAGAAAGGCGGGAAGGGTGGGGAAAAAATTGAGAAATCGGATGGTTGCCGGGTCTGTGTGGATAGAAGTAGACATGGGAGACTTTTCATTTTGTTCTGTACTAAGAAAAATTCTTCTGCCTTGGGATCCTGTTGATCTGTGACCTTATCCCCAACCCTGTGCTCTCTGAAACATGTGCTGTGTCCACTCAGGGTTAAATGGATTAAGGGCGGTGCAAGATGTGCTTTGTTAAACAGATGCTTGAAGGCAGCATGCTCGTTAAGAGGCATCACCACTCCCTAATCTCAAGTACCCAGGGACACAAACACTGCGGAAGGCCGCAGGGTCCTCTGCCTAGGAAAACCAGAGACCTTTGTTCACTTGTTTATCTGCTGACCTTCCCTCCACTATTGTCCTATGACCCTGCCAAATCCCCCTCTGCGAGAAACACCCAAGAATGATCAATAAAAAAATAAATAAATAAATAAATAATAATAATAATAAATAAAATAAAAATAAAAATTAGTCAGAGATGGTGGCACGTGCCTGTAGTCCCAGCTACCCGGGAGGTTGAAGTGGGAGGATGGCTTGAGCTCAGAAGGTGGAGTTTGCAGTGAAATTGTGCCACTACCACTGCATTCCAGCCTGGGCAATAGAGCCAGACCCTGTCTCAAAAAAGAAAATCAAGGTAACTTATGGAGGGTGGAGCTGTGTTTAGAGTGGCATATAGAGGGAGTCCCAGCATAATTTATACTTCTCAAACTCTGGTTACCAAGTGCTCACCTGAGCTCTACATTTGTCTTACATAGTTTTCTGTAAAAGATGTAGAAGAGTAGGCTGGGTACAGTGGCTCACGCCTGTAATCCCAGCACTTTGGGAGGTGGATCACTTGAGGTCAGGAGTTCGAGACCAGCCTGGCCAACATAGTGAAACCCTGTCTCTACTAAAAATACAAAAATTGGCCAGGAGTGGTGGCGGCCTTCTGTAATCGCAGCTACTCAGGAGGCTGAGGTTGCAGCGAGCTGAGATTGTGCTACTGCACTCCAGCCTGGGCGACAGAGCAAGACTGTCTCAAAAAGAAAAAAAACCTCCCACTTGAGCCTCCTAAAGATTACAGACATGAGCCACTGCACCTGGCCTCCCATATCTTCTTAGATACAAGGGAGGGGGCAAATCTGGGTTTTTTTTTTATTTTTTTGAGACAGGGTCTGTCACCCAGGTTGGGCTGGAGAGTGGTGGCACAATTATGGCTCACTGCAATCTCCACCTCCCAGGATCAAGCCATCCTCCCACCTCAGCCTCCATATCTGGCAAATTTTTAAAATCTCTTCGTAGAGACAGGGTTTCACCATGTTGTCCAGGCTGGCCTGGAACTTCTGGGCTCAAGTGATCCACCTGCCTTGGCCTCCCGAAGTGCTGGGATTCCAGGTGTGAGCCACCACAGCTGGACATATTTTGGCATTTTTAAATGGTTACACAGGGGTGTTCACTTTGATAATTCAATAATCTATACACTAATAATCTTCATTTTTCTGTCACAATTAAGTTTATTTCTTCCTCCCTAAGCTGTTACTCTTACTGCACATTGCCTTTGTCACAGCACCACCTAGTGGTAATTAACAGCACTTTCTTCCAATAATTCAGTAATCTATTACGCTAATAATCTGCATACTTTTCTGTCACAATTCATTAAGTTTCTTTCTTTCTCCTTAAGCTATTACTCTTGTTGCACATTTCCTTTGTTACAGCAACACCTAGTGGGAATTAACAGCACTAACTTCTCCCACCGGCTGAACTTCCAAGTGGACTGGAGAAAACTCATGAGGAATTTAAAAGATCACCTAATCTAATATACGGCACAGTACAGTCTTAACCTATTCCCAGCACTTAATCTGCAGATGTTTGGCCAGGCACGGTGGCTCACGCCTGTAATCCCAGCACTTTGAGGGGCCGAGGCAGGCGGATCACGAGGTCAGATCGAGACCATCCTGGCTAACACGGTGAAACCCCGTCTCTACTAAAAATACAAAAAAAAATAGCCAGACTTGGTGGCGGGCGCCTGTAGTCCCAGCTACTCGGGAGGCTGAGGTAGGATGGTGTGAACCAGGGAGGCGGGGCTTGCAGTGAGCAGAGATCGCGCCACTGCACTCCAGCCTGGGTGACAGAGCGAGACTCCGTCTCAAAAAATAAAAATAATAAAAAATAATTTGCGGATGTTCAAGTAAGTTCAACTGGCTGGGTGCGGTGGCTCACGCCTGTAATTCCAGCACTCTGGAAGGCCGAGGTGGGGGGATCACTTGAAGTCAAGAGTTTGAGACCAGCCTGGCCAACATGGGGAAACCCGGTCTCTACTAAAAATACAAAAATTAGCTGGGCATGGTGGCGGGTGCCTGTAATCCCAGCTAGCGGGAGGCTGAGGCTGGAGAATGGCTTGAACCCAGGAGGCGGAGGTTGCAGTAAGCCGATATAGCACCACTGCATTCCAGCCTGGCACACAAGAGCAAAACTCCACCTCAAAAAATAAAAAAGACAGGAATCCATATAATCATCAAAGGCTCTTTCAAAAAGGTGAGGGAGGGGCAGCACATCTGCAAGATGAAGTTCTGGAGATTGATGCACAATGAGAATATAGAGCAGTCTTCCTGCAGTACCAATGATTGGTTCCATGACCCCCTTCAAATACCAAAATCCCCAGATGCTTAAACTCCTTATACAAAATGGTAGAGTATTTATACCTAAGATAACCTAGGCACATCCTTAGACTTTCAATCTTCACTGGATTACTTTTAATACCTAATGTACATGCTACATAGCTGTTACAACTGCAGTGTACAAGAAAATAAGTGACAAGAAAATATAGTATTTTGAAAATAAGAAAAATAAGTCTACATGTTCAATACACACACAACCATCCTTTTTGATTATTTTTGACCCAAAGTTGGTTGAATCCACAGATGCAAATCCCTTGGACAGAGGGCTAACTCTGTCACTATAGAAGTGTACACTTAAATGGTTAAGATGACCAATTTATGAGTCAAAAAGGAAGGGGGGGTCAGATACTTGTCAGTGTACGCCCTACATAATTACCTCAAATATTAAGCCCTTACCATGTGCCAAGCAATATAAACACCATGTGCAGCTCAGTCTAATTGAGAAGAAAACCAAATCATCACAGCACCTGCTAAGCCATCTGTGGAGCCAGGGTTATCTCATCAGCCAGGCTGCATCACCAGGAAGCAGCCACCTGATAACAGCTTTCCCTGGAAGTCCCCTCTGTGATCAACCAGCATCTGATTTAACAACAGTCTCATGATTTTCAAGCCAACCTGTCCCTCACTAGTTTTGCCTGAAAAAATAGTGCCGAATTTCTTGTGAAGTACAGACACTGGTAGAAAATACTTCAAAACATTGATAGATAAAATCAGAGACAATTTAAATGTTCTTCACAGTTCTCCAGAACATAATAGCCTGTAGTACCAATGACTGGTTCCATGATCCCCTAAGAGAACACAACTTAGGAATGTGGATTCTAATGATAGCTTTATACTGCTTAGGCAAATTTACTTCTGAGCCTTATGTGCCTTCAGTGGTGCAAGCAAATTTCCTTTACACTTTAGAGAGGTTGATTAACGAGTACATATGTAAAGAACACTTAGAGCACAGCATGACACAAAATATAATGGCCATTTATATTCACTTTCTATGTGCAACGTGGATCGCCTTATGCATAGGAAAAACTCAAACATATCCCTCTTCTAAACCTACAATCCTGAACTACAGGACAACGAATCAAGGTGCTGCCTTGCTTGCTATCAGCCTTCTCTATCACACAAATATTATTTCTCTGGTTGGCTCTGCTTGGGTCTTACTGTTCTGGCCCTTGCAAATACCACAAGTATGGTTAAAACCAAGAAGATATGTAATGCTCCAGAGGCCAACATGCCCCTCAGTCTGAATACTGAACAGTCTAGTCAGACCTTGTGTCTTTGTACAAAATTTTATTAAAGGTCTTTAGAGAGCAACATCCAGACTCCAGAATACAGCTGCCAAGGAGACCCTGAAACCAAATAAAGCACAAAAGTAAGAAACTTTACCAGAGTTATTAAGTTCCTGATTTACCAAATGGATACACACTCCCACTTAGGGTTTGCAGCAACATTAATAAAATGCATACATAAGGGTTTGTCCTTTTTCATATAAAAAAAAAAAATACAAGGCACCTGGAGAGACAACACCTATAAACAAAAAAACCCCAAGTGTTGACCACAGGAGGCTTGTTAGTGTTTTACAGGGGCTGCTAAAGGACAGAATAGCAAAAGTGCCTAGAAAATCTTGAGCAGCCAAGCACAGTGGCTCACCTGAGGTCAGGAGTCTGAGACCAGCCTGGCCAACAAGGTGAAACCCCGTCTCTACTAAAAACACAAAAATTAGCTGGGCTTGGTGGCAGGTGCCTATAATCCCAGCTACTCGGGAGGCTGAGACAGGAGAATTGCTTGAACATGGGAGGCAGAGGTTGCACTGAGCCAAAAATTTTGAGCAAATAAGGGAGGATAAGGGAAAACTATTTCATATACACGAGTAAAAGCAGGAACTTCTTTCTGGAAAGAATAAAGGCAACACCTGTCCCATTGGAACCAAGGGTTAAATAGACCCCAGGTTTCAACTTGTATTCTCCCACATAAAGCAAATAAATGAAATTTTTATTCACCAAACGCTTACCAGAATGTGGGATACAAGTATTAACAGAAAGACTCGGAAGGACCCTATTATGCCCCAAGAGGCCCCTGCCCTTGCAGACATACCTGTTATGCTGTGGGGACTGGCTGGGGCATGGCAGGCGGCTCTGGCTTCCCACCCTTCTGTTCTGAGATGGGGGTGGTGGGCAGTATCTCATCTTTGGGTTCCACAATGCTCACGTGGTCAGGCAGGGGCTTCTTAGGGCCAATCTTACCAGTTGGGTCCCAGGGCAGCATGATCTTCACCTTGATGCCCAGCACACCTAGAGGACACCACAGTTGTTAGCACACAGCTGGGGTCTCAAAGGCCCCCATCACACAAGACCAAAGAGAGCAAGCAGTTTACTCAAGCACCCCTGGGTCTGGACCCTTCTCAGACAAATGCCTCTAAATCGATCAATAAATAGGACACTTCTGCCAAAGGAACTCGTGCACAGCACCACAGAACATGGCACTGACAAGGACCAAGAGCAGGACGTGACCTTTCTGACTCGTCATCGTGTCATCACTGAAGGGTACACAGATGGCTAAAACAAGGACAAACCAACTCTTGGATCTGACAGATCTCAGCAAATCGATTCTTACAGATCAACGTGGCAATCGATACACCAAGGAATATGAACATGCCCAGCTACTTCCATGATAAACTCCCCCAAATACTTAAGATGTCTGTGGAAAACCAAATCTGTCCACAAATGCCCTTTGCCAAGCACTCTCAGCTGCTCACCCTGTCTGAGCAACACGTGGCGCACAGCAGTGTCAACGTAGTAGTTAACAGGGTCTCCGCTGTGGATCATCAGGCCATCCACAAACTTCATGGATTTAGCCCTCTGTCCTCGGAGTTTCCCAGACACCACAACCTCGCAGCCTTTGGCCCCACTCTCCATGATGAACCGCAGCACACCATAGCAGGCCCTTTAAAAGAACAGAAGAGAGCCACTGTGTTATTGCCAAGGACCTCCACCAAGTTTAAAAAACAAAACAAAGACTTGGTTTTCAATGTTCCTTTAATGGAGAATAATTTGACCAGAGTCCGGCCCCAAGAATACCAATTCTCTTCCACACCTATCATTCCGAACCTTAGGGTAATATTCATCAAGTATGTCAAGCTCCTAAATATGTACTTTCCAACCCTGGCTGCATACTGGAATCACCTCAGAAGGCTAAAATAAAAAACAAAAGAAACCCTGACATCTAGGCCCTACTCTAGGCCAATTAAATGTGCAAAGTCCAGGAATATCTATTTAAAAATGCTCCCTGGGTGATTCTCATGTATAACCAAAACTGAGAACCACATTTACACTCCACAATTACCCACTTTGTGGTCCCTTGAAATACTCTGCAACCTCCGAAGTCTCATTCACTAGGAAAGCTTACCCACCTAGGATCCTGGCTATCTTGCTATTAGAACGCTGATAAAACACTTTAAAATATGACCTACCCCCCAACTCATTCGGCAGTTTACGCTCTGCGAGATACTAACTGGAGAGCTAGCCACCTCCAGGCCCTTTCACATTATCTTACTTAATATTCCACAACTGAGAGGTGGTATAATGGTCCACCTTAGAAGATAACAGATCCCAGGCTGAGAGGTTCATTAACTTGCTTCAATGTGTGCAAACAGCATGTGGAGGGGTTATTAAGACAGATTGCTGAGTCACACATCCAGTTTCCCATTTGGTGGGTCTGGGGCTGGCATTAATCTTGAGAACCATTGTTCTAAGCAGCCTAGCTGGCACTCAAACCAGGTAAGCCGTCTTTTCTATGTCCTTACCTAGAGCCTTGCCTACACTACCCATCCCTACCAGTCAACCTTCCTACAGCACAGCTTTCCTGTCATTCCTCTAGGCAAGGCATTTCAGTGCCTTTACATACAGTCAAACTGCACAAAGAACTTCCTGTTGAAATCTTACCAGTAGACCCTCACATTACTACTATCTGCATGCAACTCAGAGGTTAAGTGTCTAGATTTTAAGCTATTTTGCATCAGGTCTATCTTATCTCTTCACAATACCATCTTAAGAGTGAACACACTAAGCAGATTTGAATGATTGCTACTAAAGTTTCATGGTATCCTAACTAGTACTAAGGCACTTCTACCTAGGGATACGTAACACACCCAGTAACAGGCCTAATTATTCCTCATTGCCCACTGCCCCGCCCCCCGCAACAGGGCTCTTTGTAAAGCCTTCTCAAGAAGACCAACAGGAGTTGGTCCCCTCCTTGGACAGTTCTATTTGTGTTTAACTCCCAAAGCACCCAGAACACTTCTCCATTACAGGACTGACCACCCTTTACAGTTCTTGCTGCTTTAGTAGTCTTGTTAGCCTGCCAGTTCAGTGAGGGCATGACTTAGTATCTTATTATAACCCTGGGAGACTAGCAGATCCTGTAACTTTGTAACAGTTCATCTGCTAAATTAACAAATGGCAGACATGTATGTTGATACACACAAAAGGTCATGACCATTAGGTCTCAGGACACTTACCTCCGCACAGCAAGCCCTCCTAGGAGTTTGTAACGCAGAGACTCTGCCTGGGCAATGGCACACAGACCTCTAGTGGCCACCTTTTCAGCATAAAGCTTTAAAGGAAGCAAGGGATATCCTGTTACCATCACCATTATTTTCAACTGAAAGTTGAAAATTTGGCATTTGCCACACAAGTATCACTTTCTACACCAAGCTTGCCCAACCCACGGGCCGCATGCTGCCCAGGAGATGGCTTTGATTGTGGCCCAACACAAATTCAACATCGTGATTTTTTGCGCTACCAGTAGTAGTGTGGCCCAAGACATTTCTTCTTCCAACGTAGCCTACGGAGGCCAAAAGATCGGACACCACCATCATATACAGCATATAATTTCAGTATCCCTCAATTCCTAAAGCACTTCTACCACCTACACACAATGCAGGTTCCTTGCCCTCCCACCCTGGCTCCTTTGGCCATGCCAAGTACACCAATGGGGACAGTTAATCCATCATATGCATCATTTCTATACCCAAGTTGAATGTAAAATCCTTTAACCATCAGCCATTAGCAGAATAGGCTTACAAAGTTAAGCCCATTATTCATTAAGAGAATTTCAACAGTTATACCAGTCCATTTGTAATGAACAAACAATTAAAGTCTCCAAGTTGAGAGTTTTTAGAAGTATCATTCTGAAGAGCCATTACCTCTGGCATATGCCAGAATCACTCACCTCTACACTGCCCTCTGGAAAGCCAAACCTCTTCTGAACTACAGCAGTCAGTTCCCGAATCCGCCGGCCCTTCTCACCAAGAACATTCTGTGTTCTGGGGGGGAAAAGTGACAATTCAAGATTCTCACAAATGCTAGATGTAACTTTAAATCTTGCATATATGTGTGGTAGCAAAATCTCTGCCACAAAGCATATAATTTTCATTGACAAAAACTAAAATTTTTAAAACGCAGCTTTTTTTTTTGAGACAGGGTCTCACTCTGTCACCCAGGCTGGATCACACCAATGGCTCACTGCAGCCTGAACCTCTTGAGCTCAAGCCATCGCCTGCTTCAGCCTCTGGAATAGGTGGGACCACATGCATGCACCACCACACCCTTTTTTATTTTTTGTAGAGCGGGGGTTTCCCCATGTTGCCCCGGCTGATCTTGAATTCCTGAGCTTAAGTGATCCTACGCCTGGCCTTAAAATCTAGCTTTTAAGAAGCAATTACATTCACTAAGCCCAGATTCACTGTTCCGTCTGTCCCCTTAAGTTCATAAAGGATAAACCTGCCGGGCGCGGTGGCTCACGCCTGTAATCCCAGCACTTTGGGAGGCTGAGGCAGGCGGATCACGAGGTCAGGAGATCCAGACCGTCCTGGCTAACACGGTGAAACCCCAACTCTACTAAAAACACAAAAAATTAGCAAGGTATGGTGGCGGGCGCCTATAGTCCCAGCTACTCGGGAGGCTGACGCAGGAGAATGGCGTGAACCCGGGAGGCGGAGCTTGCAGTGAGCCGAGATCGCGCCACTGCACTCCAGCTTTGGGGACAGAGCAAGACTCCGTCTCAAAAAAATAAATAAATAAATAAACCAACTTAGCATTTATAACAATTATAGGTGATGGCCAGTCAAATGAGTTTTACCTGGTGGCTAAGATAATGATTTCTGTCCTGGTTGGTGTAACTCGCACCTCAACTCCAGAGTAGCCATCTTCAGCCAGCTCCCGAGTAAGAAACTCATTCAGTTCAGCTTTGAAGATGCCATCAGCGACAAACTAATCCAAACAAAGCAAAGTTCAAAATTAGGAGATCGGTGTAGGCTCACTTTCGCCTGAGCCAGTCTAGTCTTATTAGTCAATGCATCCCTCACCAAAACTAAATACCTCCAACCAATGGTTCCAAACCCTTGTTCCAACAGGAGTGCAGCAACCCTTCTCAGACAAATGCCTCTAAGTCATCTTTAGGAAATTACTTCAACCAGGGCTCTTTAAACTGTGCCACAGAACGCAGCACAGAGTAGGCCACCTGGGCAAAGAGAACATCCCCAAGTCAGACTCGTCATCATCTCTTCATCGAAGGGTTTAAAACAGTTCCACATGCAAAACAAGAAACTGCTCTAATGGCCTATTTACACTTCATTCAGCACAGCAAAGACACTGTACTTGTCACTGTTAAGGAATAGATAGTAGACTTAACATATAAGCTCTCTCACTTGTAGACACAACCTGCACCGTCTAAAGAATCCCAGCCATGTTATTTGGCTTTACGGTACCAACAGAGCTGGCAAATCCTAACTCTCGAGAAGTTGTGGATTTAATTTTGACATCGAAGTGTATATACGAAATGACAAACTGTCTATTTTTAAAGCTAATGATTTTTACACAGTTCTATCCCATGTAATGACAAGGCGTTAAATCCGAGGCAGCTTCCTCCCGGGGTCCCCAGACGGAGCAAGCAACCGTCAGCAACCCTTCAAGTTGAGGTCCTGGGGCCAGCGGACTGTACCCAGAAACGACCAGTTAAGGCAAGAATACACTGCTGCCTTCTCTTCCCAAAACCACGGGATAAGACATGAGGGAAATGACACACGCCCTCAAAATACCACGTTTACTAATTCCGTTGACCGACAAATGCTCACAAACGCCTTCTCCGGGACAGAAGGGGCGCCTGGTGCCCATCTCTCTGCGCTTCACTTGGAACCCGGCCACACAGCGCCCTCCTGGCTGGGGCCTCTCACTCAATCCACCGCCATCCGCGGCCCGCAGGAACGCCAGGAAGCCTAGGCCGCTTCCAGGGCAGGCCACGGAGCTGCAGGCCTCGCGGTGGCACCCCGAGAAGCCCTCGACCCGCGCGGCGCCGTCGTTCTCCGAACCCAGTCCCCAGAGGCTCACCTTCCTCTTCTTGGATATTTGCACTGCCATCTTGCCGCCGCGCTCCGCTGAAAGGAAAGGAAGTGGCTCGCGGGCGGAAGTGAGTATAAAGGGCGCGAGCGACGACGGAGGGCTGCGCTGCGTGCACGCCTGTGGGTGCTCATGGGAAATGTAGTTTTTACGTAAGTAAGGCGTCCAGGGAAAGAAGAATGTAGGCAGGAACAGGAAAGGGGCTTCATCCAGCAGGACTTCTAAACTTCAGGGGACCTTAGAGTTCAATTCTCATAGTTTCAAAACAAGCAATGTGAGGTGCAGAGGTGGAAATTACAGGTATAAGTTCACACAGCAAGAGAGATTAACCAGCGTGGAACTCTGGCCCCTACACTTTCAGGGTGGACACTGTAATGAAAATCTGCTGAAATCCCTCAGTGAAACTCATTTAAGACTCCTCTTTGGGAGGCCAAGGCGGGCGGATTACTTGAGGTCAGGAGTTCGAGATTAGCCTGGCGAACATGGTGAAACCCCGTCTCTACTAAAAATAGAAAAATTAGCTGGGAGTGGTGTCGGGCACCTGTAATCCCAGCTACTCGGGAGGCTGAGGTGGGAGGATTGCTTGGACCTGGGAGATGGAGGTTGCAGTGGGCCAAGATCCTACCACTGCACTCTAGCCTGGACCACAGAGTGAGACTCTGTCTCAAACAAACAAACAAACAAACAAACAAAACAACTCATGTCCCCCAGTCTGTACCCATTTCCTCCATTCCAAATGATAATAATAAAACCTGATACTTACTAAGTGTCCTAGGGACTGCGTTCTGTGTCCTTTATGTTGTTCTCATTTACCCCACCTTACTTTCATCAAGTCCATTACAATTTGTAACAGAAGTCCCAGAAGGTCCCATGGGCCCGCCCTTCCTTCCTTCCTTCCTTCCTTCCTCTCTCTTTCTCTCTCTCTTTCTCTCCTTTCTTTCTTTTCTCTCCGGTTGCCCAAGCTGGAGTGCAGTAGTACGATCTCAGCTCCCTGCAACCTCCACTTCCCAGGTTCAAGTGATTCTTCTGCCTTGGCCTCCTGAGTAGCTGGGATTACAGGTGCACACCACCACACCCAGCTAATTTTTGTATTTTTAGTAGAGATGAAGTTTCACTATGTTGGCCAGGCTGGTCTTGAACTCCTGACCTCAAGTGATCCACCTGCCTTAGCCTCCCAGAGTGCTGGGATTACAGGCATGAGCCACCGTGCCTGGCCTTCTTTTTCAATTAAAAAAAATTCTAGCCAGGTGCAGTGGCTCAGGCCTGTAATCTTAGCACTTTGGGAGGCCAAGGCAAGTGGATAGCTTGAGGCCAGAAGTTTGAGACCAGTCTGGGCAACAGAATGAGACACCCTCATCTCTATGAAAAGTGAAAAAAGAAAATTATCCAGGTGTGGTGGTGTGTGCCTGTAGTCCCAGCTACTCTGGAGGGAGATGTGAGAGGATTGCTTGAGTACAGGAGGTCTAGGCTGCAGTGAGCCGTGATTGTGCCACTGCACTCAGCCCGGGCAACAGAGTGAGACTCAGTCTAAAAAAAATAAAAAATTAAAAATGTCCCTTCATTTTTTAATGAAGCTTACAGAACAGTTGAAAAAACTGTACGTGTATGCATCACCAAGCTGAGGGGGAATTGAGAATGATGCTACAATTAATATTTTGCTGTTGCTTTATCGTGGATCTACTCATCCCTGTAGCCACCCACCAATACATCTTTTGAGGCATTTCAAAGTAAGTTGCAGACATTGGTAAACTTTACCCCTAAACACTTCAATAACAGTTTTATTTTATTTATTTATTTATTTTTGAGACGAAGTCTTACTCTGTTGCCTAAGCTGGAGTGCAGTGGTGCGATCGCCGCTCACCGTAACCTCCACCTCCCGGGTTCAAGCGATTCTCCTGCCTCAGCCTCCTGAGTAGCTGGGACTACAGGCAAGCACCGCCATGTCCAGCTAATTTTCATATTTTTAGTAGAGATAGGGTTTCACTATGTTGGCCAGGCTTGTCTTGAACTCCTAACCTTGTGATCCGCCCACCTCGGCCTCCAAAAGTGCTGGGATTACAGGCGTGAGCCACCGCACCCAGCCAACAGTTTTATTTTAAGTTTGAATAGTTTTCTTCATTTAAAAGTCAGGGTATTTCTCTCTAAAACTATTTTAGGTTTTTCTTAAGGATATAGAAATATCTAGCAAAATAGTGAACCCACATTTCTTCATGGGCAGTGCTCTCCTTTCCTGTTACACAAAAAGAGTCTTTCCAAGGTGCCACACTCCCTGGCAGCACCACTCAGTTATTTTCTGGTCCTAGAAGCCATTGGAGTGTTTAACTCCAGCTCTAAAACAACTCTGATGTAAAGTGACCTGTCCTATAATCACGGAATTAACAGAGTTCTGTGGTTGCTGAGCAGAGGGACCAGGGAAGATGACAAAAAGTGGATGGGCGCGGTGGCTCATGCCTGTAATCCCAGCACTTTGGGAGGCCGAGGCAGGTGGATCACCTGAGGTCGTGAGTTTGAGACCAGCCTGGCCAGCATAGTGAAACCCCATCTCTACTAAAAATACAAAAATTAGCCTAGTGTGGTGGTGCACGCCTGTAATCCCAGCTACTTGGGAGGCTGAGGCATGAGAGTCACTTGAACCCGAGAGGTGGAATTGCAGTAAGCCATGGTCAAAGCCACTGCCCTCCAGTCTGGGTGACAGAGCGAGACCCCGTCTCAAAGAAAAAAAAAGAAAAGAAAGGAAAAGAAGTGGATGAACCAAAGAACCAAAGAGATGGTAGCTGTGGATCTATCTTTTTTTTTTTTTTTGAGACAAAGTTTCCCTTTGTTGTCCAGGCTAGAGTGCAGTAGCGCAATCTCGGCTCACTGCAACCTCTGCCTCCTGGGTTCAAGCGATTCTCCTGCCTCAACCTCCCGAGTAGCTGGGATTACAGGCATGCACCACCACTGGCTAATTTTTGTGTTTTTAGTAGAGACAGGGTCTCACCATGTTGGCCAGGCTGGTCTCGAACTCCTGACCTCAGATGATCCACCCACCTCGGCCTCCCAAAGTGCTGGGATTACAGGCGTGAAGCACTGTGCCCAGCAGAAGCCCTAGTTTCTGACTTCAGTTGTGAATGCTTGGCGACAATCCTTACCAAGATGAGGAACCTAGGAATAAGTTGTTTTTCTTCCCCCCCCCACCCCCCATCCATCTGTTATCTCTCTCTGCTCTTCATGTGCCTCTTCATCCAACTCCTTGGTCTGTCTATAGAGTGGGGCCAGGTTGCTGAAAACATGAGCCTGGTAAATCCACCTGCCTATGGATTCACTAGAGATGTGGGCGCTGAGGGAGAGCACCTGGCCTTGCGTGCTGGGATCAGAGTAAAATCACAGCAGGCTCCTAGACCCTCTCAGTGAATCGCTTCTATTTTTCATTCCCATATGCCTCACATTCTCCCACGGTCCCTATTATAATCTTTGACAAAGCTAGAACCCCAGAACCTCCTCCTCACTTTCAATAGTCAACCTCCCTCCTAGTCCCTTGCCCCCCTAATAGATTGCACAACCAGAAACTGCCTCCCGCCCATCCTATAATCCCATGTGTCCCTGGCTATCCTTTCCTCCTTCCTTCCTGGCTTAGGAAAGAGACCCTCTTTCTTCCCAAGGCCAGCCTTCCCATTGTGTTCTGGTCCCAGTTTAGTTCTGTTTCCTTAAGACCTTGCTCTAGCAATCATTCTCCCCGTTGCCCATGGTAATCTCACTTCATACTGACTCTTTCCCTTCCCTGCTGCCCGCATGTTAAATACACCACTTCTTCAGGGTTTTGCCTCCTCTCATTGCTTTGATAGCGTTCTGTGCATCCCCTCCTGTGACACTCAGCTCACTGGGTTGGAATGGTCTATGTGTTTCTCTCAGTAGACTGTAGGTTCTGTAAGAGCCTGGACTGAGCCTATTTTATTCATTCTATTCAGAGCTTGGATCTGGACAGGCTCAGGCCCAGTGTCAGTCAAAGTTTGAAGAGCAAACAAATCAATGCATGGATTCTGGTTTTTAGATAGTTACTCGTAGCGTGGAACTAATATGAATTTGCCTGCACATGCTGTATCTTATTTGGGATGTTCAGAAAACCAAATTCTGGAGGCTCAAAGCTGAGGATCAGACAGTGGCAAGTTCTCTGAGGTAAATGCTTCTTGATGATGTGGTAGCTCATCTGCTGCCCTTCCCCAGGGATGCCAGGAGGCTGCCTGCCTGAGTGTCACCCCCTAGTCCCAGGAGAAAGTCCATGAAGGAAGCCTTTGTCTTGATCATACTGCCCTTCCTTTGTCTAAGACTATTATAAGAAAAAGGCAATATAGTACTCAAAATAATGCTATGAAAACAATAGTAGTTGTGATACACTGAGTTGTAATTAAGAGCAAGGACAGTGAGAGTGCCTTAATCTCTCCCTGGGTATCCAAAATGAAAGCAAGGCTTTATCTGTTCAGCCCACAGAGTCACAGAATTCTCCCTGGGATTGTGAAGAGAGGACTGTGTGTGTCTGAGAAAAATATGGCTTTGTGGCCACACTTGGGCCATGCAGGGGCCCTCTGAGCGTCACAAAGGTACTTTCCTGAAATTCCTGAAAACCAAAGGTGAGATTTGCCCTGGTCAAATGAATACAGCCCACAGTTTCTGGGAACAGTTTGAAAACAGTAGAACCTCATAGAAAGCATTGAATTTACCTGAATCCAAAGGCTGGGCATGGTGGCTCACGCCTGTAATCCCAGCACTTCGGGAGGCCAAGGCAGGCAGATCACTTGAGGCCAGGAGTTTGAGACCAGCCTGGCCAACATGGTGAGACCCCCGTCTCTACTAAAAATACAAAAATTAGTCAGGCATGATGGCAGGCCTATAGTCCCAGCTACTCAGGAGGCTGAGGCACGAGACTCATTTGAGCGCAGGAGGTGGAGTTTGCAGTGAGCCATGATTGCGCCACTGCACTCCAGCCTGGGCAACAGAGTGAGACTCTGTCTCAGGAAAAAAAAAAAAAGGAAAGAAAGAGAGAAAAACTTACCTGAATCCCACTCGATGAGCTTGGCAAAGAAAGAGAATTGAAGTCGTGGGAATAGGGGTGGGTGTGCCTGCCTCACTGCTCCAGAGTGGCTCAGAGGGAGGTGGGAAGACAGAGGAGCTTCTACTGTTCACAGAGAGAGGGTACATGGGTCTCCATTATGGCACCTGTTAAGGGATTGCTGTTCTAGGGCAATAGCGACTATATTCAGTTGTCACTTACTTTAGAGTCTGACACCCCCAGAGAGACACAATGATGTCATTGGATTCTCAGTGTTTTGTTTAAAATTGATCAGTGACTCACTCTGGGTCTCAAATTGAGTCTGCATATTCATAGAAGAATGCTGTCAAATAAATTTGAACAGATCTTTTTTTTTATTGCTTTTGTATCATTGCTTAAAAGACTCACACTTCTGAATACCCCTACTTAAAATAAAAATAAGATTCAGTGTATGGAAGAGTGTGATAAAACAAACATCCTCACTCTGTAGGTGAGGTGTGAATTGGTACTTCCTTTTTGGAGGGCAGCTTGGCAGTATCCACTAAAATTGAAGATGTAGATTCCCTTTGGCCCAGAAAATACATTTCTTTTTATCTACTGCAGAAAAAGACTCACACAATGTACATGGGGTGATTACAAGAATGCTTATTAGAACATTATTAGTAATAGTGAAAAAATAAATTATAAACAGCCAAAAAGCCCTGAAGTAGGAAAATGGTTATGGAATATTATGTAATCACTAAAAAAAAAGAAATAGATCTGTGTACTTGCATGGAAAAAGCATTAAGTAATTCTGCTATGTGAAAAAAAGCAAGATGCAGAAAAATATTACTCTATAATATTTATGTAAAATATAATAAAACATATCTATGCATGTAAATGTATGGAAGGATTTATACTCAACTGATAGAGAACTAAGGTTACCTCTGGGGAATGCAGCAGTATTAGGGGAGGTTAAGGAGCAATTTATGGCTTGACTTTTCTTAAAATATATTGGCTGGGTGCAGTGGCTCACGCCTTTAATCCCTGCACTTGGGGAGGCTGAGGTGGGCAGATTGCTTGAACTCAGGAGTTCGAGACGGGCCTGGGCAAAACTCCATCTCTACAAAAAGATACAAAAATTAGCTGGGCGTGTGGGTCTGTAGTCCTAGCTACTCAGGAGGCTGAGGTGGGAGGATGGCTTGAACCTGGGAGGTGGAGGTTGCAGTGAGCCCAGATCGTGCCTCTGCACTCCAGCCTGGGTGACAGAGCGAGACTCTGTCTCAAAAAACAAAAAAGAAAAAAATATATATATGCATGTGTTACTTGTGAAATGAAAACAAAGAAAAAAGAAAAAAAATGTAAGGAGACACGAACATATATGGATTTCTGATCATGCGACCACTTGTGAAACAATGGGGATGTCTTTTCCTACAACACAAAATGGCATAATCCTTTCTTCTGAAAACTCAGAGTCTCTTTTTTTTAAAAAAAAAACTTTTCATCTACAATGTGATCTATGATAGAAAACTCAGAGTCTCAGGCCAGGAGCTGTGGCTCACGCCTGTAATCCCAGCACTTTGGGAGGCTGAGGTGGATGGATCACCAGAGGTCAGGAGTTCAAGGCCAGCCTGGCCAACATGGTGAAACCCCATCTCTACTAAAAATACAAAATTAGCCGAGTGTGGTGGCACACACCTGTAATCTCAGCTACTCGGGAGGCTGAGGCAGGAGAATTGCTTGAACCTGGGAGGCGGAGGTTGCAGTGAGCCGAGATGGCGCCACTGCACTACAGCCTGGGCGACAGAGCAAGACTCCGTCTCAGGAAAAAAAAAAAAAAAAAAAAAACTCAGAGTCTCTTATTCAGACTATACATTTGTATTATCTTATACCATAGGCACTGACCTCATGGGGCTTTTGAGCACATAAAAATGGCTAGTCTGGATGGAAAAATGCTGTAAGCATAAAATACACACCAGATTTGGAAATACAAAAAGGAATATAATGTCTCATTAATATTTTATATTGATTACATGTTGAAACAATAACACTTTATATATAGGGTTAAATAAAATGTTATTACAATTAAGTTCATCTATTTCTTTTTGCTTTTTGCTACTAGAACATTTAGAATTACAGGTATACCTCAGAGACGTTGCAGGTTTGGCTCCAGACACATCCCAACAAAGTGAGTCACATGAATTTGTTTTGTTTCCCAGTGCATATCAAAGTTATATTTACACTATAGTGCATGTAAAAGTTATATTTGCACCATTGCACACTTAACTGTAGTCTATTAAGTGTGCAATAGCATTATGTCTAAAACCAAAATGTACATATCTTAATTAAAAATACTTTATTGATAAAAAATGCCAATGATCATCTGAGCTTTCAGTGAGTCATAATCTTTTTGCTGGTGGAAGATCTTGCCTTGATGTTGATGGCTGCTGACTGATCAGGGTGGTGGTTGTTGAAGGCTGGGGTGACTGGCAATTCCTTTTTCTTTTTCTTTTTTAGAGACAGTTGATAGCAAACTCACAGTTAAGTTTCATAGTCAGGTGAGTTCCTGGGACCCCACCCTGACCTAGAAGATCAGCTTTATAAGGATGGAAGAGGCAGATTAAGGGAAGTTCAGGATTGCTCCTGGAGGCCTGGAGGCCTGGAGCCAGGGAAGTGAGACCACCACAGCCCCTCACCCACATATACGTGTTCTTTCTCTTCTATAAACTGAGGTCCAAATGGTTTAGTAAATGAGGAGAGGTGAACTCAGTGAGTGCAACCACTTAACTTTGTTCAGGTTTTCCTGAATAAACTGGCTGTGTGGCCACTGGATCCGCACAGTGGGCTGGGATGTGGATTTAAATTCCTGCCTTTGAAGCTGGGCGCGGTGGCTCACGCCTGTAATCCCAGATCTCAGGGAGGCAGAGGCAGGAGGATAGCTTGAGCCCAGGAGTTCGAGACCTGCCTGGGCAATATAGCAAGACCCTGTTCTTCACAAAAAGGAAGAAAAAAAAAAAAAAGACACACAAAAAAATAAGCGTAATTTCCTGCCTTTGGGACTATTCAAGGCACTCCCCCTGATCAATTTTATTTATTTATTTATTTATTTTAGAGACAGGGTTTTGCTATGTTGCCCAGGCTGCTCCCAAACTCCTGGCCTCACGCCATCCTCACACCTCACTCAGCCTCCCAAATAGTTGTGATTACAGGTGTGGCCACTGCTCCCAGCTGTATTCAAAACACTTTTCAGATTGAATGATACTTTGGAGAAACTCTAGGTTTTTTCATTTAGCAAAGCATTACCAAGCACCTCTTCAGTGTGGCGTATGTTTGAGCCCGACAGCCTGGTCTCGCATTCCTGGTCTGGGTTTCTATAGTTACCAGCTAGGCGACCTCAGGTGTGTTATCTGTGCATCAGTTACTTCATCTGTAAAATGTGATGAAAATAATAGTAAACCCACACCCTGGAATAGTTGTAAGAGTAAATGAATTAATACAGGCAAAGTGCTTAGCACATAGTAAAGCATCCGGGATGCAGTGTATTCAATTGGCATTAGTTATTCTTGCTTGGAACCAGTGCCGATGCCAGATCCTAGTGTCACTGAAGAATCTGACTCCGCTGCTGCCTTCCAGGAGCTCAGAGCTGGGAGTGGGGATACAGATAAATGAGTGTGATAGGCATCATAAGGGGCATTACAGTGAGAAGGCGTTGGGGAAGGCAGGGTGTTGGAAAAGATGTCACAGAGTTTCAGTTCTTCAGTGGAGGCTTACAAGAGGCTCAGTTGTTTACCAGAGTAGTGGATGCACCAGGCAGCGTAAATGGGTTGAACACTTTGGGAGCAAGAGAACACCCCTGAATTATGAAAATAGTTTCCTGATTTAAACAATAAAATGCTTTCATTTAAAAATATTGAAAAGAACAAAGAAGGAAATAAAAATGACCCAGGAAAGCCTGGAGATGGTGGCTCACGCCTGTAATCCCAGCACTTTGGGAGGCCAAGGCAGGCAGATCACTTGAGGTCAAGAGTTTGAGACCAGCCTGGCCAACATGGTGAAACCTCGTCTCTAACAAAAATTAGTTGGAAGTGGTGGTGCGTGCCTGTAATCCCAGCTATTCAGGAGGCTGAGGCAGGAGAATCACTCGAACCCAGGAGGTGGAGGTTGCAGCGAGCTGAGATCGCGCCACTGCATTCCAGTCTGGGCGACAGAGCGAGACTCCTTTTGGAAAAAAGAAAAAAGACCCAGGAAAATAAAAATGACACTGTTCTGGTAAGGCAGTGTAAACTACGGGGGCACAAGTTTCCAGATCTCTCCCTAGGTGTCGATACCCACTGTGAGGAGTCAATGTGCACCTGCAATATCACACAAATGGGGGCACCACAATACACCCGGCGGCGAGGGACGCTGGCGCCATGCCTGGAGGGTGGAAAGGGAGTGGGCAGCTCAGGTGGAGGCAGACAGAGGGCAAACTGGAAGCCAGCTCAGTCTATTTCCTATCCCAGTACTGCCACTTACAAGCTTTGTGATCTCAGGCAAGTCACTTAACCTTTCTGAGTCTAAGAGTCTTCATCCATAACATGGAGGAATTATCATTAATTTCATAGAATTTCTATGATTGAATTAAATGGTATCTGTAAAGCATTTAGCTTAGTGCTTAGCACATGGAAAATCCTTGTTAGATGGAATGGGTTAGCATTGCTTTTTTTTTTTTTTTTTTTTTTTTGAGACGGAGTCTCGCTCTGTTGCCCAGGCTGGAGTGCAGTGGCGCGATCTCGGCTCACTGCAAGCTCCGCCTCCCGGGTTCACGCCATTCTCCTGCCTCAGCCTCCCGAGTAGCTAGGACTATAGGCGCCCGCCTCCACGCCCGGCTAAATTTTTTTTGTATTTTTAGTAGAGACGGGGTTTCACCGTGTTAGCCAGGATGGTCTCGATTTCCTGACCTCATGATCCACCCGCCTCGGCCTCCCAAAGTGCTGGGATTATAGGCGTGAGCCACCGCGCCCGGCCGTCATTGCTTTTAATGCAGACAAACAATTTGGCATTTAGGTTTACATTAATCTTCAGTGTTTTTGTTTAGTGAGTCAGTTTCAACAAGTCCTACCCAACACGAACACGTGGCTCATATCTCTGCTCTTAGGGGAAGACCACAAGACACCAGTGCCTTTCATTCTTACACAGAGCAGGCACTATTTCGTTACAGGCAAAAGGACCACACTACCACAACGTAGAGGACAGAGAAAGCTCCTTCAAAGGAAAAATGTGGGAAGAAGTCGGCCACAGATCAGACTGCTGGAACAGAAAGGCCAAGGATGTCCCAGCCCCATCAGGCGTCATGCAGGGGCATGGGACCAGCATCTGTTCTAGAGAGATGGGGCCCAGGAGCAGCTGCAAGGGCCTTCCCAGGGCCAAAAAGGGCCAGGAGCGGGAGGGCAGTTTCAGTGGTCAGCCAGGTAAGAAAGACCAGCTGGACCCTTCTTGAAGCGCTGTTACTGAGCCCAGGTTGAAGACAGGGAACACAGCTGGAATACCCAGAGGCAGTAGGTTTATCTAGTTTAATTTTATTTTCATTTTTTTTTCATCATAAGTTCCGTCTTTGCTATCACTTAATTTTAGGTTTAAAATGCCACCCTTCTTAACTGGCTCTCCCAAAACTGTGCATACTGCGCACTCTGGTGGTCATAACAACCAACTACAGCAACGTGGTCAATTTGTTTCCCAGAAAGGGTTGGGGCTGCTGCTCTCCGCATCCTACCGCCATTACAAACCTGGCCCCCAGCCAAGTGGACACCATTGGTAACCCCATTCAAACTCCATTCAAAGGCCTGAGCATGGAGAACAATACATAGCGGGGGGTGGGCATGCCCCACAGAAACAACAGGCAGGAGACTGGCTTCCCAGGATTTGACTAGTGAAATCCACACATATGGGTCTGAATATACTGTGTGACTCCACTTAAGTAGCTGGAGGACAGGAACAAGAGGCTAACAAGCCAATGCTACCAACTTCCCAGCTTCCTACCCAGAATAAGGCTGTGTGAACAGGCAGCTGGTTAGCTTGGAGGCAAGTGGGGAGGGGAAGAGCCAAGGACTGGCATGCAGCCAAGCTGACCAGGGAGGGACAGGAACCAGGTATGACAGGGAAGAGAGAGCTTTAACTTAGGGGTGAGTGCTGAGGGCTTTCGTAAAGAGAAGCTATTAGAACCATCCAATCTAGTTCAGACCTTGACTCTTGGCCAGGCACGGTGGCTCACACCTATAATCCCAGAACTTTGGGAGGTCAAGGCAGGAGGATGGCTTGAGGCCAGGAGTTCAAGACTAGCCTGGGCAACATAGTGAGATCGTATATCTAAAAATAATAATAATAATAAAAATTAGTCAGGCATGGTGGCCCATGCCTGTAGTCCCAGCTGCTCAGGAGGCTGAGGTGGGGAGATTGCTTGAGCCCAGGAGTTTGAGGATGCAGTGAGCCAAGGTTGTACCACTGCACTTCAGCCTGGGCAACAGAGCAAGACCCTGTCTCTAAAAAAAAAAAAAACAAAAAGCAAGACACACACATACAAAAACCCCAAAACCTGACTCACCAGGCTTGGGAGTCTGAGGTCCTGGCTCCAAGTAACCTCTGCTTAGTTTGGACTTCCCTGGAGAGATGATGGATGTGTTTGCCTCAGGAATGCTGCAAGACCCCACCCAGTCATCAACTTGGGGAGTGTTGGGGAGCCAGAGATCACCTGTAACCCCTTCTTTTAGCTCTTAGTGAGCTCTTCCGCTGGATCTAGAAACGAAATCAACAACAGGCAGATTAACAAGAGAAAAGTATACAAATTTCATTAATTTTACATGTATATGGGGATCTTCGTAAGAGGGTGAAGCATGAAGAAGTGGCCAAAGCAAGAAACTTTTATACTTTTTAGATAGAGTGATACATTTGAGAAGAAATGACAGCACCAAGAAAATCTGGCTATGGGGCAGTAGATTTTCTAGGGAAGTCACTAGGAGATACATGGTAGTGGTGAGCTGTGAACCAAGTGGAAGATAAGGGTTACTGTTAAGTATGTTTATTCAGGTCCATGGTGACTTCCAATTCCCAGTCTCCGTTGATAAGTGTTATTTTCTCTGTCTGGTGTGGAGAAGGGACTCCTCCCAGAGGAATCTTTATTGCTTGCTTCATGTAGCAAGAGACAGGTCAGCTCAGCCTTTCAGAAACTACAATTTCTCCAGTGTTTTCCTCTTGCAATAATCAGTATACCAATCTGGCATATTTCAGGTTGGCGTTGTCTTTTACCCCTTCATGGGGATGTGGAACAATGGATCTTGCCAAGCCTGCTGGGGGGAAATACAGCAGCACAGCTGCTTTGTGGAGTCTGGTATATCCTTAAGGAATGTTGATCCTGCAGTCCTACAACCCAGACGAACCACTCCCAGGTATACAGCCTGAGCCCTGGGATTCAGAGTTGCTCACATTCCACCTCCAAGAATTTGAAGGATGTGTTTTTCTTTTGTGTGTTTAAAGTTATATGCAGAACTTTGAGCAGGGTGTGGTGGCTCATGCCTATAATTCCAGCACTTGGGGAGGCCAAGGTGGGTGGATCACTTGAGGTCAGGAGTTCTAGACCAGCCTGGCCAACATGGCGAAACCCCATCTCTACTAAAAGTACAAAAATTAGCCAGGCGTGGTGGCGTGCGCCTGTAATTCCAGCTACTCAGGAGGCTGAGGCAGGAGAATCGCTTGAACCTGAAAGCCGGAGGTTGCAGTGAGCCGAGTTGGCAGCACTGCACTCTGGCTTGGGTGGCAAAGTGAGACCCCATCTCAAAATAAATAAATAAATAAAATTTTAAAAAGTTATGTAGAACCTTGACATAGGTAGAACTTTTCACTGTAAGTTTAAATAAACTTGCAAAGTCTATAATTTCCAGCACTATTCTTTTTTTTTTTTTTTGAGACGGAGTCTTGCTCTGTCACCCAGGCTGGAGTGTAGTGGCAAGATCTCGGCTCACTGCAAGCTCCGCCTCCCGGGTTCATGCTATTCTCCTGCCTCAGCCTCTCGAGTAGCTAGGACTACAGGCACCCGCCACCACGCCTGGCTAATATTTGTATTTTAGTAGAGGCGGGGTTTCACCATGTTAGCTAGGATGGTCTTGACCTCCTGACCTCACGATCTGCCCGTCTCAGGCTCCCAAAGTGCTGGGATTACAGGCGTGAGCCACCGCACCCGGCCAATTTCCAGCACCATTCTAATGTCAACACTTTAAAGCAGTTAGTCACTTATGAAAATGTATCCATGGGAATATAAATGCCATAGTGATTTGATACCCATAATCATCCACTTTAAAAAATACACAAGAACACAAACAAGCTTTTCTTGAACAGTTGAACATTTTTTATTGTTTCATTTCCTTCTTGAATTTATATTTCCATTCCGCACAACCCTGGGAATGTCTTCGTGCACTCTGGAAAATCCAGAGTTCTCTGTGGAGTTGATCCATGACCTCTTCCCCACTCGCTCCCCTTGCCCAGGGTGGCCGAGTTGACTTCGGTTTGGTCTCACTGGGTAATTTTCCAGGAAGAGCCTGACCAGCGGGATGTTTTCCCAGCCCAGTGACCCATTGAAATTTACTTCCTGGCCAGGCACGGTGACTCACACCTGTAATCCCAGCACTTTGGGAGGCCAAGGCGGGTGGATCACCTGAGGTCAGGAGTTCGAGACCAGCCTGGCCAACATGGTGAAACCCCGTCTCTACTAAAAATACAAAAATTAGCCAGGTGTGGTGGTGTACACCTGTAATCCTAGCTACTCAGGAGGCTGAGGCAGGAGAATCACTTGAGCCTGGGAGGCAGAGGTTGCAGTGAGCTGAGATTGTGCCACTGCACTCCAGCCTGGGCAACGGAGTGAGACTCCAGCTCAAAAAAAAAAAAAAAGGAAATTTCGTTTCTTTCAACTCCCTTTGTTTACTTGTGAAAAAGGTTCTGAGCTAGGACTCTAGCATGCATGCAGGGGCAAGTAACACTCCCCAAACCTACAATTGTTGTTTATACTATTTATTTATTTATTTATTTTTGAGACAGAGTCTCACTCTGTCACCCAGGCTAGAGTGCAGTGGTGTGATCTCGGCTAACTGCAACCTCCGCCTCCCGGGTTCAAGCAACTCTCCTGCCTCAGCCTCCAGAGCAGCTGGGATTACAGGTGTGCACCATGCCTGGCTAATTTTTGTATTTTTAGTAGAGACAGGGTTTTGTCATGTTGGCCAGGCTGGTCTAGAACTCCTGAGCTCAGGTGATCCGCCTGCCTCGGCTTCCCAAAGTGCTGTGACTATAGGTGTGAGCCACCACATCTGGCCTGATTTTTGTTTATATATATATTAAAAAATCAATTCATCTATCAATAGCTACATTTGTTGAGAGTTCATAATGTACTAGGCACTGTTGTAAATACTTTATATACATTATTGCCCCATAATCCTCAGGGTACAGTTTAACTGATCTCTATACTACTAACCTGTTTTACCAAAATCAGGAAACTGCCTTCCGAGACCAAACATCTAGTCCCGTAAATCAAATTACTTATTAACATCCTGGAGTTTAATGGAGTAGGCGCAATATTGCTTTCCAGACATCATCGATAACTCTTCACCAACCAGAAGCCACAATCGGAGAAGAGATACCTAAGACATTTTCGTTATATTGAGACCTGGGACGAGGACATGCCTTAAACTCTAATTTTTTCCTTAAATTCTTTGTATTAAGTGGCTTTCAGCTAAAATCAGCACAGGATGGTAGGTAGTGGAATGAACGCCTTGGGACCCCAAAGTGCTTCAGGATACAGAGTCCCTCCCAGTCACATCAACGAAGATGGGATGTCGCTGAAGAGCGGGAGGGCTGATTGGAAGAGGCGCCGCTAGGGGGCGGCAGAGCACAGCGGAGCCCGTGGGTTGCAGGAGCCGCGCTGTGGTTCCGCAGCAGGAGAGAACCCAGAAGATCCTGGACCCAGGAGGACGCCTCTGATGCCGAGCCTTCGCCCCTGAGCACCCAGCTTCTGTGAAAGGGAAGGAAGACAGGTTCCCAGGAGGGAAGTGTGGCTCTGTCCATCGTGAGCCATATGCGTAATTTCAAGTTTTCTAGTAGCCACTTAAAAAAACAAAAAAAAGTAAAGTAGGCTGGGCCCGGTGGCTCACGCCTGTTATCCCAGCACTTTGGGAGGCCGAGGCGAAGGATCACTTGAGGTCAGGAGTTCGAGACTGGCCGGGGCAACATGGTGAAACTCCGCCTCTACTAAAAATACAAAAATTAGCCGGGCATGGTGGTGCACGCCCATAGTCCCAGCTACTTGGGAGGTCGAGGCAGGAGAATAGCTTGAACTCGGGAGGTGGAGGTTGCAGTGAGCCGAGATCGCACCACTGCACTCCAGCCTGGGCAACAGAGCGAGACTCCATTTCAAAAAGAGAATCATAGAAAAAAATAATGAAACAGGGGCCGGGCGCGTTGGCTCACGCTGTAATCCCAGCACTTTGGGAGGCAGAGGCGGTTGGATCACCTGAGGTCAGGAGTTCAAGACCAGCCTGACCAACATGGTGAAACCCCTTCTCTGCTAAAAATACAAGAATTAGACGGGCATGGTGGTGGACACCTGTAATCTCAGCTGCTCGGGAGGCTGAGGCAGGAGAATCGCTTGAACCCGGGAGGCGGAGGTTGCAGTGAGCGGAGATGGCGCATGGCACTCCAGCCTGGGCAACAAGAGCAAAACTCTGTCTCAAAAAAAAAGAATGGAACAGGTGACTTGAATTGTAATAATATTTCAATCTAACCCCATATATCCAAAAATGTTCTCATTTCAACATGCCATTAATCTAAAAATCATTCAGACACCTTACATTCTTTTTTTGATACTAAGTCTTTGAAATCTGATGTTTTTTGTTTCTTGCCCTTCTCAATTTGGACTACTCACATTTCAAGGGCTCAGTAGCCACTTGTGGCTATTGATAATTTTAGTCAGGTAAGTACCTGCTGCAGGACAAGGGCTTAGGAGGATTTCAGAGCATCCCTGGGAGATGGCTAGGCTCAGGGTTTCTCCTGGCCCTGCCCACAGCCCTGCCAGCCCACACCTCCCCCACACACTTCCTGGACGCTTGCTGTCTCTCTCTTCACCCCTCAGGCCTCCGCCTTGCTACATCAGAGCTGTTTTCTAAAACACAACTTCAGCCGGGCATAGTGGCTCCTGTCTGTAGTCTCAGCTACTCTAGAGGCTGAGGTGGGAGTATCACTTGAACCTAGCAGTTTGAGACCAGCCTATGCAACATAGTGAGACCCCTGTCTCTACAAAACAATTTTAAAATTAGCCAGGCATGGGCCTGGGGTGGTGGCTCATGCCTGTAAATCCTAACATTTTGACAGGCTGAGGTGGGGGGGATCTTTTGAGACAGGCCTGGGCAACATAGTGACACCTTGTCTCTAAATTATATTTAAAAATATATATATACACACATATACACATATATAGTATAGATATACACATATACGTACATGTATAGATATACACATATACGTACGTGTATAGATATACACATATACGTACATGTATAGATATACACATATACACATATATACATATATATGTGTGTATATATATATATAGCACCTGTGATCCCACCTACTGGGGAGGCTGAGGCAGAGAAATCACTTGAGCCCAGGAGTTTGAGGTTACAGTGAGCTATGATCACACCACTGCACTCCAACCTGGGCAACAGAGCAAGATCCTGTCTCAAAAAAATTAAAATATATAATAAAATAACAAATGCAGCTTAGCTTGTCATGCCCCAGATTAGGAAACTTGTGTGGCTACCCCTGTCTCTCTGCTCCCCTCTGGTCTGAGAACAGAGCTATTCAGGATTCAGGAGGTTGGAGAGTTTAGACAACTCAACTTCAAAGACCACAGTGTTGGGAAGGCAACACCACCACCACCACCAACTGGATTCTTGATTCAGTTTCCCACTGGAAAGGCAGATCCAAAAAGAGGTGAGAGCACTGGGCATGGGTGCTCACGCCTGTAATCCCAGCACTCTGGGAGGCCGAGGTGGGAGGGTCACTTGAGGTCAGGGGTTCAAGACCAGCTTGGCCATCATGGTGAAACCCCATCTTTACTAAAAATACAAAAATTAGCCAGGCATGGTGGTGCACGCCTGTAATCCCAGCTGCTTGGGAGGCTGAGGCAGGAGAATCACTTGAACCCAGGAGGCGGAGGTTGCAGTGAGCCAAGATCATGCCACTGCACTCCAGCCTGGGAAACAGGGTGAGACTTTGTCTCTAATAAAAACCAAAAACCAAAAAACAAAAAAAGAGATGAGAACAAGCTCTGGACTCACAAAGCCTGGTGTGGACCCTAGTTGTGTGGCCTTGGGAAGATGGCCTAAAGCTCTCTTTGGATCTCAGTTTTGTCATCTGTAAAATGGGGATAATAAGAGTACTTCTCCAATAAGGTTGGTGTGAGGATTAGATACTTTAATTATAATAGTAAGAGCTAAATAAATGCTAACTTTCTAAAATCTGCATTTGCGTAACAGCATTTCAACACTTTAGGACAATTATTGTTTGGCAACACATATAAACTACTGAGAGCTGTCTCGGCAGCTGTGCTGCCCAGAGATGGACCTGACATCGCTCTGATCAAAACCCTTGTCAGTGGTGCTTGGACTGGGCCGTTATGATATCACCTCCTGTCATCTCCTGCCAAATGGAACCAATGCTCTGCCAACTAAGATTTTTTTTAACAACCTAAAAAAAAGAGGTTATCCATTTAAAAAAACAACTTTTTAAAACAATTCAATTGTTGGCTAATAAATGGCTACCACTTCTTGAGTGCTTGTGAAGTGTCAGGTGTTATTTATTTATTTACTTATTTTGAGACGAAATCTCGCTCTGTTGCCCAGGCTGGAGTGCAGTGGCGCAATCTCGGCTTACTGCAAGCTCTGCCTCCCGGGTTCACGCCATTCTCCTGCCTCAGCCTCCTGAGTAACTGGGACTACAGGTGCCTGCCACCACGCCTGGCTAATTTTTTGGGTATTTTTAGTAGAGACGGGGTTTCACCGTGTTAGCCAGAATGGTCTTCATCTCCTGACCTCGTGATGCACCCGTCCTGCCCATCTCGGCCTCCCAAAGTGCTGGGATTACAAGCGTGAGCCACCATGCCCAGCCAGTGTTTTTTATTTTTTAAACTTGTCTTAGCACATTTAATTCCCACAATGTTATGAATTAGATTCTCTGTTTCACAGAGGAGGAGACAGCGCACAGAGCCAGGAAGGGGTGGAGGTAAGATTAGCTCCAGAGTCTGAGCTCCACCCCATGCCATGTGCCCTGTCCAGCCTCCCAGATGAGCAGCCTCCCGCTGGAAGGCCCAAGCTCCATAGAGCAGCCTGCAAGGGGTTCTTCACCCGCTGCCTGCACCCCACCTTTCCAGCCTCAGCCCCAGACCAACCTCTGCTCTGTGCACACTAGCTCTTCTTTCCCCAGTTGATTTTCAGGCCTCTATGTCTTTGTGGATCCCTTTCCCCTGAGCAGCCTTGTCTACTTTTCACCAGCAAAATCTGTTCCCTCCAACCCTTAGGCCTCACCTTCAAGGCTCTTGCCTCTGTGAAGCCCCTTCAGCTACCCCACCGCCACCCGACCTGCCCTGTTCTCTGGGTCTGTGTTCCAGCTCTTGGTTCAGGCCTCCATGCAGACACCTGTCATGTGACATCACTGTGAGTTATGCTGGAATCCAGTTCCTCATACCAGGGTGTCAGCTTCTGCATGATGACAAGGAGCAAGCCCAGGCCCAAGCTGAGGATCCTGACAGACCGTGGCTTGGTTTCTGGTTCTGCCACCTCCTTTGTGGGTGCCTCGAACAAAATACTTAATTCATTGTGCCTCAGAGGGGTCCTGAGTGTTTTTGGCAATATGTGTAAAGTTCCTGATACACAGTAGATGCTTCATAAATGCTGGTTTCTTATTATCAAAGACAATGACTGTGTTATATTTTTCTCTGAATTTAAAAAAAGCTTCTGTATGATCATAAAATGACATAAACAGTGAATTGATGTGAAAGGCAACTTGGTAATAACCTTGAACATTTTAAATACACTTGCCCTTTGACCCAGCAGTTGCGCTTCTAGTGCTTCCAGGAAATTATCCTGCAAATACATTCCTATAGGTGAGATATTGTATATGCACAAAAATATTCACTATAGCAAAATATTGGAAGCCACCAAAATGTCCAACGCTAGGGAACTGTTCAAAATTGTACTGTGTCCATCAGATGGGATACTATGAATCATGTACAATAATGAGATACCTCTATGTGTATTGGGATAAGCCATTTTCCAGGATTTAAAAAAATTCCAGGTGCAGTGGCTCATGCCTGTAACCCTAGCACTTTCGGGAGGATCATATGAGCCCAGGAGTTCAAGACCAGCCTGGGCAATGTGGCAAAAACCCATCTCTACAGAAAATAGAAAAAAAAATAACTAGCCAGGTGTGGTGGTGCATGCCTATAGTTCCAGCTACTTGGGGGGCTGAGGCAGGAGGATTGCTTGAACCCAGGAGGTTGTGGCTGCAGTGAGGCAAGATCACTGCATTCCAGTCTGGATGACAGGGTAAGACCCTGTCTCATAAAAAAAAAAAAAAAAGAAAGAAAGAAAAGTGCAGAACACTGTGGAAAATGTTACAATTTGTTTAGTTTAGTTTATTTTTTGAGACGGAGTCTTGGAGTCTTGTTCTGTTGCCTGGGCTGGAATGCAGTGGCATGATCTCGGCTCACTGCAACTTCCACCTCCCGGGTTCAAGTGATTCTCATGCCTCAGCTTCCTGAGTAGCTGGGATTACAGGCGCCCACCACCATGCCTGGCTAATTTTTGCATTTTTAGCAGAGATGGGGTTTCAACATGTTGGCCAGGCTGGTCTTGAACTCCTGACCTCAAGTGGTCCGCCCACCTCGGCCTCCCAAAATGCTGGGATTACAGGCATGAGCCACCATGCCTGGTTGACAATTTGTTTAAAAACCAAAAGGAAAGCCTGTACATCCAAGTGCTTATATATGCATTGAATATCTCTGGAAGGAAACACCAGAAACTTCTTTCAGACACGGTCTTTCAATGGGAGCTGGCTTCAGATCTATGGAAAGGAGATTTACTTTTTACTGACTCTTTTTTTTTTTTTTTTTTTTTGAGACAGGGTCTGGCTCTGTTGCTCAGGCTAGAGTGCACTGGTGCAATCACAGATCACTGCAGCCTTGACCTCCTGGGCTCAAGTGATCCTCCCACCTCAGCCTCCCAAGTAGCTGGACTACAAGCATGTGCCACCACATCTGGCTAATTAAAAAAAATTTTAAAGTAAAGATGAGATCTTATTATGTTGCCCAGGCTGGTCTTGAACTCCTGAGCTCAAGCAATCCTCCTGCCTCGGCCTCCCAAAGTGCTGACATTACAGGCGTGAACCACCGTTCCTGGCTCACTGATGATTTTTGACTGTTGTATGATGTGCAGGTATATGAGTTAATAAATTTTAAAAACATAAAAAATAAAAAATGCCCCGTCCGGGAGGTGGGGGGCAGTCCCCGCCTGGCTGCCGCCCCGTCTGGGAGGTGGGGGGCGCCTCTGCCCAGTTGCCCCGTCCGGGAAGTGAGGAGCCCTTCTGCCCGGCCGCCACCCCATCTGGGAGGTGTACCCAACAGCTCATTGAGAACGGGCCATGATGACGCTGGCGGTTTTGTCGAATAGAAAAGGGGGAAATGTGGGGAAAAGAAAGAGAGATCAGATTGTTACTGTGTCTGTGTAGAAAGAAGTAGACATAGGAGACTCCATTTTGTTCTGTACTAAGAAAAATTCTTCTGCCTTGGGATGCTGTTAATCTATAACCTTACCCCCAACCCCGTGCTCTCTGAAACATGTGCTGTGTCCACTCAAGGTTAAATGGATTAAGGGCGGTGCAAGATGTGCTTTGTTAAACAGATGCTTGAAGGCAGCATGCTCGTTAAGAATCATCACCACTCCCTAATCTCAAGTACCCAGGGACACAAACACTGTGGAAGGCGGCAGGGCCCTCTGCCTAGGAAAACCAGAGACCTTTGTTCACATGTTTATCTGCTGACCTTCCCTCCACTATTGTCCTATGACCCTGCCAAATCCCAAGAATGATCAATAAATACTAAAAAAATTAAAAAAAAAAATAAGGCCGGGCACAGTGGCTCACGCCTATAATCCCAGCACTTTGGGAGTCCGAGGCGGGCAGATCACCTGAGGTCAGGAGTTCAAAATCAGCCTGGGCAACATGGTGAAACCCCATCTCTACTGAAAATACAAAATTAGCCGGGCGTGGTGGCACATGCCTGTAATCCCAGCTACTTGGGAGGCTGCGGCAGGAGAATCGCTTGAACCTGGGAGGCCAGGGATGCAGTAAGCCGAGATCGCGCCATTGCATTTCAGCCTGGGCAACAAGAGTAAATCTCTGTCTCACCAAAAATAAATAAAATAAAATAAAAATAAAAATGAACATCCAAAGATATTCGATCTCTACCATTGTAAGGGAAATGCAAATTAAAACAATAAGATGCTACTTTTCGCCTGTCAGATTGCCAGCATTTGAAAGCCTGGTGTCAGTCCTGCCATACCTTGCTGGTGGTAGAGTATAATGGTATAGCTAATTTTTTTTTTTTTTTTTTTGAGACAGCGTCTTGCTCTGTCACCCAGGCTGGAGTGCAGTGGTGTGATCTAGGCTTACTGCAACCTCCACCTCCTGAATTCAAGCGATCTTCTGCCTTAGCCTCCCAAGTAGCTGGGACTATAGGCGCTCGCCACCACACCCGGCTAATTTTTGTATTTTTAGTAGAGATGGGGTTTCACCATATTGGCCAGGCTGGTCTCGAACTCCTGACCTCATGGTCCGCTGGCCTCAGCCTCCCAAAGTGCTGGGATTACAGGTGTGAGCCACCGTGCCCAGCCGATACAGCTAATTTTAAAGCAACTTAGCAGAATCTAGTAGAATACACTGCCCCCATGACCACAGGATCCCATTTTCCAGTGTCAGTTCCAAGCAGAAGATAGAACTCTGTCCCTGCCATGCTCAACATCAGCTCAGCAGCAGCAGCTACCTCTGCATGGGCACGGGGACCAGGCTGTAGGAGCTGGTCCAGAAAGGACGCCTCACCATGCCCAGCTAATTTTTTTTGGTATTTTTTAGTAGAGATGGGGTTTTATTATTTTGGCCAGGCTTGTCTCGAACTCCTGACCTCAAGTGATCCTCCCGCCTCAGCCTCCCAAAGTGCTGGGATTACAGGCATGAGCCACCATGCCCAGCCAACATCTGTGGTAAGTTTAAGAGTCTCTTGCCACAATGGCTTGGGGGTAGGAAGGCAGGTGCGTCAAGGGTATGAGGAGGAGAGTTCTGGGTGCTCTAGTACCCATTGATACTTTGGTCTGGAGAATTCTTTGTTGTGGCGGGGGTATCCTATGCCCTACAGGATGTTTAGTAGCATCCTTCCCCTCTCTCACTAAATGCCAGTAGCACCCCGCACCCCCCTACAGTTTGACAACCAAAAGTGTCTCCACACATTGCCAAATGTCACCCAGGGATAGGGTTGCCAGACTTAGCTAATAAAAGTTCAAACCACCCAGTTAAATTTGAATTTGTATTTCATACATATAACAAATTTTTTTTCTAGAATTGGACAACACCTCATTCTATAAAACAGAATGAATGTTCCTACAAATAACTTTTCAGTATAAGGATGCCCCAAATGACATATTGAGTAGAGAACATACTTATACTGAAAAAGTACTTATTTATCTGATTCTAAGATTTCACCTGGTGGCCTGCATTTTTCTGGCAATCTTAGGGGTGAGGGTGGAGGACTGCCCTGTGTTGAGAACAATTGCCATAGGACACCAGTCATAGAGGAGAAGCTGAGGCCATCCTCGCTCTCTAGGGCTTACAGTCTCATCGTGGGACACAAACACATCAGGATGCTGCACTGAGAGGCATCACCATGGGTCTTTAGGGCCCGACAGGCGGGGCCCTCCAATGCCTGGTTCTGCTTCTCTTTCCTCCTATTCAAAATGTTCTTCCCAAGGGTGTCCATGACCTAGTCACACTCTGTCCCCTGCAGGCAGAAATCACTGAAACCAAAAGAGCGACACTGAGCCTCCAGGGGGCAGATGCAAGGGGCCGGTGGCCTCCTGAAATCGGAATCTCCTGCAAGAAGCACGGTTCTGAGTGTGGGAGAGCTGTGAGGCTGGACCGTGGGGCTGTCCCCAACCAGAGCTTAGGGACCCTGGAGGGCGGGCCCCCGGGTCTAGCAGAGGGGAGCAGATTCAGAAGCTGGAGGCAGTGACTGAAGCTGTGCAGTTATTTGTTCAGTTTTTCTTTTTCTTTTTTGTTTTTTGAGACGTAGTTTCACTCTTATTGCCCAGGCTGGAGTGCAATGGCGCAATCTTGGCTCACTGCAACCTCTGCCTCCCAGGTTCAAGCGATTCTCCTGCCTCAGCCTTCTGAATAGCTGGGATTACAGGCATGCGACACCACGCCCAGCTAAATTTATTTGTATTTTTAGTAGAGATGGGGTTTCTCCATGTTGGTCAGGCTGGTCTCGATCTCCTGATCTCAGGTGATCCACCTGCCTCTCTCCCAAAGTGCTGAGATTACAGGCATGAGCCACCGTGCCTGGCCTGTTCAGTTTGTTTATTGAGGACTCACTGTGTACCAGGCACTGCGCTGGGTGCTGGGGAGGCCTCAGCAAACAAACAGACCAAGCCAGGTCCTGCTCAGGGCAGATGGAGGAGGCAGGAAGGGGGAACCATCAGCACTGTCTGTGAGGGGAGGCATGCACGGTGGGAATCCAGAGGATGAACCTTTCTGGTCTGCGGGGCAGAGGGGTGATCAGCGAGTGCTTTGGTCAGGTCTGGGCATACGTGGAGTCCAATATGCTTGAGACATCCGAGGCAGATGTCCAGAGGCCAGGAGAACTGTGGGGTCTGGGCTTGGGAGCGGACTCTGGGCAGAAGCCCTGGAGGAGGGTGGAATGGTAACAGCCGGCAAGAGAGAGGAGGACAAGGACAGAACCGGGAGGCTTGGGGCTTCGGGGCAGTGAGGGAGACTTAGAAGAGGCCGCCAGAGGGGCAGGGTGATGCACGCCTGTAGTCCCAGCACTTTGGGAGGCTGAGCTTGGAGGATTACTTGAGCCCAGGAGACTAGCCTGGTGCGACATGGCGAAACCCCGTCTTTACAAAATACAAAAATTAGCTGGGAGTGGTGACTTGCGCACCTGTAGTCCCAGCTCCTTGTGGGGCTGAGGCGAGAGGATCGCTTGAGCCCAGAAGTTTGAGACTGCAGTGAGCAGTGTTTGTGCTACTGTGCTCCAGCCTGGGTAACAAAGCGAGACCCTATCTCAAAAAAAAAAAGGAAAAAAAGAAGAAGTACCCAGAGGGAGACCTCAGGATTGTCGTCAGGTGGCCAACGGAGAAGAGAATTTCCAGGAGGAAGCCATCACTGCAAGCAGTACTAGGAGGTGGGCAGGGGAGCTGGAGATGGTGGTGGTCCCTTAGGGCCATGAGTCTCCCAGCTGCAAGCCTTCAGGCCCCAGCGGCTGGAGGACAATGCTGGGACACCCTCTCCCCACCACTAGGCCACTCCAGCTCACTCTAGCCTCCTTGCTGTTCTTCAGCCATTGAAAGGCCTCAGGGCCTTGGCCCTTGCTGTTCCCTCTGCCTGAAGGATGTCCCAGTATATCCTTATCTCCTTCAGATATTTACTCACATGCGGGCCTTCTCCACTAGGCCTTCCCTAACAATCATTTTCAAATAGCAATGTCCCCTCTCATCATTACCGAATCTCCTTCCCTACTTAATTTTTCTCCATAATACATTTATCGCCATCCAACAAAACCTATACTACAATTTTCTAAACGTTCCTTTTGATTTGAATGTATAATATGTTTTGTGGTTCAAAATTGAAAGCTGTGCTCAGTCTTTTGCTATTTCAAACAGTACCGCAATGAATAACCTTGTGCCTGTATCATTTTTTACGGTGCCGATAAAGCTCTAGGCTAAAGCCTCAGAAATGAGGTTGCTGGGTCAAGGAATAAGTGCATTTATAATTGTATGTATTAATTTTTTCCTGCTCCCTGAATAGAATGTAAGTTCCATAGGAGGGCAGGGATTCTTAAACTCGTACTCATTGTTGTATCTCCAGTCCTTCAAACAAAGACATGGCACAGAGTAGGTACTCAATAAATACATGTTAACGTCAGGCACTGTAGCTCATGCCTGTAATCCCAGCACTTTGGGAGGCCAAGGCCTGCGGGTCACCCTAGGTCAGGAGTTTGAGACCAGCCTGGCCAACATGGTGAGACCCTGTCTCTACTAAAAATACAAAAATTAGCCGGGCATGGTGGCAGGTGCCTGTAATCCCAGCTACTCGGGACGCTGAGGCAGGAGAATCACTTGAACCCAGGAGGCGGAGGTTGCAGTGAGCTGAGATGGCGCCATTGCACTCCAGACTGGGGGACAAGAGCGAGACTTTGTCTCAAAAAATAATAAATAAATAAATAAACAAACCCATGTTGAATGAATGAATGGCCCCACTCCTGGAAGTCTGAAGATTTACTTCTGACAACCATTTCAAACTCTGTCTCCTTCACAGCCACAGGGCTGTGGATCCTTAGAGACCTTTGAAAGCAAGAGATGGTCCCATCTCCTGTTCCAGAAGTCACAGCGCTTTTTCTTCATCAGATACAGGGTGCCATTCTAAGGCCTGGCTGTTTTCTCCCTCTGCTTCCCTTACTTTACTCAGGAAGGCATTAAAAAAGTATGTCTTGGCCAGTTGTGGTGGTTCACACCTGTAATCCCACCACTTTGGGAGGCTGAGGCGGGTGGATCACCTGAGGTCAGGAGTTCGAGGCCAGCCTGGCTAACATGGTGAGACCCCATCTCTACTAAAATTACAAAAATTGGCCAGGCGTGGTGGTGTGCACCCGTAGTCCCAGCTACTCAGGAGGTTGAGGCAGGAGAATTGGTTGAACCTGGGAGGCGGAGCCTGCAGTAAGTCGAGATTGCGCCACTGCACTCCAGCCTGGGTGACAGAGCCAGACTCCATCTCAAAAAAAAAAAAAAGGTATGTCTCGGCTGGCATGGTGGCTGATACCTGTAATCTCAGGACTTTGGAAGGCCGAGGCAGGAGGATCACATGATCCCAGGAGTTTGAGACCAGCCTGGGCAACATAGCAAGACGTTGTCTTAAAAAAAAAGAAAGAAAGAAAAAGTATGTATACCAAGCAGCATGCATCATTTCACTTCTAAATTCCCTTCCTTGACTACAGTTTCTTCTTTTTATTTATTTATTTTTTTTGGTGGAGTTTTGCTCTTATCACCCAGATTGGAGTGCAGTGGCATGATCTCAGCTCACTGCAACATCTGCTTCCCGGGTTCAAGCAATTCTCCTGCCTCAGCCTCCTGAGTAGCTGGAATTACAGGCGACTGCCAGCATGCCCGGCTAATTTTTGTATTTTTTAGTAGAGACGGGGTTTCACCATGTTGGCCAGGCTGGTCCCGAACTCCTGACCTCAGGTAATCCACCTGCCTTGGCCTTCCAATGTGCTGGGATTACAGGTGTGTGCCACTGTGCCTGGCCCAGTTTTCTCTTGTCTAACAATTTACAAAATCACCAAACACTTGAAGAATTATCAGGTGTCAGAGAAAATGGGATAATTTTCAAAAGTGAAATTCATTCACGGAGTGAGTGGTAATTTTGTGCCAGACTGGCCCCATGCAGGCAATGAGGATGGAGACAGGATGAAAAATTGTCCCTGCTGTCAAGGGAGCTCATCACTCACAGGAATAAAGCATCCAGGAACAGTTTTCTTGAGGGCAGGGACTGTATCTTCTCATCTTGCTGTCCCAGTTTTCAGCACAGTGTCTGGAACATTCCAAATGTCTACCCGCCTTTCCTCCCCCAACAAAAAATTAGCTAGTTAAGGTTTAAGTTCCCCAAGCATCTATAACAAGAGTGAAGAGGTTGACCTGAGTAATTATTTGATTTTTCCTCATCTGTCAAAAGGACTGTTTTTGTTAGCTGGTTTGTTGACTTTTGCTTTCATCTATCTGGGTGTGTCTGTTGATATTTGTCTGAGTCAACTGTTTAACTGCAAGGAACTTGGCCGTTCTGATTCTAGGCGTTCCTCTCAGTCCTTGAGTGAGTGAATATCTAAGTCAGCATTAGGGCTTTTCCCTCCTGGTCTTCCAGTTTCCACGGGAGTGAGGAGGCAGGAGAAGGGGTTAAAATCTGAAACCAGACCAGTCTGGGTTCAAATCCTGGCCTGACAACTTACTAGCTGGGAGGTCTTGGGCAGCTGAGACTAAAGCTCCCTTCACGTTGCTTCCAGCCCCATCTGCCCCTCCTGCTCCTCACCCCTCATAACCAACCACCCCAATAAAGAGAAGGAAGGGGTAAAGTCCAGACCCCAGGACTCAGGGCTGGGCAGGAGGCAGAGCTTCCATGAGGCAGTCTATGCCCAAAGCCAGCCGCCTCATTTATGTTCATGGTCAAGGGCTCTTTACAACAAAACCTGGGCTCCCCGGCTGAAGATTGTTTCTGAGGATCTTTTGTGGCTGCAGCTCTAAACACCTTTTGGCTCCTAACCTAAACTTCCTGAACTTTCTGAGAGGTTCAGAGATAAATTAGAGCATTGTTTGGCTATCTTTAATCCCATCTGGCACTCAAGTATCCATAGCCTGTGTAACCAGGGGAGCTCTTAACGAAGTTTGGTAAACAGAAAAATACAGAAGATTTCTAGACCCCGGACACCTGCTTCAGTATTTATGCAGGAACAGGGGATCCCAAATTTCTATATTGACTGGACCCCCAAGAAAAAGTCCTTTAAGACCTAAAGAAACTGTAGATAATCTTTTGATTCTAAAAAACCTGAAGATTTGAGAGAGGTTGAAGCAGGCTGAACTTGAAGGCAATCCAAATGGTTATTTCAAGAGGCAGTAGTGATTAAGACAAGGGATTTGGCCAGGCATGGTGGCTCATGCCTGTAATCCCAGCACTTTGGGAGGCCGAGGCGGGCGGATCACGAGGGCAGGAGATCGAGACCATCCTGGCTAACATGGTGAAACCCCGTCTCTACTAAAAATACAAAAAATTAGCCGGGCGTGGTGGCGGGTGCCTGTAGTCCCAGCTACTCGGGAGGCTGAGGCAGAAGAATGGCGTGAACCTGGGAGGCAGAACTTGGAGTGTGCTGAGATTGTGCCACTGCACTCCGGCCTGGGCGACAGAGCGAGACTCCGTCTCAAAAAAAAAAAAAAAAAAAAAAAGACAAGGGATTTGACCTTCAAGCAGGAACAGAACAGTCACTGTAGATTTTGGATACTGTTTGGATCAGTAAAGAAGGAAATGTAATTCCAGGTCCCTAAACTGAGGCTGTCCAAATGGGAGCGTTCCACTGTAGCCTGGGAGAGATTTAAGAGAGACATATAAACTAAATGCAATAAATATACTTTGGGTCCAGATTTAAACATACCAACTGTAAAAAGAAAAAAAATGAGATATTTAGAGAAATTTGAAAATTGACTAGATATTTGAGATTGACCTGATCTTGATAACCATTGAAGTTGAGTGATGATGGGTACATGAAGTTCATTTTGCAATTTTTTTCTACTTCGGCATATGTTGAAATTTTTCTCAAAGTAAAATAAAATAAGGTCAATAAAAAAAGAAATATTCCAAATGTTCAGATCAAGTTCTTCTCTTTCCTTACATATCATCAATTGCTTAAAATCATGCCACAGTTTCATATTTGAATCACAATTTTCTGGTATAGTTTTGTGTTTTTTCTGGAGTTTCTTGACACTTTTCCTATTCCTTTTTGAGAGAAGAACTGTGTGCTTTCTTTACCATATGACTAAGAGCTTCTAGCTTCTTAATTGTACTGTCTATGGACTGAAATTCCCTTTTTTCTTAAAAACATTTTAAAGACCCGCCCGGCGCGGTGGCTCACGACTGTAATCCCAGCACTTTGGGAGGCTGAGGCGGGCGGATCACCTGAGGTCCGGAGTTTGAGACCAGCCTGGCCAACATGGAGAAACCCCATCTCTACTAAAAATACAAAATTAGCTGGGTGTGGTAGTGCATGCCTGTAATCCCGTCTACTCTGGAGGCTGAGGCAGGAGAATGGCTTGAACCCGGGAGGTGGAGGTTGCTGTGAGCTGAGATCGTGCCATTGCACTCCAGCCTGGGCAACAAGAGTGAAACTCTGCCTTGAAAAAAAAAAAACAAAAACGTTTAAAAGACATTGTTATCGCAGTCTTCTGTTTCCATGTTCTAATTTAAATCAAATACTTCCTGGCAGTTACCATTGTGGGACTTCTTTTTCAATGTGCATGTAAGTTAGTTCTGTGGTTTCTTGGTTACTATGTGACTTAGGTCCGGCCTCCTAGGAAGCAGAGGCTGGGACAGGGATTTTGGTGACAGTGACCAACTGAGGAAGTGATCTCAGGAGAAGAGGAAGGAGGGAAGCAGGGTAGGGCGGGGGAAGAAAGCTAAGCTACGAAGTGTTCTTGGCTGGAGACCAGTCTCAGCCTGGTGCCACCTTGAGACAGGGGGCATTTTGTACAGCAACTCACAGCAGCTGGGAATGGGTGCAGCAGCCTGGTGAAGGGGATTTGAGTGGACTGATGGCATCATCCACAACTCTGGGGTCTGCAAATTTAAGCATGCACCACATCACTTGGAAGGGTGGTAAAGACACAGACTGCTGCCCTCAAACCCCAGAGTTTCTGACTCAACAGGTTGGGATGGGCCCTACATTTGCATTTTTAACATGTTCCCAGATGCTGCTTCTGGAACTATATCTTGAGAATGACAGCACTACATTATATCTGATTTTTTGTTTTTTCTGGATTACAATCTCAAGTAATTTTTTCAGCAAAAGCACGTGACTGGCCAAGTGTGGTGGCTCACGCCTATAATCCCAACACTTTGGGAGGCTGGGATGGGAAGATCACTTGAGCCTCAGGAGTTCGAGACCAGCCTGGGCAACATGGAGAAACCCCATCTCTACAAAAAATACAAATATTAGCCAAGTGTGGTGGTGTACACCTGTAGTCCCAGCTACTTGGGAGGCTGAGGTGGGAGGATCAGTTGAGCCCAGGAGGTCAAGGCTGCAGCGAACTGTGATGGTGTCACTGCACTCTAGCCTGGGCGACAGGGCAAGTCTCAAAAAAAAAAAAAAAAAAAAGATAAGAAAAGAAAAGAATGTGTGGGAGGTAAATTTTATTGCTTCTCAGAATTTTGCCCCTAAGCTTGTTTTGTGGCTTAACTGTTCAAAACCATTTCCCCTTAGAACTATACAGACCATTGTTTTATAGCTTCTAGCTTCAGAGAAGCCCAGTGCTCATTTGATCTTCATTCCCTTGCAGATAATGTTTGTTTGTTTCTGATTTCCAGAAGGTCTTGGACTTTCTGAAACCTCATGAATCCCTAGGATTCTGCTCAGCATTCAACGGACACTTTTAATGTAAAGACTCGTTTTTTTGTTGTTACTGCTCTGGGAAATTTTCTTCTAGTATTTCTCTGATTATTTTTCTTTCTTTCTTTTTTTTTTTTTTTGAAACAGAGTCTTGCTCTGTCACTGGAGTGCAATGGCATGATCTCGGCTCACTGCAACCCCTGCCTCCTGGGTTAAAGCGATTCTCCTGCCTCAGCCTCCCGAGTAGCTGGGATTACAAGCATGTGCCACCACGCCCAGCTAATTGTTGTATTTTTAGTAGAGACAGGGTTTCACCACGTTGGTCAGGCTGGTCTTGAATTCCTGACCTCGTGATCCACCTGCCTCGGCCTCCCAAAGTGCTGGGATTACAGGGATAAGCCACCATGCCTGGCTCTTTTTTTTTTTTTTTTTTTTTTTTGAGACGGAGTCTCGCTCTCGCCCAGTCTGGAGTGCAGTGGCGGGATCTCGGCTCACTGCAAACTGCCTCCCAGGTTCACACCATTCTCCTGCCTCAGCTTCCCGAGTAGCTGGGACTACAGGCACCTGCCACCACGCCCGGCTAATTTTTTTGTATTTTTAGTAGAGACGGGATTTCACCGTGTTAGCCAGGATGGCCTCCATCTCCTGACCTCGTGATCCGCCCGCCTCAGCCTCCCAAAGTGCTGGGATTACAGGCGTGAGCCACTGCGCCCGGCTCTGGCTCTTTTTTCTCTCTGGAATTCTCATTAAACAGATATCAGACCTCCTGAATTGATGCTTTATGACTTGATTTTTTTCTACCTATTTAAAAATATTGTGTCTGGGCATGGTGGCTCACACTTGTAATTCCAGCACTTTGGGAGGCTGAGGCAGGGGGATTACTTGAGCCCAGGAGTTCAAGACCAGCCTGGACAACATAGTGAGACCCTGTCTCTATAAAAGGTAAAAAATTAGCCAGGTATGGTGGCATGCACCTGTAGTCCCAACTACTTGGGAGGTTGAGGTGGAAGGATCATATGAGCCTAGGTGTCAAGGCTGCCATGATTGTGCCACTGCCTTCCAGCCTGGGCAACAGAGTGAGACCTTGTCTTAAAAAAAAAAAAAAAAAAAAAAAGGTAAAATAAAGAATTATTTTTTGTCTCTATATTTTTGGAGAACTATATGAATTTTTTTTTTTTTTGAGTCAGAGCCTCGTTCTGCTGCCCCAGGCTGGAGTGCAGTGGTGTGATCTTGGCTCACTACAACCTGCCCCCTCCACGCCCCCCTCAGGTTCAACCAATTCTCTCCTGCCTCAGCCTTCTGAGTAGCTGGGATTACAGGCATGCGCCACCACACCCAGCTAGTTTTTGTATTTTTAGTGGAGAGATGGGGTTCTCCATGTTGGCCCAGGTCTCAAACTCCTGACCTCAGGTGATCCGTCTGTCTCAGCCTTCCAAAGTGCTGGGATTACAGGCATGAGCTACTGTACCCAGCCACTTTTTCACATAAATTTTTTATTTTGGAGTAATTTTAGATTTGTAGGATGCTGGGTGCAGTGGCTCATGCTTGTAATCCCAGCACTTTGGGAGGCCAAAGTGGGTGGATCACTTGAGGTTAGGAGTTCAAGACTAGCCAGGTCAATATGGTGAAACCCCATCTCTACTAAAAATACAAAAATTAGCTGGGAGTGGTGTCAGGCGCCTGTTGTCCCAGCTACTCGGGAGGCAGAGGCTGCAGTGAGCCGAGATTGCGCCACTGCCCTCCAGCCTGGGTGACAGAGCAAGACTCCATCTCAAAAAAAAAAAAAGGGTTTTAGAAAAGTTGCAAAGATAATATACAAAGTTCCCATATACCCTTCACCCACTTTCTTCTAATGTGAGCATCTTACATTGATGGGAGCCGAAAGCCTGAGCGTTGTGACCAACTCAGCATTCCACTGGAGGCTATATGATCAAACAGCAAACTGTTTATCATGAATACAGAATGTGGGCAAACTCGCACCTGCACCTGCTACCAGAAGGTATGCTGAGGGCAGTCACTCCCTGGTGCCGTGCTCCTTGAGGTTATCTATGGGGACATCTGGAGCCTAGTCTTCAAAGAATGTAGTCATGCAGGCCATGTACTAAGTCAAGCAGCTGACCGACAACCACCCCCTTCTCCTTATCTCCTTTACTTAGTAAATACAAAGGGCTCTAGAAGCTCAGGGCCCTTGTTCACTAGAAGCAAGGAGCCCCCTAACCCCTTCTTCCAAATATACTCTTTTGCCTTTGATTTTTTTTTTTTTTTTTTTTTTTTTTGAGAGGGAGTCTCGCTCTGTTGCCCAGGCTGGAGTGCGGTGGAGCGATCTTGGCTCACTGCAAGCTCCGCCTCATGGGTTTACGCCATTCTCCTGCCTCAGCCTGTCAAGTAGCTGGGACTACAGGTGCCCACCACCACGCCTGGCTAATTTTTTGTAGTTTTAGTAGAGATAGGGTTTCACCGTGTTAGCCAGGATGGTCTCGATCTCCTGACCTCGTGATCTGCCTGCCTCGACCTCCCAAAGTGCTGGGATTACAGGCGTGAACCACCACGCCTGGCCTTGTCTTTGTTTTTATTCCCATGTTTGCCCTCCTTTGTTCAGTCCACCAGGGTCCGTGGCATTACATAACTGTGGTCCATCAAAACTAAGAAGTTAACATTCATATATTACTATTAATGAAACTCCAGATTTTCACTAGTTTTCCTACTAATGTCCTTTTCTGTTCCAGGACCCACTCCAGTATTTCCCACCGTATTTAGTCCTCATGTCTCCTTGGTCTCCTCTGTGACAATTTCTCAGTCTTTCCTTGTTTTTAAAATCATTTTCACAGTTTTAAGAGGGCTGGTCAGGTATTCCGCAGAATGTTCCTCAATTTGGAATTTTTCTTATGATTAGGCTGGAGTTAGGTATTTTGGGGGAGAATATCACAACAGTGGAGTGTCTGGCTCATCACATGATATCAGCTGGTGACGTAACCCTGATCACTTCAAGTGTTTGCCAGATTTCTCCACTTTAAAGTTACTATTTTTTTCCCTATCCATACTCTGTTCTTTGGAAGTGAGTCACTAAGTCCAGCACACATTCAAGGCAAGAGGGCTAATTCAACTCCATCTGGAGGGGAGAGTATATCTATATATTATTTGGTATTCCCCTGTAAGGAAGATCTGTCCTTTCCTGCCATGTATTTATTTATTCAACCATTTATTTAGACCACTATGGACTCATGTTTATTTATTTTATACTTTGGGTTATAATCCAATATGACCTTATTTATTTTGTTGCTCATACTGTTCCGGTTTTGGCTATTGAGAGCTCTTTCAGGTTCCTTTTTTTTTTTTTTTTTTTTCAGTGCTTCCTTATTTTCTGGCACTAGCTTCTAGAATTTTTTTTTTTTTTTTTTTTTTTTTGAGACGGAGTCTCACTCTGTTGCCCAGGCTGGAGTGCAGTGGTGCGATCTTGGCTCACTGCAAGCTCTGCCTCCTGGGTTCGTGCCATTCTCCTGCCTCAGCCTCCCAAGTAGCTGGGACTACAGGCGCCCACCACCATGCCCTGCTAATTTTTTGTATTTTTTAGTAAAGACGGGGTTTCACCATGTAGCCAGGATGGTCTTGATCTCCTGACCTCGTGATCCACCTGCCTCGGCCTCCCAAAGTGCTGGGATTACAGGCGTGACCCACCGTGCCCTGCCACTTCTAGACTTTTTAATTATATTTTTTATCTGGGCAATCATGTTTTTTATTTCCCAGGACTCTTTCATGTTGTCTAATTGATCCCTTTATTAGCAGTTCTTTCTTGTTTTATGAATCTAATATAGTCTCAAATTAGAATTTGTTTCTAATTGTAATATTGAAAATACTATTTATTGGATTTAAATGAGCAGAATTACTCTCTAGATAAAGCATGGAAGACTTCATTATAGTTACAGAATAAATTTAAATATTATAACTCTTAGCAATGTAACAGTATAACTATCAGTGTCAGAAGGCTGGAGGAGAAGAGGAGAGATCAAACACTGCACAGATGCTAACTTTTTCATTTTACATAGTATAAATCAAGAGATGCTATCTTGGCCAGGCACGCTGGCTCAAGCCTTAATCCCAGCACTTTGGGAGGTCAAGGCAGGAGGATCAGTTGAGCCCAGGAGTTCGAGACCAGCCTGGGCAATATGTTGAGCCCCCATCTCTATTATAAAAAACAAAAAAAAGAAAAAAAATGACAGATACTATCTAAAGTGCATAGGAATGGAAATAAAGGTTTTAAGCAATTATCAATCAATGGAAGACTAAACTAACACTACAACACAACGTAGAAAGGATTGGGAGATGAGCATTAAAGTAAATGAGCAAATGTCCTTTTTCATGAGAAGAGTCAATAAATGTTAATTCAAGTGGATAAATCAAGAAATTGAGGTATATGCATATCAATCAGATTTGTGGTACAAACTACCATAGCTAAAAGCAGAAAAGGTAAAAATAAAGTTTTTTTAAGAGAGGGGTTAAGGGCTGGGCGCAGTGGCTCACGCCTGTAATCCCAACACTTTGGGAGGCCAAGGCAGGCTAATCACAAGGTCAGGAGATTGAGACCATCCTGGCTAACAAAGTGAAACCCTGTCTCTACTAAAAATACAAAAAATTATCTGGGCATGGGCATGGTGTTGGGTGCCTATAGTCTCAGCTACTTGGGAGGCTGAGGTAGGAGAATGGCGTGAACCTGGGAGGTGGAGCTTGCAGTGAGCTGAGATCACGCCACTGCACTCCAGCCTGGGCAACAGAGCTAGACTCCATCTCAAAAAAAAAAAGAGAGGGGTATAGGGCAGCGTGGGATGAGGTGGGGTGGGGCTTTGACTTTTCCCTTACTAACATTCTATATTGAAACTTTTTTAAAAAGTAATGCTTTTATAAAAATAATTAAAATGTACATAAATGTTGACTGCAGAAACATGCTGGTGCTTGATAGAACGTGCAGAGTGGGCAGGGATATGATGGGGCTGGATGGGGCAAGAAAGCCGTTTCCCTGCTTGGGAGAGGTGCAAAGTGTGCAGGAAGGAGGGGTTGGAGCTGTAGAAAACAGCCCACCTTGGATTCAGGGGGTCCCAGAGGGCAGGGCCCTTTCTCCTGCTCCTAAGCACGCTCATCATCCAACAATTATCTAGCGCTTCCTAAGCTTCAGACCCTGTTTTGGGGGTGAGAATATGGAGCCATCTTTGCTCTGGATATTTAAACCATCATTACAAAAAGACTGCTGACCCTAGGGTTGGCAGTCCCCACCATGGGAGAGGTATAGTCCATCCCTTTCTGATGAAGGAAGCTGGAGGATTCCCAGGAGGTGGGTGTAATCCCTGGTTTCCTCAGGACTGTCCTAGTTTAAAAACTCATAGCCCTATGTCCCAGGAAACCCCCGCATCTGGGAAACCTGTGCAGTTGGTCACCCTTCCAAGGGGGCAATTCCAGCCCAGCCTCTCATTCTTCCTCCATCTTGGTTCTGCTGGAGGAGAACCTCTAGAGCCCCTAGCATGATCTGCTTTCTGAATTTTGGAGGGTCCACAGTAGTCGGGGGGTTGGGGACAGTGCAGATCAGGGAGCCAGTAGTGCTGATTTTCTGGATGGTTAAAAGAAAGGAAAGAGAGGACTCCAGCAAAGGGAACTAGGAGAAGTGGGAATAGAGTAAGGTAGGGTGATCTCTCATCCTCCAGAATTAGCATGTCTAAAAGCATACAGTTTGGGCTGGGCACAGTGGCTCATGCGTGTAATCCCAGCACTTTGGAGGCCAAAGTGGGTGGATCACCTGAGGTCAGGAGTTGAGACCAGCCTGATCAACATGGTGAAACCCCTGTCTCTACGAAAAATACAAAAATTAGCTGGGTGTGGTGGCAGGCACCTGCAATCCCAGCTACTTGGGAGACTGAGGCAGGAGAATTGCTTGAACCTGGGAGGCAGAGGTTGCAATGAGCCAAGATCACACCATTGCACATCAGCCTAGGGACACAGTGAGACTCAGTCTCAAAAATAAATAAATAAATACGTAAATAATTTTTTTAAAAAAGCATATAGCTTGGCCCTGGGAGAGGACCAGATTGTTATGTCCACCCCATTTCTTAAAATACATTTATTCAATAAATATTTATTGAGCACTTACTATACTAGGCTCTGATTATTCAGTTACAATACACACACGAAGTAATCAGCTCTGTTCTAGGCTCTGGGGGTGCAGTTAGAAACCAGGCAAATACAGACACAGATACAAAGCTTACAATCCAAAAGGGGATGCTGACAGTTGACCATATTCTTATGGGGCTATTTCCATCCCATTAACCTATTTGTCTATCCTTAGACTAGTACTATTCAGTCTTTTGTGTGTGTGTGTGTGTGTGTGTGTGTGTGTGTGTGTGTGTGTGTGTGTGCGTCTTGCTCTGTCACCCAGGCTGGAGTGCAGTAGTGCAGTCTCGGCTCACTGCAACTTCCAACTCCTGGGTTCAAACGATTCTCATACTTCAGCCTCCCAAGTAGCTGGGATTATAGGCATGTGCTACCACGCCCAGCTAATTTTTGTATTTTTAGTAGAGATAGGATTACATCATGTTGGCCAGGCTGGTCTCGAACTCCTGGTCTCAAGTGATCTGCTTGTCTCAGCCTCCCAAAGAGCTGAGATTATAGGTGTGAGCCACTGTGCCCAGCCCCATTCAGTCTTCATAATGGTAGCTTGAGAATAAATTTTAAAATCAGGTAGTATGTGTCCTCCAACTTTGTCTCCCCCTCACCACCAAGATTGCTTTTGCTATTTCCATATAAATGTCTACAACAAAGCTTATCGTATTGGATTTATAGAACAATTTTGGGAAAATAACAGCTTAATATTGTGTCTTACAAACCATGAATTTGTTATGTTTCTTAATTTGTTTAGCTCTTTGATTACTTTCAACAACGTTTTATGATTTTCAGTGTAAAGATAGAGGTCTTACATGTCTTTAGTTAAATTTATTTTTTATTTTTTTTATTTTTTATTTTTCTGATACAGCATCTCACTCTCTTGCCCAGGCTAGAGTGCAGTGTTGGATCTCGGCTCACTGCAACCTCTGCCTCCCGGGTTCAAGGGATTCTCCTGACTCAGCCACCCGAGTAGCTGGGACTACAGATGTGCGCCACCACACCTGGCTAATTTTTGTATTTTTTTTAGTAGAGACAGGGTTTCACTATGTTGGCCAGGCTGGTCTTGAACTCCTGACCTCAGGTGATCCATCTGCCTTGGCCTTGGCCTCCCAAAGTGCTGGGATTACAGGTGTGAGCCACTGTGCCCAGCCAAATTTATTCTTAAGTACTTTGTGTTTTTTGATGCTATTATAAATAGAAATTTAAATCTCAATTTCTTTTTTATTTTTAGAAACACAATAGATTTTCATATATTGTTTATTAATTCTAGCAGTTTTATACATTCCTTAATATTTTATATGTAAATATTCATGTAATCTGCACATATAGACAGCTCTACTTTTTTCTTCTCAATATTTGTGCCTTTTATTTCATATATATATTTAATTTAATTAATTAAATTTTTAAAAAATATGGAGTCTCACTCATTGCCCAGGCTGGGGTGCAGTGGCGCGATCTTGGCTTACTGCAACTTCCACCTCCTGGGTTCAAGTGATTATCCTGCTTCAGCTTCCCGAGTAGCTGGGATTACAGGCATGTGCTACCACGCCTGGCTAATTTTTGTATTTTTAGGAGAGACAGGGTTTCACCATGTTGGCCAGGCTGGTCTCAAACTCCTGACCTCAACTCGGCCTCCCAAAGTGCTGGGATTACAGGTGTGAGCCACTGCGCCCTGCCTAAAGTACATGTTTTGAAGGCAGTATAAATTGAGCCTTGCTTTGTTATTCTTTTAATTAGAATGTTTAGTCCATATATACTTACTGCAGTTTTTTTTTTTTTTTGAGACAGAGTTTCACTCTTGTTGCCCAGGCTGGAGTGTAATGGCGCGATCTTGGCTCTCCGTGACCTCCACCTCCCAGGTTCAAGCAGTTCTCCAGCCTCAGCCTCCCAAGTAGCTGGGATGACAGGCATGTGCCACCACACCCGGCTAATTTTGTATTTTTAGTAGAGACAGGGTTTCTCCATGTTGGTCAGGTGGGTCACGAACTCCCGACCTCAGGTGATCCACCTGCCTTGGCCTCCCAAAGTGCTGGGACAACAGGCGTGAGCCACCGCACCCCGCCCCTTAATGCAGTTTTTATATGGTAAGATTTAGATCTACCATTTTGCTGTGTTTCTTTTTTGTCCCATCTGTTTTTTGTTCTCTTTTTCCTTTCTGTCCTCTTTCAGGTTAATCAAGTATTTTTAGTACTTCATTTAAATATACCTACTTCCTGTATTTTTAAGTGGTTCCTCTAGGGATTACAATATACCTCCATAACCTATCACAGTTTATTCAGAATAAAAGATATAGGCTGGGTGCGGTGGCTCACGCCTGTAATCCCAGCACTTTGGGAGGCCGAGGCCTGTGGATCACCTGAGGTCAAGAGTTCAAGACCAGCCTGGTCAACATGGTGAAACCCCATCTCTACTAAAAATACAAAAAGTAGCTAGGTGTGGTGATACACTCCTGTAGTCCCAGCTACTGGGGAGGCTGAGGTGGGAGAATCGCTTGAACCTGGGAGGCGGAGTTTGCAGTGAGCTGAGATCACGCCACTGCACTCCAGCCTGGGCGACAGAGCAAGACTCTGTCTCAAAAAAAAAAGAAGACCAGCCTGGACAACATGGTGAAACCCTGTCTCTACAAAAATACAAAAATTAGCTGGGCATGATGGCAGGTGCCTGTAATCCCAGCTACTTGGGAGGCTGTGGCAGGAGAATTGCTGGAATCCAGGAGGTGGAGATTGAAGTGAGCTGAGATGGCGCCCTTGCACACTCCAGCCTGGGTGACAGAGGGAGATTCTGTCTAAAAAAAAAAAAAAAAAAAAAAATATGAACCTTACAACAATATAATTCAATTTATCTGTCTTTTATGCTATTGTTGCCACACATTTCACTTCTACATGCATTAAAAACTCCACAATAAAATATTATTTTGATGTTCACCAGTCAATTAAAAGCAGAGAAAAAAATTTGTTCATGTATTTGTCCATATACTCACTGTTTCTAGTATTCTTTCATACCCTTCTAAAGATCTAACTTCTGGGGGGCAGGCATGGTGACTCATGCCTGTAATCCCAGCGCTTTGGGAGGCTGAGGCAGGAGGATCACTTGAGCCCAGGAGTTTGAGACCAGCCTGGGCAACATAATGAGACCCCTGTCTCCACACACATACAAAATTAGCCGGGCATTGTGCTACATTTTGGACTCAAGCGATTCTCCTTCATTGGCTTCCCAAATTGCTGAGATGACTGCGAGTGAGCCACCGTGCCCAGCAACATTTCTTATTCTGCAGGTCTGCTGGCAATTAATGCCCTATGCTTTCATTTATCTGAAAAGATCTTTATTTCACTGGACTGACAGGTTTTTGTTTACTTTTCAGCATTTTAAAGATGATATTCCATTGTTTTCTGGCTCCATGGTTTCTGATGAGAAGTCAGGATTCATTTGTATTGTTTCTCTGTACGTAATCTGTTTGCTATTATGTCTTTTTCTATGGCTACTGTCAAGACTTTCTCTTTCTTGCTGGGCATGGTGGCTCACGCCTGTAATCCCAGCACTTTGGGAGGCCGAGGTGGGCAGATCACCTGAGGTCAGGAGTTCGAGACCAGCCTGACCAACATGGAGAAACCCCGTCCCTACTAAAAATACAAAATTAGCCGGGCGTGGTGGCGCATGCCTGTAATCCCAGCTACTCGGGAAGCTGAGGCAGGAGAATTGCTTGAACCTGGGAAGTGGAGGTTGTGGTGACCTGAGATCACGCCTTTGCACTCCAGCCTGGGCAACAACAGCAAAACTCTGTTTCAAAAAAAAAAAAAGACTTTTTCTTTCTTTTTTGTTTTTAACAGTTTGATTATGATGTGTTTAGGTATTGTTTTCTTCGTATTTATCATACTTGGATTTTGCTAAACTTTTTGGATTTCTAATGAGGTTTTTCATCAAATTTATGAAATTCAAATACTTTTTCTGTCAAATACTTATTTGGGGGCTTACCCCCTTTGTGCCCCTCTTCTTTCCAGGATTTCTCCTTCAATTTCTAGCCATTTTAGCAGCCCCTAATTCCACCCTTTAATATCTCAAGCAGCTTCCTGCGTCCTAGAGATTTCTTCCTGAGTCCTAGCTTCCATGCACTGCCCAGATTGGGTAGCGCCTTCAGGAGGAAAGTATAGAAAACGAGATTTCCCCAGTGTGGTTCCCATCTAACAAGGGTGAATCTCCTCCAATTTCAGACTGTTTTTGTTTGCTCTGCAGTGCTTTCAAATCCTTGTTTTTGTTTTTTAATTCAAATACAGCGTTTTACTCTGTCACTCAGGCTGGAGTGCAGTGGCGCAATCTCAGCTCACTGCAGCCTCAAACTCCTGGGCTCAAGCCATCCTCTTGCCTCAGCCTCCCAAGTAGCTGGGACTACAGGTGCACGCTACCACGCCCGGTGAATTAAAAAAAAATTTTTGTTTTTTGAGACAGACTCTCACTCAGCCACCCAGGCTGGAGTGCAGTGGTGTGATCTCGGCTCACTGCAACCACTGTCTTCTGGGTTCAAGCGATTCTCCCATCTCAGCCTCCCAAGTAGCTGGGATTACAAGCACCCACCATCATGCCTGGCTAATTTTTGTATTTTAGTAGAGACGGGGTTTCACCTTGTTGGCCAGGCTGGTCTTGAACTCCTGACCTCAGCTGATCTACCTGCCTTGCCTTCCAAAGTGCTAGGATTACAGGCTTGAGCAACTGTACCTGGCAAAAAAAAAAAAAAGAAAATTTTTTTTTTTTCCAGAGACAGGGTCTCGCATGTTGCCCAGGCTGGTCTTGAACTCTTGGGCTCAAGCGATCCTCCCACCTTGGCCTCCTGAAGTGCTGGGATTACAAGCTTGAGCCACCATGCCCAGCCAAATCCTTGTTTTTATATTTTGTCCAACATTTATATTGTTATCTGGAGGAGGGTGGAGGATAATACTCCACCATTAACAGAGTCAGAATCATTTTCTCCCTGTTTTAGAAAGCTAGCAACACTAAGGCATCCTGGCAAAGGCCTGTCAGCAAGGACATCTATCCCTTCATGTTGCCTCCCATTCTGAGCTATTCCTATAACTCACCCAGTTGCATTTCATAGTGAAGTGGATACTTGAATTGTTTTTGGCTGCTCAGCCTCTAAACTCTATTCTCATGTTTGGGGAATTCTCTATCCCATGAGTCTTACAGTAAGTCAAAGCCCACCTCCCAGAATGGAAATCTCAAATGCCATCTACACAGTTTCTCAGCATCCTTGAAGCAAGGGTGGGACCACATAACCTAGACTCAGCCAATCAAATGCATGGGGGACTTTGACTCAAAGATGTAGGGCCAACAAAGAGTCCATCATGGTGACAGAGGCAGCAGTGGCCATATCTAGTTTCTGGGGGCAGCAATGGGGTTGGGTTTGGTGCTGGAGAAAGTGGAGATGTGAACTGTGGTGTCCATTGTTCAGCAGTGGCAGCTACCTGAATATATGGCCAATAATTTTTTTGTATGTTTAAGTCTGCCAGAATTGGTTTTTGTTGATTACAAATGAGAATTTTGATGCTGGGCACGTTGGCTCACGCCTGTAATCCCAGGACTTTGGGAGGCCGAGGCGGGCAGACTACGAGGTCAGGAGATCAAGACCATCCTGGCTAACACGGTGAAACCCCGTCTCTACTAAAAATAAGAATACCAAAAATTAGCTGGGCGTGGTGGTGGGTGCCTATAGTCCCAGCTATTCCGGAGGCTGAGGCAGGAGAATGGCGTGAACCCGGGAGGCAGAGGTTGCAGTGAGCCGAGATCGCACCACTGCACTCCAGCCTGGGCAACAGAGCGAGGCTCCATCTCAAAAAAAAAAAAAAAAAAAGATAACATTGAAATGTCCACCTAGTGATAAATACCAACAATCCCATCTTAGGAAAATGGGGACTGGAGATCTTGTTAGACAAACCTAAAACAGGCCCTGAGCCATACTGGGGAGATGCCTTGTCTGAGCCTGCTTCCTCAGGATACGGCCCCATCTTCCTTTCCAATCCTTCCCCACTACTCTGCTTTCGCCACAGATCCATCTGAATTCCCCCAAGCATTGTGCCTTTTCCTTCCTTCCTGGCTTTGCAGCTGTTGTGTGTCCTCTCTCTGGAATGCAGTTATCATTCCTCCCTCTGAATTGCTGACACCATGTCCTAATTGGTCTTCCTGTCTGCATCCCTTTTGGTGCATGTCCAATCCATTCTTCACACATCCACCAGAGCATCTTCTCCAAATGCATGTCTGATCATGTCACCTCTCTGCACAGCCTCTTCATTGATACTTGGATGAAGAACAAATTCCTTACATGACCCTCCAGGCCCAGCATGGTCTCGTTCCTGGTACCCCTCCAACTTTATTGGGAGACACTTAGGAGGTAGTCCGGGACTAGGTAGCTAAGGAGTGAGGTGGACAAGAAAGGAGTCAAGGATCACACTCAGATTTCTGGTTGGGCAGAGGTAGGGAAGCTCCTTATTAGTTTCTCAATTTCTAACATCTTGAAGGAGCACATCAGTAAGGCTTCAGTCAGGCTCAAGTCCTTTTTTTTTTGAGATGGAGTCTCACTCCGTCGCCTCAGCTGGAGAGCAGTGGCATGATCTCGGCTCACTGCAACTTCCATCTCCCAGGTTCAAGCGATTCTCCTGCCTCAGCCTCCTGAGTACCTGGGACTACAGGCGCGTGCCACCACACTTGGCTAATTTTTGTATTTTTAGTAGAGACAGGGTGTTGGCCAGGCTGGTCTTGAACTCCTGATCTCAGGTGATCCACCCACCTCAGCTTCCCAAATTGCTGGGATTACAGGCGTGAGCCACCACACCCAGCTCAAGTCCTTTGTTGAACAAGGAGCTGAAAACTCATCCACCCACTCACTTACACTTCAGTCTGACTTTAGTCTGACACTCAGCTACCTGCCCAGCTACGCAGAAGCTTTGGGTTTGAGTCCTTGCTCTACCTTTCATTTGCTATGCCCTTGGCTTAAGCAGTTTCCCTTGTAAAGTTTTGTGTTCTCATCTAAAAAGCAGACATAATACTTCCTTTCTCTCTCTCTATCTCTCCTTTTCTTTCTTTTCTTTTTCTTGCTTTCTTTCTTTTTTTTTTTTCTTGCTTTCTTTCTTCTTCTTCTTTTTTTTTTTTATTAAAGAGACAGGGGTCTCTGCACAGGCTGGAGTGCAGTGGTATAATCATAGCTCATGGCAGCCTCAAACTCTTGGTCTAAAGGTATCCTCCTTCCTTGGTCTCCCGAGTAGTTAAGACTACAGGCACACACCACCAAACCCAGCTAGTTTTTTGTTTTTTTATTTTTTGTAGAGATCTCACTATGTTGCCCAGGCTGGTCTCAAACTCCTGGGCTCTAGCAATCCTCCTGCCTCAGCCTCCCAAAGTGCTGGGATTACAGGCATGAGCCACCACACCCAGAACCACCCTTTCTCATTTTTTAATAAGAAATGATTGTGAGTGGTAAATTTCAGGCATGTGACTCGCCCTAGTTGGAACACAGTTGGAGATGACCATCTCCTATGAGCCTCAGCTGCAGAAGCCATTTGCCTTTGAGCAAAAATCACTCTGTTGCTCAGGTGGAGGATGTGACACAAATGGGTTGACGGGAAGAATGGAGGCCACCAGTCCTCTCGACCGTGACTTCCCTTGGAGAATTACATGGAGAGTTGGCACAGACAGACCCTGACCCAAACCTCTGAGTCATCCTGGATCCTCCATTATTCACAGCCAGTCCCTCAGTAGGTGCTGGCAGCTCCCCTTTCAAATATATCCTGAACCCGGCCAGGCGTGGTGGCTCACGCCCGTAATCCCAGCACTCTGGGAGGCCGAGGCGGGTGGATCACTTGAGGTGAAATCCCGTGTCTCTACTAAAAATACAAAATTAGCTGGGCAGGATGGCATGCGCCTGTAGTCACAGCTACCTTAGGAAGCTGAGGCACTAGAATCGCCTGAACCTGGAAGGCAGAGTTTGCAGTGAGCTGAGATCGTGCCACCGCACTCCAGCCTGGGCAACAGAGTAAGACTCTGTCTCAAAAAAAAAAAAAAATCTGCTTCCCAAATATATCCTGAACCCCATTACTTCCTTCATTTCTGTGGCCACCTGTCTTGCCCAAAACCCCACCCTGACGACTGCAATAATGGGGTGCCTTGCCTCTGCTGTTGTCCAGTACCAAGTCATCTCTATCCAACAGTTAGAGTGACCTTTAAAAATGTAAAGCAGATACTGGTGCTCAGCTGCTTAAACCTCCCACTGGCTCCCCAAACTCCTCATCCTCAACTACAAGTTCTGTGTGACCCCAACCCTGCTGCCTCACCTGTACCACCCCTTGCCTGTTCACCAACACCAGGAGCACTGTCCTTGCTCCTGCGCCTCTACAGTTGCTGCTCCTTCTGCCTGGGCAGCATCTTCCCTGACTGTCCCCTCACATCGCTGATTCTTTTCCGCAGGTTTCAGCCCAAAGCCCACCTCCTCGGAGGGCCTAGGGCCTTTTTCTAAGTCTACTTGTCCCTATCACCCTGTTTCATTATTGCTTTATTTTCTTCATAAAACTTATTACTGGCTGAGATTATATTGTGGATATACAAAGAGTTCTCCTCAACATTATCACTTTTACATTTTATTAATTTTTTTTTTTTTTGAGATGGAGTCTGGCTCTGTCACCCAGGCTGGAGTGCAGTGGCGTGATCTCGGCTCACTGCAATCTCCACTTCCCAGGTTCAAGTGATTCTCCTGCCTCAGTCTCCCAAGTTGCCAGGACTACAGGCGCCCGCCACCATGCCTGGCTAATTTTTTTTTTTTTTTTTTTTTTGTATTTTTAGGAGAGACAGGGTTTCACCATGTTAGCCAGGCTGGTCTTGAACGCCTGACCTCAAGTGATCTACCCGCCTTGGCCTCCCAAAGTGTTAGGATTACAGGCATGAGCCACTATGCCCGGCCATTTTATTAATACATAAATATGTTTTTCAAAAATTAGCTGGGCGTGGTGGTGGGCGCCTGTAGTCCCAGCTACTCGGGAGGCTGAGGCAGGAGAACGGCCCGAACCCAGGAGGCAGAGCTTGCAGTGAGCCGAGATTGCGCCACTGCACTCCAGCCTGGGTGACAGAGCAAGACTCCGTCTCAAAAAAAAAAAAAAAAAAAAAAATATATATATATATATATATATATATATGTTTTTCATAGAGCCTGGCAGGTAAAGCAAAATTGTCCTCTTGACTCTTCTTCTGCCATCGTTGCTCCCTCACTGGAATTTAAAGTAAATTAAATCGACCGGGAGCAGTGGCTCACGCCTGTAATCCCAGCACTTTGGGAGGCCAAGGTGGGTGGATCACCTAAGGTCAGGAGTTCGAGACCAGCCTGGCCAACATGGTGAATCCCTATCTCTACAAAAATACAAAAATTAGCTGGGCATGATGGCAGTGGCTGTAATTCCAGCTACTGGGGAGGCTGAGGTGGCAGAATTTCTTGAACCCAGGAGGCAGAGGTTGCAGTGAGCCAAGATCATTCCATTGTACTCCAGCCTGGGTGGCAGAGCAAGACTTCGTCTCAAAAATAAATAAAATAAATAAATATATTTAGATGTTTTGGGCATCAGCATGGAGAGATCCATTGGAGATCTTATGGTTTGGTCAAACCTGTTTTACAGGTGGGGAAACTGATGTGGAGAGTGGCAGGACCTGGCTTCACCATCCTGGTTAGGGATCTCCTGTCATCAAAGAAGATTCTAGTCTGCTCCTTTCCAGATCTCTGAGCCCTGCAGAAACAACAGGTGGCTTCCTCTTCTTCCTCTGTAGAGGGTGAAACCCAGAGGCCAAGACTGGGAGGAGGGTTCTGGGCTTTCATCCATACTCTCTAGCTCCTAACATTGCCCAGAGGTGGGCCACCCTGCCTACCCATCAGCCTCCCCCTGCCCCTCTGCCAAATCTGGACATAATTATAGTAATTATACTGCATATAAACAGTATAGGTAACTGCTTCTGAGCATAATTACAGGAGATGTTTACATACTCACAACAGCATCAGAGTAAATGATAGCTTACTTTCCCCTTAATACTTAGATATCAGGGACCTATCCGGGATAATTAGCCAAATCTCAGTAGTGAGGGTGTGGTAAAGACCTTACCGTTTCCCACTACCTGCAAAGCAGGAAGGCACCTCAGACAAAGCAGGGTCCCAGCCAAGATTTCACAGGACATCAAGAAGCCTGCAGAGAAGTGGGCTAACATCTACTGGGCACCTACTGTATGCAGGCGCTCAGGGGAGGCCAGCAAACACAAGCGAGTTCTTTCAACCTATTAACAATTCTGCAGGCTGATATTAGTGTATCCTCACTTTACAGGTCCGGACATGGGTTCTCAGAAGCTTAGTGCACAGGGTCACCCACAGCGAGCCATGGAGCTGGGCATGGGCGCTTTCCACGGTGCTACCCGGTCACAGCAGCGGGCCAGCTCTGCCCTCTTCCTTTATCGCCTCTTCTCACTTCTCACAGCTTCCTCTTCCTGGGCGGCCTCCTGCAGCCCCTGCTGGCCGCGGGTCTCCGCTCAGTTCCCCAGTGTCAAGGCCGTCTACTGCCCCCTCCGCCCCTTCTTCCTGTCCCTGTTGTGTGGCTGGGTGTTATCTCTCCAGTAGAAGGGGGTGGGGTGGGTGGAATGGGGAAGGGTGGAGCACAGGGCGAAGGCCTTGCCAGGCATCCCGGGGTCTCCAGCTAAGCGAGGGGCCGCAGGGAGCGCGGCCTCGGGGTCGCCAGACCCTCGGCTTCCAACCACCCGCACACACAAAGGCTGCCCCGGCATGCGCGGGAGAGCGCGCTCGCACCCACGGCCGTGCGCACACACGCACAACTGCACAAAGACGTGCACACTCCTCCATCCACACCAATACACTCCCTAATAGGGCCCGCACACAGCCGTGCGCCCTCACATACACCACACCACCACCACCACCACCACACACACACACACACACTCTCACACGGACTCGCACGCGGGTGGACCCCCTCCCCCACCACAAACGCCGACCTTGGGGCCCTGACGCGTCCCGCCGCGCTGCCCTGCCTCGCTGGGCGGCGCGCGCACACGCAGACGCGCACACACACACACATACACACACGCACACACCCCGCGCGGTTCCACGCCCCTGGCCGCGGCCCGGGCGCTGCGCTGCTCGACGCGGCGGGCGGCGGGCGGGGACCGGGGGCGGGGGCGGCGGCGGCGGCCGGGAGAGCGGAGGAGGCGGAGCAGGGAGCCGGGAGCGGGCTGGCCCGCGCTCCTCCTGCTGGCTGGGGATTTTCCAGCCTGGGCGCTGACGCCGCGGACCTCCCTGCGACCGTCGCGGACCATGGGCGACAAAGGGACCCGGTGAGTGCAGGGCGGCCGCCCGGCGGGGGGCGCGTGGGGGCGACCTCGGCGAGGACACGGGCGGGGGCTCCGATTGCGTCCTGGTTCTGCGTTCGCGGCCACCGCGGGATCTAGTACCAGCTCTCCTCCACCCGAGGTCTCCTGTGTGGTCTCCCCGGCAGGGCCGTGGGCGGGGGGACCCAAAGGGCGAGGGCCGGGCCGCCCCATGTGGGCCGCAGCTCCTGGCCCGGACACACAGCTCGCTGACACCCAGCATTGGCCGGCAGCCGCAGAGACGCACGGGGGCAGGTTGACACACAATACACGCACGGGCACACTAACCCGTGGCACAGGCATGCTGGCGCACACACTGGCAACCGCTAGCACACGCTCATCACACGCAGTGGCACGCCGTCATACACGCCTCGGTCAACACATTCTTGCTGACAGCCTTGTTGGCATGCACAGCTCACAATCCAACACACACCAATTCTAGCACACCCTCGTGCTGGCACACACGTGTGGGCATACACTGATACGCACACTGTCACCTGCACTCGCTGTAGCAAACACTCTTGCTGGCACACACATCACCCTCACTGGCACACACACTTGTGCTGGCATGTCTCACCAACACAGCGGAGCGCAAGGCCACACCAACACTGACCCCCACAGACACAATCAGACTGATGCCCTCAAAGACTGGCACCCCACAGGCACGAGCTGCTAGCCCAAGGCCCGCTGACACACACGCTTCAGGCCCCACATGGCCAGAAGTGGAAACACACACATCACACAGGGTAGAGCGCCCCCCGCCACCCCCAGCCTGGGGAAAACAGATCGCATTTCATCCAAATAGATCCCATCCATCTACTCTGTTCCCTTTCCCTCTGACCTCCTGAGGAGTGGCTGGCCAGGGGCTGTTTTGAACCTAGGGCTGGGAGAACCCCTCCCGTTCTCCTAGAACCTGTCCTGAAATACTCAGAAACAGTCTCTGCCTCTGAAAGGGGAAACTGGGACAAAAGGAGGAGGGGGCTGGAGCAGGACAGCCCCTGGGGGCAGCCCTTCAGACAGGACCAGCGCTGGTCAGGGGCTCAGCGTTGCCACCCTATTTTCCCCGTTGCCCTCCCCACCCCCTAAGTGGGCACAGCAGCCTCTCCCTGGGCTCCCCCTCTTTCTCATTGTTTTCTGTCTTTCTCTTCTATTCTTGTGTCCGACTTCTGCCTCCTTCCTTTCCTCCCCTCCCCTCTCCTCGTTTCCATTTATTATTAAGCTCTTGCTGTATACTAGGCGTAGTGTGGGGGATCAAAGATGCGCAAGGCCCACTCCTCCCCTGAAGGAGCTAACAGACTAGAGAGACACCACCCCGGTGGGCACCACCTTTCAGGGCCACTGACAAAGCTATTTCTCACCCACTGCCATCTAAGACTCTCTCTCCACAGTGTGAGAAAGGGCTTGCAGAGATTATTTCCATTTTCTAGAGGAGGAAACAGGCTCAGAGGCAACTCAGGCTCTTAATGTTTAGAAACTACTTTCCAGCCATCCTCCTGACAGCTCTTCCAGGAGGTTAATTTTCCTCTTCCTGTTTTCTAGCAGAGGAACCAGAGGGCTAGAGGCCATGTGATTTGCCTAAGGTCAAAAGGGGCCAGAGGCAGGGCGGAGGCTGGAGTCCACTTGGTCATGTCTCTGTGGATGGCCCTAGGGCACTGCCAGGCCCCTCATGGGCCAGGGAGGGGAGCCCTGCTCTGTGCTGGAGGCCCAGGCTTTGGGGGGGACGGCAGAAGATCATGCTGTGTCTGCATGAACCTTGATGGCTAGTCCCCATTGCAGCTGGCTGGCCAGCACTGTGACCTAGGCCTCTGTCCTCAGTAGGAAGGTATGTGACTCCTTCCCCAGCCACATCCATCTGCCCTGAAATTAAGACCCTCTTGACCCATGAGGTCAGGCTTTTCTTCCTGCAGGGCATAGCAGGGAGTCGGAGCCATTCTCCACTCCATTGTCCTTCCTAGGCTGCCTTGTGATCGGAGTGACTCAGCCTCTCTTGGGTCTCTCTGTACCTCTCTGTGACTTGGGGGATAAGTGTCATTGTTGTCCTGCTGACATGATTGTCAGGAAGATGTGGACACCATGGGCTTCCAGGCACCTGTTGGAGACCCTGTCTCTGAGGCCAAGGTATTTTCCATGGCTCCCCCTGCCCTGCCTCAAACTCACTGGTGGACCTTTGGGACATTGGGCAATTGCCTTTACTTTTCCGGACGTTAGTTTCCCATCTGTAAACTGGAGCTATCAATACTTACATTTTAGGGCTTCCCTTGTACTTACTGACTTCACTGGGCAGGGGAAGAGGCACTGCCTGAAGCCTGGAGCCAAGGCCCGGCTAAATCCACCTGATGGTGGCCCAGACCTCCCCTTCAGACTCTCCTGCAGCCCCATGAGGCCTTTCTGTCCCTTTCCGGACAGTTGGCTAAGTAATTTGGAAAAGAAGGGCAAAATCAGTAATGGGCTGTACCTTGTCTTTTTCCGTAAGGCATGAGTACCTATGACTTAGAAGAGGAATCTGCAGATATCAAAAACTGAACATCAGGAATCATCGCAACCATCCCTCCATCTGGAATTGCACCCCCATGTGAAAGTGACAATGAAAATTTATCACAAACTGTCATTGCCCTCTAGGAACTCCCAGGGTCAAGGGGGAAAGAGGTGTTAAATACCTGGACAGGGCTGTGCGCGGTGGTTCACGCCTGTAATCCTAGAACTTTGGAAGGCTGAGATGGGCAGATTGCTTGAGCTCAGGAGTTCGAGACCAGTCTGGGCAACATACCATCTCTACAAAAAACACAAAAATTAGCTGAGTGTGGTGGCACATGCCTATAGTCCTAACTACTCTGGAGGCTGAAGTGGGAGGATCACTTGAGCCCTGGAGGTTAAGGCTGCAGTGAGCCATGATCATGCCACTGCACTCCAGCCTGGATGAGAGAGTGAGACCCTGTCTGAAAAAATAAAAAAAAAAAATACCTGGACAGGACTAATCACAGGGCAGGAGTATGATGGTTGCTGCAAGGTGCTCTGGGAACAATCATATATTCATTCAACAAATGTTGATGAGTGCCTTCTGAGTGCCCAGGGCCTGGGGATTCAGCAAGGAAGGAGTCTACTCTGTCCTCCAGGGATTTAGAGCAGAGCAGGTGGTCATAACGCAGGATGACATGTGTTGTGGGAGGCTTAAGGAGAAGTCCCCAACCCAGGCCCAGGCAGGGAGCATGGTACAGGAAGCTCTCCTGGAAAGGAGGTGGCGTTGGAACTACTGAGCTTCATCTGGAAGGATGAATAGGCCAAGGGGGCGGGATTGGGAATGATATTTCTGGCCAAGGGTGCAGAATGTGCAGTGGCTTGGAGGCAGGAAGCAAGGCGTGCAGCCTGGGGCCTGGGCTGGGGATGATAGTGAGCCTTAAGAGGTAAACACAGACCGGTCACCAGCAGTCTGGGAATGTCAGGCTAAGGAGAGAGCATTTTCTCCTGAAGTGGATGGTGATTCAGAGAAGAGTGTGAGGCAGCAGAGGGCTGGAAGCAGATGTTTTCATTTCAGAGAGATGTCTTTGGCAGCGCCAAGTAGGGTGGATGGGAAGAGCAGGCCTAGAAGCAGGAAGACCAGTGAGGAGGCTGGGGAGAAACCTGAGAACTAAGGCTGTGAGCTCTGAACTTAGGCTGCAGAGAGGATAGAGTTGAGAAATATGAATGTGAATAGGAGGTGGAGTCCATCAACCTTGCTGGTCGATTGGACCTTTGCCAGGTATCTGGTGTGTGTTAGAATTACACGCATAATCTCAATGAATTCAACTGTAATCTAGTAGTGTAGTCATTGTTGTCCCCATTTTGCAGATGAGGAAACAGACTAGAAGAGATTAAGTATTTGTTCACTGCCATTCAGCCAGCAAGCATAAGAACCCAGGCCTATTGACCCACAAAGCCCTCTCTGCTACTCGACGCTTTTGCCCAAGAGAGGGGGCCTTGTCTGGCTCACAGTTGGCCTCCCCAGCAGCTCCCAGCCTCAAGTTGTGCGTCCTTTCTGGGCCTTGCCGTTTCCACTTACTCAACAGACAACATGAAGGATCAGATTTAGACAACAGGAGGGACTTCCTGAGAGGCAGTGGTAGGGAATGGAATTTCCTTTCCTGCAGATGAACTCCTCTTTTTTCAGAGAAAGGAGGGTGATGAGGACATGTAATCACCAGCTCTCTGTGAACTTTGGCTGTCATTTCTCTTGGTGGTTAAGCCCTGTGTGACCCATCTTGGCTGGAACATGGGGAAGTCCTGTGGCTTTGGCCAGGGCTGCTCATGGGGCCGCTGGGAGTGGTAGCATCAAGTCTGGCCCACTGTCTCTGATCCCTGATTCCAGGCCGGCCTCTGGGCTTCAGACTTCTCCACTGCTCTCTTCCTTCCAAGTTTGGGCCTCCTTGCCTGAGGCTGACGCCTCCCGTTGGCATGGGTCCAGAGGTCCTGAGTTGTGGGCTTGCCACTTCCAGGGCTTCTGACACTTTGGGTTGGTGGCAGTAGAACAGCAGGCTGGGAGTCAGCACACCCCAAGTGAGGTCCTGGCCTCTACACAGCCATGCTCCGCTACTGCCAGAGTGCCCGCGCCTACCATCTGGCTGAGGCCTGCATGGCTGGGAGCAGCTTGGTGAGGGAGCCAGGGCAGTCTGTTATAGGCTGGACGTAGTGGGGCTTCTGCATAGAAGGGTCTGGATCCTGGGGTAAGAATCAAGGTGCGAGGCAGGGCTTTGGAAATGTGGATGAATGACATCGCATAGGGAGGAGGTATAGAGTATGAAGAGAGGATGATTAGGGACAGCCAGGGCCTTGGAGAGCACCAGTGCCTGGGTATGGAGAGAAGAGGGAGGAAACTGACGGAAGGCCATATTCTTGGAGCCAAAGAAGCAGGGACAGACCCACAGAGGATGAGCTGGAGCGAGACCCCTCAGATTCAGCCAGAAGGCATTAGCTGGTGGCATGGGTTTTGGTGGAGTGGTGAGGGCAAAACTAGGCTACAGCGGGCAGAGAGGAGTGGGAGGGGACCCTGCTTTTCTACATGCCTGGAGCAAGGCTTGAGCCTCTTGGAGGAAGGGCGTGAGGCCCTGGGCTGGGAGCAAGCAGTATGGCGGCAGGCAGTGAAGACTGGGTATGGGAACCTAGGGGTTTTATCTCATCCACCCCCTCCCTCTGCCTTATGTCCAGAGGCAGAAGACCACTGCCCTGTGCTCTCCTTTCAGGCTCAGGCTGAGGGGTTGTGAAGTGTGAGCTGGTCCTGGGGAAGACATGTAATGTGCTGGCTCCAGAAAGGAGGGGCTTCTGACTCAGGTGGGGGACTTGGAGGAAGGCTTCTTTGAAGAGGTGACCCCGGAGCTGGGTGCTGGAGTATGAGAAAGACTTAGGCAGGAGTAAGGTGTTCTAGACAGAAGAAAGAGCCTAGGCCAAGGTGCAGATACTGGCTGCAGGTGTGGGAGTGTGAGGGGTGAGGCTGTGGAGGAAGGGACAGCCTTGGCCAGCAGGTCTTGGATGCTGGAGGGGGTGGTTTCAAGGTACTTTCTTATTCATTCATACCTCAGGCTGAGTGAGCTCCCCATTTGGTAAGCAGCTTGTGGTTCAGGGCTATTTCTGTTTCTCAGTTGATGCTTCCTTACCCACGCTGGGTCTGCTTCCCCAGGAGATGCCTGGCAGAGGTTTGCTGAACTGGACTGAAAATTTTTTTCCCTTCTTGCCTCTGCTATCGGTCCAGGGACTCCCTAAGTGCTGAAATTAGGCCTTTCCCATTAGTGAATCGTAAGACTGAAAGCGATATTTCCCACATTAGGCAAGTTCTCAAAAGAGAGGGGTGGGGTCCTGACTCCTCCATCAGACTGGGAAGTCCTGAGGGACAGGGTTATACCACTCCTATTAGCATGGGGCGCCTGAGCGGGAGGCCTGGGGCTCCCTCATCTGATTGGCTTTTGCAGGTGGGAGCCATGTCTCCCTCCTCAGACTGGAGGCTTCTGAAGGAAGGATGTCTCCTCCATCACACCGGGGGCTCCTGAGGTTGGGGCCTTGTCTCCCATGTGAGCCCTGGGATTAGAACAGGTATCGTCTCAGATGGTCCCTGGGCACCCTGTGTTCTTCCCTCCTATGTGGACAGGATGGTTCCTGTCCCAGGGGTGGCTTGAGTCCTAGTAGGGGGTTGGAGAACAGAGGGGGTTGGCAGGACAGGGTGGCTGCTTTTGAGAGGGTAACAAAGGACTCTGTTGTCCCAGCCCCCTCCCGCCTTCCCTAAGGGGCCCTGGCAGGGTCATCTCTCGGGAGACGCGCCTCCTCCTTCCTGGGACTGGCCCCATCTTTAGCCCCACTTCAGAAGAACTGCTTGTTCCTTCCCAGGAGACCTGGTGCCAGATGAAGCCCCTGGGAGTTGGACAAGACAGGTCCCCAGAATTGTGTGTGACTAAGGTCACCGCAGGAACTGAACAGCTTTTCCTCTGCCTGGGGCTGGGCGGCACCTGGCTGAGGCCACAGTTGAGCTTCTGCCTCCCTGCACCTGGAGAGGGATCTGCTGGTCTAAAGGGCCTTCAGCACTGGAAGCACTGTGACTGATGTCGAGTCAGCGGGAGGCAGGATGCAATGTCTGAACCATTCAGTGGTTCAACAGCCCGTGTATGGGCCTGGATGAGGCAGGAGGTCCCTTTCATGCTGGCCCTGGGCCTGTAGCCCACAACCAACTCACTTGGTCCTTGTGCGGCCACACCCTTCCCTCAGCCTTGCAGGGAGGCTTGTCGAACTGGACTGAACTCTTTCTTCCTTTCTTCCCCCATCACACTGGGGGCTCCTGAAGTTGGGGCCTTGTCTCCCACATGAGCCCTGGGATTAGAATAGGTATCATCTCAGATGGTTCCTGGGCACCTTCTCTTCTGCCTTCCCGTGTGCAGGATGCGTCCATCCTAGGGGTGGTTTGAGTCCTAGTAGGGGGTTGGAGAACAGAGGGTTGGACAGAGGGTGAGCAAACCTCTGCTAGGTTTGTTCCCTCTTCACCCTTGCCCCTGCCTTGTGCAAAGGGCATGGACAGGTTTTGGCATAGGGCCAGGGGAGGGGTGGGGAGTAGACTGCTGTGGCTCACCATCTCAGAATGGTCCCAGAGGCATGCTCTACTGCTTACTTATTGCTGTGTGACCTTGGGCATGACATGCACCCTCTCTGGGTCCTAGTTTCCCTGTGAAGTCAAATCAGGTGAGAGGCCCTTTTGCTAGCAGGTCCAGGAGTGACCTTTCTTCTGGGCGGCCAAAGTCTCAGGCCTCTGCTACAGGCCAGTGGGACTGAGACCACCAGGGAGTGTGTCCTGGGTGGGGATGGGTGTTGGGTGCTGGCGGCCAGGAAGGAATTGGCTACTGCTCGAAAGGGTAGTGCTGTCTCCCATGGTATCAGGTCCTTGAACAGCAGTCATGTTCACCTCCAGGGACATAAAGCATCTGTAGCAGGTCCAGGGCAGTGGCTCATGCCTGTAATCACAGCACTTTGGGAGGCCGAGGCGGGTGGATCACTTGAGGTCAGGAGTTCGAGACCATCCTGGCTAACACGGTGAAACCTTGTCTCTACTAAAAATATGAAAAATTAGCTGGGCGTGGTGGCGGGCGCCTGTAGTCCCAGCTACTCCGGAGGCTGAGGCAGGAGAATAGCATGAACCCGGGAGGCGGAGCTTGCAGTGAGCCGAGATCACGCCACTGCACTCCAGCCTGGGCGACAGAGGGACAGAGCAAGACTCTGTCTTAAAAAAAAAAAAATACTCAGGTCAGGAACACTTCCTCCAGGAAGCCTTCTCTGCTGCTCTGGGGCCTCCTCTGGGCACCTGCAGGCCCTTCGGTGATCTGATTAGCATGGATTATTAGCAGATTAGCATAGCGGTTAGGCTCTTGGAAGAACCAGATTTCCTGGTTTCCAGTCCCAGCTCTGACACTTACCAGCTGGGTGGCTTCCCTGATTACTTAACCCTTTCTCTGCTGTGGCTCCCTTATCTGTAAAATAGGGTAGTAGGTTGTCATGAGGACTGAGTTAAAATTAAGTAAGATAAAGCAAAGAAAGTCCCTGTGCAAGGTCAGTTTTATGCGGTTCTTATCGCTTATATGACGTCTCACCGGCCCTGCCTCCCTAACCCAGCTGTGAGCTCCCCCAGGGAAGGACCCTGTTTGATTCATTTTTTTGAGCCTCCCAAGGCCTCATTACAAGCCTGTATTATTGCTGGCTTTCAGTACCTGATTGCTGACTTGACCACATACAACAGCTGTCCCATCCTTCAAGGCCTGGATCACATACACCTCTTCCTCTGGGAAGCCCTCACTGGATTCCCAGCGCTTTGTGACCTTCTTGTAATCTCTCTCTCTCAGCACTCATCCCTCCCTCCCTGCATAGGTCCTGGTTATTTGCACACTCGTGATGATGTCATCTTGTGAGGTCAAGAACTTTTCAAGAGCACCCTGGATCTGCTTGTCCCCAGCACCTGCGCAGACCTGGCATGCCGCTGAGCTCCATAAATATTTGTTCAGCCAAGGCATTTCGCTGGGAGGAGATACTCTAGGGGGTGGGCAGTGTGGTTGGTGAGGACCATAGGACATCATTGCTGATTTCAAAATATCTCAAAGTAGCCCAGAGCCATAGGAATTAGATTATTCTTTGTGACCTAAAGGGCAGAGGTCACTGGATGTTCAGCTTTACCTTGCTTGAAGACTGTATTTTCTGACAACCAGAGCTCTCTGGGAAGGGGATTGGCGGCTCATTCCCGCCTCAGGGCCTTTGTTCCTGCTGCGCCTCTCTGTCTACTTGGTCCAATCCTACTTCCTAAATAGGTGCCCCGGCCACGGAGCCATTCTCTCCCGGCCTCTGGAGGGCGCGCTCCATTCTTCATCCTCATCCTCAGTCATGTACTGAGCCTTTCCCGGGTGTGGGCAGTGGCATGGGAGAGTAGGGAGTCCCTCCTTAGGATGGACATCTGGGTCTGGCTGCAGTCCCTCCAGTGTGGTTTGACCCGGCCTGAGGAGGGGACCATGGTTTCCGATGACCCACCGGTGATCAAGGAGCTCTTTATTCAGCTGGACAGCCTCCCTTGGCTGGCAGAGCACAGAGCTCCCCATCGGCTCCCCACTGGGCAAGTACTCAGAACCCACCTAATTACTGGGGACAGAATTCTGGGCACTGCATCCAGCAGGCTGCGGTCATAATCAGCTAATTAAACCACCCAAGCATTGCTCCTTGGCCCAGAGCAGAGGGAAGGGGGGTGAGGTGGTGAGGCTGGGAGGAGATGTAACAGGGGAGGCTCAGAAATGGGTCTGCAGAGCAGGGCTCGGAGAGGGAAGCAGGAAGTGCAGAGGGAAGGTGAGAAAGAGGGAGAGAAGTGGGCAGATGCCCAAAGGTGCCATCTGAGGAGAGCACCCAAGTGGGGTGAATGGAGGGAAGGGGCTCTGGCCTGGGAGACAGGGATCTCACTTCTTCACTGTCCCTGTGCTGCCATAGGCAAGCTGCTTTTCCTCATTGGGCCTCAGTTTCTCTATGTGTCAAGCAGGAAGTAGGAGAGGCTTTGGCCTAGAGGCTCCTCCCTAGGACCCTTTCCTTCTCTCGTTAGGAGGGGAGAGGGCGTGAGCAGCAGTGTGATTCTGGCGGGACAGCTTGGCCTCTGGCAGCCCTGCCTTCTGGAAGTGGCAGACAGTGTAGGAGTCTGAGCCAGCCTAGACTGGGTGGGAAGGGAAGACAGTTGGGAGCAGCAGTCTGCCCACCTGGCTCCCCAAGCATGTCCTGCCCTTGAGCCTTGGTCCTGTCTTTGGGACTGTCCTGTGGTTCCCAAACTAGTCCTCAGCGAGGGACTCTTTAAGGCCGAGGGCTCCCTCCCCAGGGCTGGGCAGTGTCATTTCCATCTGTGTAGGAATTGCCCAAGTAGCACCCTCAGAGAGTGTGGAGGAGGGGCTCCCAGAGCTAGAGGCAGGAGGTTTGGAGTTTGGAATTCAGAGTTAGGCAGACTCTGCTCTACTGCTCACTTGCTAGCTCCATGACCTTCAGCTTGGGTCTTAAACTCTCCGGCCTCAGTTTTCTCCTTTGGGAAATAGGTATAATAATATTAATGGGGTTTCTGTGGGCAGAGAGGGTAAGGGCTTCATAAAAAGCCATTGTCGGCCAGGCATGGTGGCTGACGCCTGTAATCCCAGCCTCTTGGGAGGCTGAGGTGGGCAGATGACCTGAGGTCACGAGTTCGAAACCAGCCTGGCCAACATGGTGAAACCTCGTCTCTACTAAAAATACAAAAATTAGCCAGGTGTGGTGGCACACACCTGTAATCCCAGCTACCAGGGAGGCTGAGGTGGGAGGATTGCTTGGACCCGGGAGGTGAAGGTTGCAGTGAGCTGAGATCTTACTATTGTACTCCAGCCTGAGTGACAGAGTGAGACTCTGTCTCAACAACAACAACAAAAAAGCCATCATCATTCAAGACTGAGGGTGGATCTCAGCTCCTTCCCTCTCCCATGTCCCCTTCCTCCTCTTTCATCCCTCTTTTCCATGGTCCAGGGTAGTGTACACAGCTGAGTGCGCGGGGGTGGGGGCACAGGGAGTGGGGGCTGTGCCGGCCAGCGGAGAAGCTCCAAGGAAGGCAGGAAGGGAAGTGAGATTGCCCAGGGCCAGCAGCAGCAGTGTGGTGCTGGGGCTGCTGGCGCCACTCCCCTCTGGCCCCTCACCCACGGCAGATTCTCTAGGAGGAAGTGGGGAGAGATTGGGGAGCAGGAAGCTGGGGGCGGTTGTGGAGGGAAGTCCCTTGGCATCCTGGCCCCAGGCTCCTCTTTCTTAACCCTCACCCCTGTGCAGAGCCCCGAGCCTGGCTTTCTGCCAAGGGAGCCAGCAGGCCACTGTTTCACACACTCAGAAAACAACAGCTTTCCTGGTTCCCAACCCCAAGTAGGAGGTGCCTGCTTGGAGCTCAGGCACTTGGAAAGCAGCGCCTGCTACAGGGTCTGCCAGGTCTGGAGGAGGCAGCAAAAGAGAAGAAAGACCCCCAGCCCCCACAGCCTCTCCTCGTAGTGCTGGGCTGAGATATGCCAGGGACTCTGACTCCAAGGCAGCTGGTTACATAACTGAGCATGCCTCCCTGCTCCTTTCCTCCCTGTTTCCCCAGAGGGGCCTTGGAGGAGGTGCTGCATTGCTCAGAATTCCTGCACCCAGAAGGTCGTGGGGAGCATCCCCCTGCCTTGGATAGTGGTAGTGCCGCCCACACTGTGTAGAATGGTGAGCCATGTATGCTTCCTCAGTGCAGGCCTCTGGGGTTGGCTCTGAGCATTGTCCCCTCCAACTCTCTTGGGAGCAGAGCTGCAAAGCGGGGAAGCCTCATTAGAGGAAACAGGCCTCGTCCTGAGATAATTTGCCTGCAAACTGCCCCCAGAGGGCAACTGGCCTCTGCAGCCAGAGGAACAAATAGCTAGCATTTTACAGTTTGTTCCATTCAATTCCACAAACATTTCTCCCTCCACTCAAGGCATGTCCCGAAGTGGCCGGGCCTGTCCCAGTGGTGTGTCTCTCTCCGAGTGGGAAGGGGATTTATGGAGCAGCTCTGCTCTGCCTCCCGCCTGAGGCTGCCCTTTCTCCGAAGTTGAGGGCCTGGCCTTCCCAGGTTCTGGGTGGCAAGAAACCTCATGACATGGAACACTATCTCCCCGGGCCTCGGGCTAGGAGTTTTCAGGGTTAGCTTATATCGTTTCTGTTAGGCCATCGCTGCCCTCCTGAGGAGGTTCCAAGGAACAAAGCTTTCTCTCTGTGCCACACCCCGGGCCCTGTGCTGGGCACCTGAAATATGAAGAGGACCCAGACAAGTCTCTGCCCTCATGCTGCTCAGATGTATTGGGAGAGAGGAAATAGATGATCTCAACAGCTGCCAGAAGAGGGGTAGTGGGCATCTGTTTATAGCAGGGACAAAACAGGGCCAGAGGTTAAGGATCAGAGGCAGCTCCCCAGAAGTAGGGACTCACGACCTGGTTGGAAAGTGCGTTTGTGTGAGCCAGAGGTAGTACTCTTCCTGGCAGTATCTCTGTGACATGTGTTTTCATCCAGGACTGACTTCCTTCAGCAGACTTGAGAAACCTACTATGTGCCGGCATAGTGTCAGGCACTGGTTTCATCTGCTGTCAGTAAGGAGTGTCTTGGGAATGCAGACTGCTTGAGGACAAAAAAACTAGGGTGAAAAGTGAAAGTTCTGCCACAGGGCATCACAGTAAGTGTTTCTGCCTGGAGAAAGAAAATGGGGTGGGTATATCAGGAGACACTGGGCTCAGCAAACCTGCCATTGGAAACCAGGGTCTACTGTCCTGAGGGTATGGAGAGGAAAGCTTCCCTCTAGCCCAGGAGACACTGCAGAGATCTGATGGCTCTTCCCAGAGGAGCCCATGGGCATGAGACAGTTGAGAAACTATGTCTTAGGAGAAACAGCTCCAGGCTTTGGGGCTGGCAGCCAGGGGCCATGTGCGCTGGTCTCTACAGATTGGAGGGCTATCTTTGGGCACACTGAGGCCACGTGGAGTGGTGGAGAGGAGGCAGCAGGCTGGGGTTCTCCCCTCCCCTTTACCAGTAATTGCATGTCTGTAGGCAAGTTTTCCAGCCTCTGGAGATAATGTGTTCATCCTTTCTCGGTTACAGCTGTGCTAATTAAAGCACCCAGCACATTAGCAGGGCTCATCACTGGTTGATGTTATGATGGGTCTCTATTGCCCCAGGGTACTGGGAGAAACCTACAGACGTTTTAAAACTCAATAAGGAGATTTTTTTTTGCAACAGATTTTTTTGACATTCTAAAAATGACAAAAATGATTACACATCATAATCAAGTGATTAATATGCGTTGTCGTTTCTCCCTGCGCTGACTGTTCCACAGCAGCGATTCAGTACAGCAGTGATTCACTGTGCATACTTGAAACAATTCAGCCACCTCTGATGTTCACCATTTGCAGAGTAAACTTTGTAGTAGGGAGAACTTTCAAAGAACCATGACCTGGCCCCACACTGAGCCCTGACCCAGTGTACAGAAAGACCTGAGTTTCTGTACACTGAGGCTCTGGCCTCAACTTCCATTTGAGTGTAGACCTGGATGGGGGTGTGCTGAGCTCCCTGGAGAAGAGAAAACCATGCCTTCCTGTGGGCAGCCCCAGTTCAGGGGATCCAAACTGAATGGTGATAGAGACATGGCTCCCAAAGTACTGTTCTCCTCATTCTACCGCCACTGGCTCAGGTCAAGCCCCACTCCTGGCCTGGATCATTACAATTGTCTTCTAGTTGCTGTCTTTCTGCTCAGTCCCAACCCTCCAAGCCATCCTGTTATTCTGAAATTCACATCTGGTCATTCTTCCCAGCCTAAGGCCTGATCCACTGCTCCCCATGTCCTATGGGAAAGTCCCCATTCTCTAGGTGGCACTGGAGGCCCTTCAGGATCTGTCTCTAATGTCCCTTCCACACTCCTTTCCCAGCTGTCCCCACCACACTGCTAACAACCTGGCTGCATTGACTTTTTTGGATCTTCCTCAACAGTCTTTGTACTTTTCACGCCTCTGTGCCTTTGCTCAAGCCGATCTCTTTAGCTGGAATGCCCTTCTTCCTCTGGTGAAATATTCCTTATATTTTCAGGTTGAACTTAAAAACATTTTAGCCTGGGTGCGGTGGCTCACACCCTTAATCCCAGCACTTTGGGAGGCCGAGGCAGGCGGATCACTTGAGCACCATTGCACTCCAGCCTGGGCAACAGGAGTGAATCTCCGTCTCAAAAAAAAAAAAAAAAAAAAAAAAAAAAAAAGACATTTCAATGAAATTCATTGAACAACTGCACAGGGCACCTGCTGTAGACATGAAGCCCTCCCTTGACTGCTCCCTGCCCAGGTAGAGTGAATGGCCTCTTCCAGGCTCCCTTAGCACTGTGCAGGCTTCCCGGATGGCACTTTACATTGTAGTTGACTGCTAACAAGTCAGTTCCCTCTCTGCTCGAGGGCAAATGTGTATCTCTTGTCTCTTGGACTCCCAGCTCCTGACTGGGGCCTGGCACAGTGTGGGGCCAGACTTGGGTTAGGGAGTGAGTCAGGGAAGATTCCCTGGAGGAAGTGAGCCCCGAGCTGCTGACTTAAAGAAAAAGCACCCTTTCCCTCTTCTTACTTCCTTCCTGGTCCTCGTGCTGAAGGAAAACAGTCAAAACTTTTTTTTTCCTTTTCTGTTTTTCCTTTGAGATAGGATCTTGCTGTGTCATCCAGACTGGAGTGCAGTGGCACGATCATAGCTCACTGCAGCCTCGAAGATTTTTTGTGGAGATGGGGTCTCACTGTGTTGCTCAGGCTGGTCTCAAACTCCTGGGCTCAAGAGATCCTTCTGCCTCAGCCTCCCATAGTGTTGGGATTATAGGTGTGAGCCACTGTGCCTGGTCTGAAACTGACTTTGAAAAGGGAAATGTATGGCTTTTGAATTGAGGGATGGAATCTCCTAGCCTGGAGATAATTAAATAAGGCTTAGATCTCCCTCTCTCCCTTCACGCATTTCCTGAATACCTAGAACATGCCAGACACTGGAGCTACAAAATGAATTAAATAAAACATGTCTATCTTTTTCTATCTCCATAATGTTCATGCTGGAAACTGCCCTTTTTCTGTTTCATTGGATCAAGTTCAAATCTTAGCAGGTCACTTGTAACTCTGACTCTGGGCACATTGTGCCACCTTTCTGAGCCCTAGTTTTCTTATGCATACCACGGAGGTGATAATATTCCCCTCATAGGGTGGTGATGGATCATGTGTGTGAGGGGCTGAACAGGTGCCTTTGACAGTGGTTTCTCATTGAGTGGCAGCCACTCTCCGACTGGAAGTTTCTTGAGGGCAGTGACTATGTTTGGTAGATAAATGTGTCCTTGGCACCCAGCCCAGGGACCAGGCATGCAGTACATGAGGGTCGTCAGCCATCCCAATTTTCCTGGGACAGTCTCAGTCTCGCATCTCAGGAAACCCCTCAGCTCACTCCTGGGCAAATCAGGACTGTGGGTCACCCTACAGTATCTTCTCATAAAGATTCGTAGAGTAGGTATATCCACGAATTAAGCAAGCATTAGTGAAGGACAGGAGTAGGACTTGAACAGGCCAGGGCAAGCACTGGGTGGCTGCCTTGGGCGCTGAGAGGAGTCAGCAGAAGGGTCTGGAAGGCCTAGCATGTGGACAGTGGGAGGTAGGGGTGGGGCCATCTGCAGCTTGGCAGGGTGTGGGGAGGACATCAGGCCCTGAGTCTGTAAGGTGACTGCTTTCAAACAGGTTTCAGGCTCCCAAGGGCCATGTGCTCTTCCTCAGACACATCCAGAGAGGGCACGGTTGATTCTCACTTTTTTGATTTCTATTAAATATATTGAGCCCTCAGCTACTCTTCCGCCTTGGTAGCTGGAGGCCTCTTCTTCCTCAACCTACTGAGTCTCAGCGTGCCTGCCCACTGCCTTCTGAGCTGTCCATGCCAGACTGAGATGAGACAGGGCAGAGGCACGGGCTGCGAGATGGGAGAGCAGGGCTGCAGGCTCATTCTCAGGCCCAGCCCCAGACACTGAGTGAGCCTTGGTTTCTCACAGGGTATCTGTGAGTTGTCACGTGTGGAAAGCCCCTTGGCATCTTTAGTATGCAATAGGTGCACAGCAAGTCTCATGTTTTGTCCCCGTCTATAAAAGGGGGACAATAAAGCTTGCCCTGCTCACCTCCAGGACTGTCGTGTGGGCCAAACGGGATGTGGATGTGGGATGTGGGAACATTTGGTAAACTGTATCATACCCTACAAATGTTTGAGGATGGGGTTCTTAATAGGGCAGCCCTTGCCAGCCCAGGATTCCAGGCCCAGGATTCCAGCCCAGGCATGGAAGGCTCCTCTTGGGGTTGTGCCCCAGGATCACAAAGAAATCTGGCAGTGCTGCCCTTGTGAGCAGCAGACCTCCGCAGGCAGGTCCGAGACTCAGCTGAGCTCTGCTTCTTTTTTTTTTGAGACAGGGACAGGGCCTGGCTCTGTTGCCCAGCCTGGAGTGCAGTAGTGTGATCATAGCTCACTATAGCCTTGACTTCCTGGGCTCACACAATCTTTCCTCCTCAGCCTCCTGAGTAGCTGGGACCACAGGTGTTCGCCACCATCCCAGGCTAATTTTTAAATTTTTTGTACAGATGTGGTTTTGCTACATTGCCCAGGCTGGTCTTGAACTCCTGGGCTCGAGCAATCCTCCCGTCTCAGCCTCCCAAAGTGCTGGGATTACAGGTGTGAGCTACCACGTCCGGCCAAGATCTGCTTCTTCTGAAACCATGGCAAGAGAAAGACAGACAGACTTGGACCTACTGCAGGGAGGGTTAAGTAGCAGCGGGACTCCCATCAAGAAGAAGGAATGTCTTCCGGAGCCTCATCTGTCTGTTGGGCTGGAGGCAGGGCCTTTGTGAAGGCGGGTGGTGCTCAGATCGCCTCTGGGCCCTTCCTCCAGCCCCGAGGCGGATTCACCATGAGGCTGATGCAGCTTCAGCTTCCAGCCCTTCACGCTCCAGGGCCCTTTCCAAGGCCTAGCAATGTGTCCATGTGCTCAGGGGTTTTGTGAAATTTGCAAAAGGAAATTATTTTTGTACTCTTTTTTTTTTAAAACAAACAAACAAACAAAAAAAAAACCTTCCAAGCTCTGTAAGCTTTAGGCGCCCAAGCCCAGCTCTGCCCTGCTGTGGCAAGTTTTCGTTTGGGCTAGGATGTTGGTGCCACATCTGCTGCATGTCCTCAGGGGGCTCTCATCCCACAGCAGAGATCTGTCATAGGTTAGAGCCCTCCCTACAGAAGCAACACCTGAAAGGCATCCAGGGGAGCCAGTTCTGGGGCAGGCTGAACCTGCAGCTTCACTTGCCATGTAAATTAGAGACTGGAAAGGCTTCTCTGACTTCAATCTTCCTCTTCTGCAAAATGGAGATAAGACCTTCCTGGAAAGGTTAAAATAATGAACCATAGGTGAAACTGCCTGGTCTAGCCCCAGGCTTGTCCTGGGAGCTCAGGAAATGCTGATGAAAGCTGGATGGAGATGGCTCAGGGGAGCCCATGCCTTTCATTGGGATAGTCTGTCCTGCTGTCTGTCAAATTAACCTGCTGTGTGCCAGGCCTGGTATTAGGCTCTGGGATACAAGCTGCTGGGGTGAGGTGGTCAGACGAATCAAGAGGGTGAAAGTGGTTATAAACTGTGGAGCACGGCTTGCCTGGGAAGGGGCTGTTGTAACCGGGATGGGGCCTTTTTTTTTTTTTTTTTTTTGTTTGAGACGGAGTCTTGCCCTGTCACCCAGGCTGGAGTGCAGTGGTGCTATCTCAGCCCGGGTTCAAGCAACTCTCCTGCCTTGAGTAGCTGGGATAATAGGCACATGCCACCACGCCCAGCTAATTTTTGTATTTTTAGTATAGATGAGGTTTCACCATGTTGGTCAGGCTGGTCTTGAACTTCTGACCTTGTGGTCTGCCCACCTGGGCCTCCCAAAGTGCTGGGATTACAAGCGTGAGCCACCGCGCCCGGCCTGGGATGGGACCTTCTGTGGGAGTGGGGCAGAGTAGAAGTCTGGACAGGCCTTTCCTGCTCCTGGGACTGGGTCAGGAGTCTGGCTGGTCTGGTGCCTGAGGGGAGCTGCCAGGGCAGGCCGAGCTGACCTTTCCTGCTCAGAAAGGAAGCCAGGCTGGCAGGGTGCGGTGCATCCCTCTGCAGAGTCAGGGAAGCGGAGTTTGTTGGCAGCAATGTCTTGCCTTCTGTGCTTCCCTAAGACAGGTGGCTGTGGGGAGGGCTTCGAAGAACAAACATGATGTCCGGCTAGGTTTCAGATCCCACCCCTACTGCTTGTTATGCCTGTGACCTAGAGACGGTTACATAATCTTTCTGAACCTTGGTTTTGTCATCTTTAAAATGGGGGTAATAAAATCCTCTCCTCACCCCCATAGGGTTGTGGTAAGGCTTAAATGAGATAATGCATGGCTTAACACAGTGCCTGGTACACAGTAGGTGCTCAATACATGCTGATTGTCCCTCTCCTGCCCCATGACCCTCATCAACTTCTCTTTTACACTTCCCCGTTTGTCTGTGCCCCCAGTTGGGTGTGGGCTCCGTGGTGGCAAGGACTGATTTTTGTTCACCAATCATTCTATTCCCCAGCCCTGGCACAATGCCTTCAATACACCCTGAACTGGTTGGCAAGAAGCTGCACTGGGCCCAAAGAAAACAGTGTTAAGTTTTAGCTGGAAACCTGCTTACAACACACCTACTGTGTGCTCCTGCCAGAGCACTTACTGTATGGTTTCTGCCCTGCAGAGCTTGAATGGCCACCCACAACTGTGGCTCTGCCCTTCTTGACAAGTGGCTTTGTTTTTTTCTTCAGAGCACTTAGCACCTGCTGTAATCAATTTGGTGAGCGTTGTTGAGTCAAACTCTGTAAAATATTTGAAGATATTTATTCTGAGCCAAATATGAGTGACCGTGGCCTGTGACACAGCCCTCAGGAGGTCTTGAGAACATGTGCCCAAGGTGGTCGGGGTACAACTTGGTTTTATATATTTTAGGAGGCATGAGACATCAATCAAATACATTTAAGGAATACATTGGTTTGGTTCAGAAAGGTGGGACAACTCAAAGCGGTGGGCAGGGGTTGGGGGGAGCTTCCAGGCTATAGGTACATTTTTTTTTTTGAGATGGAGTCTCACTCTGTCGCCCAGGCCAGAGTGCAGTGGCGCGATCTCAGCTTACTGCAACCTCCGCCTCCCGGGTTCAAGTGATTCTCCTGCCTCAGCCTCCTGAGTAGCTGGGACTACAGGTGCGCCTGACCACACCTGGCTAATTTTTGTATTTTTAGTTGAGACGGGGTTTCACCATATTGGCCAGGCTGGTCTCGAACTCCTGACCTCATGATCAGCCTGCCTCGGCCTCCCAAAGTGCTGGGATTACAGGCGTGAGCCACCGCGCCTGGCCAGCTATAGGTAAACTTAAACATTTTCTGGTTGACAGGTGGTTGAGTTTGTCTAAAGACTTGGGATCCTTAGAAAGGAAATGTTCAGGTTAAGATAAAAGATTGTGGAGACGAAAGTTCTTTTGAAGTCTAATGGTGGCTGCCCTTAGAGAAAATAGATGACAAATGTTTCCTATTCAGACCTTTAAAAGGTGCTAGACTTTTAGTCATTCTCATCAGGATTGGGAGGGCCTCGAAGAAAAAGATCTAGCTATGTTTACAGACGCAGATTTTCCCCCACTAAGGATGGCTTTGCAGGGCCATTTCAAGATATGGCAGAGAAACACGTTTTGGGATAAAATATTCTGATTTTCTTCCTTATCTCGCAATTGTCACACACATCCCTGTGAAGAGACCACCAAACAGGCTTTGTGTGAACAATAAAGCTTTTTAATCACCTGGGTGCAGGTAGACTGAGTCTGAAAAAGGAATCAGCAAAGAGAGAGAGATAGGGGTGGGGCAGTTTTACAGGATTTTGGGTAGGTAGTGGAAAATTACAGTTAAAGGGGGTTGTTCTCTTGCGGGTAGGGGCGGGGGTCAAAAGGTGCTCAGTGGGGAGCTCCGGAGACTTATTGTCCAGGAGAAGGAATGTCACAAGGTAATGTCATCAGTTAAGGCAGGAACCGGCCATTTTCACTTCTTTTGTGGTTCTTCAGTTGCCTCAGGCCATCCGGATGTATACCTGCGGGCTTGAGCTCAGAAGCCTTACAGTAATGTTATGCCAGAGTCAGACTGGAAAGTAAGTCACGACATGTAGGGTTACATAAAACCCAACTGATGAGTTTCACTCGAGTCCGTGTGAAGAGACCACCAAACAGGCTTTGTGTGAGCAACAAGGCTGTTTATTTCACCTGGGTGCAGGCGGGCTGAGTCCGAAAAGAGAGTCAGTGGAGGGGGATAGGGGTGGGGCCGTTTTATAAGATTTGCGTAGGTAAAGGAAAATTACAGTCAAAAGGGGGTTGTTCTCTGGCGGGCAGGGGTGGGGGTCACAAGGTGTTCAGCGGGGGAGCTTTTGAGCCAGGATGAGCCAGGAGAAGGAATTTCACAAGATAAAGGCATCAGTTAAGGCAGGAACAGGCCATTTTCACTTCTTTTGTCATTCTTCAGTTACTTCAGGCCATCTGGATGTATACGTGCAGGTCACGGGGGCTGTGATGTCTTAGCTTGGGCTCAGAGGCCTGACAATGAGAATTCATGGTTTGTAGAAGATGACTCCCCAGACCCCTTAGACAGGAATTTGGGCAAGGTAAAAAAAAAAATCAGACATGGCCAGGCATGGTGGGTCACCCCTGTAATCCCAGCACTTTGGGAGGCCTAGGCGGACGGATCACTTGAGGTCAAGAGTTCAAAACCAGCCTGGCCAACATGGTGAAACCCTGTCTCTACTAAAAATACCAAAAAATTAGCCAGGCGTGGTGGCAGGCGCTTGTAATCCCAGCTACTTGGGAGGCTGAGGCAGAATTGCTTGAACCTGGGAGGCGGAGGTTGCGGTAAGCCGAGATCGCGCCACTGGGCGACAGAGCGAGACTCCGCCTCAAAAAATAAAAATCAGATTTTAGTCCTCAACATCTGAAATATGCCTCTCCCTGCTGGAATGCAAGTGCTGCAGGAGCTGTGTCACCAGGTACCAGTGTCTGGCACGGGGGACACGGGATATTTTTGTTGAATGAATGGCTGTCTTTCTTTTTCTCTAAAGTCCAGCCAGATTCAACTTTCAGCCCAGCTGCCTTCTAGTTGGGGAAAGTTCCCTGCCACTTTCATTCAGCTTCAGTTTCTTCATCTTTAGAATGGGAAAATAGCTGTACCATATAAAGCAAGTGCTCAGCCGGGCCTGGAACAAGGTCATGATGCCAGGTGCTATTTTTCAAATGATTTCCAAGGGTCCTCTCAGTTCTGACCTTCAGTGATCTCTCTGCCTCCAGCTTAGAGGAAGACTGGGGAGAACATTCCATTCCTAGCAGACCCTTTCTCTTGGCCTCACAATGGATTTGAAGCTCTGTGCAAACTGTTTATATTTCTTCGGCAGAGTTTATTACCCAGGCAGGCCTTCTGCAATTAATTACAAGCAAAGCAAATAACTTGTCCTTAGGAGGCTGGGCTTGGCATAAACATTTACATATAGCCAGGGGCCAGCCCAGGGGCTGGGCTCTTTCCTGCAGCCTTTGGAACAGAGAGATTAGAGGATCAGGGTGGTGTGGGGTGTTATGGGGTGGGGTGGGGAGAAACAGCTTTCCTTCAACAGCTTTTCCTGGACTCCTCCTTAGCCCTTGAGATGCTGTGCTTATGCTTTCTTTCAATCTTCCTAATTACCCAAGTAGAGTCCCTGTTTGTAGTTGAGGAATTGAAGGCTCAGCTAAGTTCAGCAATTTGTCTGAACACACAGCTTGCAGGAGCAGCAGGATCTGAAGGTTCACGTGGCAGCTGTGTAGGTAAATAGACTAGAAGAGAGAGGCTAGAAGTTGGGAAATGAGTGACAGATTGTTCGTTCGTTCATTTATTCATTCAGTGCAAATTTGTCAGGCCTCTGTCATGTGTGAAAGGGAGTCTGAGAGGCAGTAGTGACTTTTTTTTTTTTTAGAGACAGGGTCTCAGTCTTGTCATTCAGGCTAGAGTGCAGTGGTGCAATCACATCTCACTGCAGCCTCGAACTCCTGGGGTCAAGTGATCCTCCTGCATCAGCTTTTCAAGTAGCTGAGACTTGTAGCACAGGTATGTGCTACCATGCCTGGGTAGATTTTAAAATTTTTTGTAGAGATGGAGTCTTACTATGTTGCCCAGGCTGGTCTCAAACTCTTGGGCTCAAGCAATCCTCCCACCTTGATCTCCCAAAGCACTGGGATTACAGGCATGCACCACAGTGCCCAGCCAGTAGTGATTATTGTGACTGTTCGTCCCCACATGGAATGTCAGAAACCCTCTGAGGATGGTCCCATTAACAGGCTAATGTGTGGCAGAAGGTGGTTTCGTGAAAGGCCAGGAAGGCAGTGGTCCGCGTAGTGGTCATAGTCACACCATCTTACACAAAGAGACAGCTTGAGTGGATGTAGTCTTTAACAGGAGGGGCTCTGCAAGGACAACCCACTCCTCCCACCCTAGAATCTGGAATTCTAGATCCCTGAACCCTGCTTTTAGGCAGAGATGGCTCAGAGAAGGTTTGGCTCAAGGTTACACAGCAGCAAGGTTCAGTGGCTCACACCTGTAATTCCAGCACTTTGGGAGGCCAAGGCAGGAGGATCACTTGAGCCCAGGAGTTCCAGGCCAGCCTGAGCAACATGGTGAGACCCTCCATCTCTATAAAAAATACAAAAAATTAGCTAGACATGGTGGTGCGTGCCTATAGTTCCAGCTACTCAGGCGGCTGAGGTGGGAGGATCAGTTGAACACAGGATGTTGAGGCTGCAGTGAGCCCTGTGAGCCGTAATTGTTACTGCATGTCAGCCTGGGTGACAGAGCAAGAACTTGTCTCAAAAAAAAAAAAAAAAAAAAAAAGTTACACAGCAGGAAGGAATGGTCCCAGCGAAGTGCTGTTTCTAGTGTGTTTACATTTGAGAGGTGCAGTGACCAATTTGCATGGGAAACCCTTACTGGCTGCCCCACTCTCTTCAGGGCTCTGAGTTCAGTGTTTTCTGACGGCCCTCTCAGCCCAGCCGTTCCCGTTCCACTCAATGGTTTTGCTGTGCAGATCTCTGGAGCCATCTGCTGGGGGCCATCTTCCTCTGTGCATTGAGGAATACTGGGATCCAGGGAGGGCAGGAGCAGGGCACTCCTGTCTATACGCATCTTGGATGTGGTATGCCTGGCCCCTGGCCCTGGATCCTGGGACTCCTTGGCTGGACAGGAGCCCATCCCAGAGGGTGAGACTGCAGCCTCCAGGCCTCTGCAGCTTCAGACTATAGTAGAGTCTGGGACTTGGCCTGAGCTGTCCACACCAGGTGGCCAGCAGTTGGCACAGAGCCCAGAATGTGGTAACAGATGCCCAGGGAAGGCATGACACTTGGGATGGGTGAATGGCTGGTGGGAGACAAGGATGTAAGAAGGGCACTTTCATTTGGGCGGCAGGGGCTTCAGTTCAAGTCACCATCTGTATCACAAATGAACCTCAATGTTGTCTTCTGGGGAATGGGGATGAACAACTGTCCTCATTCACAGGGTTTTAGGGAGGAGGAACAGGCAGCAACTGACTATTCACAATAGCCAAAAAGTGGGAACAGACAGCCTAAATGCCCATCTGCAGATGAATGGATAAACAAATGGTGGTATATCCATGCTGTACAACATTATTCACCCATGAGAAGGAATGAAATACTGATCCATGCTATAAAGTGGACGAACCTTGCAAACCTTACGTGAAATGAAAAAAGCCAGACACAAGAGGTCACCTATAGTATGAGTCAACTTGTATGAAATATCCAGAATAGAGAAATCCATAGAGACAGAAAGCAGACACTGGTAGTTGCCAGGGGTTGGAGAGAGGAAAGAATGGGGAGAGACTACATAGTGAGTAAGGGGTTTTACTTTGGAGTGATGGAAATGCGTTGGATCTAGATAGAAGTGGCGGTTTTGCACAACGTTGTGAATGGACTAAATGCCACTGAATTGTTCACTTTATGTATTTATTTTATTTTTATTTATTTATTTGTAGAGACAGGGTCTTGCTGCATTGCCCAGGCTGCTGTCAAACTCCTGAGCTCACCCAGGCGCAATGGCTCATGCTTGTAATCCCAGCACTGGGAGGCCAAGGTGGGCAGATCACCTGAGGTCAGGAGTTCGAGACCAGCCTGGCCAACATGGCGAAACCCCGTCTCTACTAAAATTACAACAATTAGTATGGTGTGGTGGTGAACGCCTGTAATCCCAGCTACTTAGGAGGCTGAGGCAGGAGAATCGCTTGAACCCAGGAGGCAGAGGTTGCAGTAAGCCGAGATCACGCCACTGCACTCTAGCCTGGGCGACAAGAGCAAGACTCAAAAAAAAAAAACAAAAACAAAAAACAAAACAAAACAAAAAAATAAACAAACTCCTGAGCTCAAGTGATCCTCCTGTCTTGGCCTCCTAAAATGCTGGGATTACAGGCATGAACCACTGCACCCACCTCAATAAATTATTTTTTCTGCTGGTTGATGTGGTTCGCACCTGTAATCCCAGCACTTTGGAAGGCTGAGACAGGAGGATTGCTTGAGTCCAGGAGTTAGAGATCATCCTCGGCAACCTAGTGAGACTCTGTTTCAAAAAAATACATTTTATACAATTATTCTTTTTTTTTTTTTTTTTTTTTTGAGATGGAGTTTCGCTCTGTCACCCAGGCTGGAGTGCAGTGGCGCCATCTCGGCTCACTGCAAGCTCCGCCTTTTGGGTTCACGCCATTCTCCTGCCTCAGCCTCCCGAGTAGCTGGGACTACAGGCACCCGCCACTGCGCCCAGCTAATTTTTTGTATTTTTAGTAGAGACAGGGTTTCACCGTGGTCTTGATCTCCTGACCTCGTGACCCGCCCGCCTCGGCCTCCCAAAGTGTTGGGATTACAGGCGTGAGCCACCACGCCCAGCACAAAATTATTCTTAAAAATAACAAGAGTCTGGGCATGGTGGCTCATGCCTGTAATCCCAGCATTTTGTGAGGCCAAGATGGGCAGATCACTTGAGCTCAGGCCTTTGAGATGAGCCTGGGCAACATGGCAAAACTCTATCTCTACTAAAAATACAAAAATTAGGCATGGGTGTGGTGGGGCATGCCTGTAGTCCCAGCTACTCGAGAGGCTGAGGTAGGAGGTTGAAGCTGTAGTGAGCCATGATTGCAGCCCTGCACTCTAGCCTGGGCTGGAGTGACACCCTGTCTCAAAAAAAAAAAAAAAAAAAGACAGTAATTTTAAAAAGGCAGTGTGTAGTAAGAGGGGATGGGGTTGCGATGAGACATGGGCGTTAGGGTGAGACTGCTGGAGACGGTGTGTGGGAGAGAGGCTGTGGCAGGTAAGGGTGCTGAGTGGGAGGCAGAGTGGTTAAGACCAAGGTTGACTGCCAGACTTCCCACACTGCCCAAGCTGTGTGGCCTTGGGCAGGTTATTTAACCTCTCTCTGTTTCAGTTTCCCTGTCTATAAAAGAGGAATAACAAAATTTTTATTATGAGAATCTTCATCTTTTGTTATGGGAATCTTAATGTTTCCATTAGGATTAAATGAGTTAATATTTGTAAAGTGCTTGGCACAAAGTAAGTACTACGTGTTAGCTGCTGTTGTTATCACTCATTCACATTTTTATTTATTTGTTCATTTACTGCACACCCACGCTGTGCCAGGCCCTGGGCTGCTTTCTGGGGACGCAGCTGCAAGCATGACTCAGTGCCTCTCTCAGGAGCTCTCGCACATCCTCCGGCAGCACCCTCCTCCTCCCAGCCTGGAGCCTTGGCTGTTAATGAAAATTCTTCATCACCTCCTGCTTCTCCAGAGCTGCCTGAGCAGGCACCACCTCCCCTGGGACCCTGCAGAGCTCCTTCAAGGCATTAGAAAATGCCCTAGGCTTGGGAGCTGGTGCCCTAGGTTTGAGGGGACCTTAGGAAAGATCCTAGGCCTTAGTTTCCCTACCTGTCATGGGAGAGGTCAGCCTGGCTGAGCTCTGAGATTCTTCTGTTTTCTAACCTCCAAGCCTCTGAGTCAGCCGGCCCGAGTTGGGCCTGGGGCTTTTGCTTTGAGCACTGGCAGGGTCAGACCAGAGAGCCCTGGGCGTGAGGTCCAGAAGGGATCTCAGAGGTCCCTTTACGCACAAGGTTAGTGAGGTCCAGAGAGAGGCTGGGGCATGCCTGGGGGTGCCTGGAAGGTAATGGCCAAGCCTGGTTTGGGGAGCGGCTTTGGTGGCCTCAGCCCCTACCTGTTCTTAGCATGAGCCGCAGAGTTCACTAGTCTATATTTTGGATGGGCTTAAAGTGTCATGCCTGTTGAGATTTATTTTATAAAAAGTAAACTGGGCCAGGCATGGTGGCTCACGCCTATAATCCCAACACTTTGGGAGGCTGAGGCAGGTAGATCACTTGAGGTCAGGAGTTTGAGACCAGCCTGGCCAACATGGTGAAACTCCTGTCTCTACTAAAAATACAAAAGTTAGCTGGATGTGGTGGTACATGCCTGTAATCCCAGCTACTCAGGAGGCTGAGGCACGAGAATCGCTTGAACCCAGGAGGCGGAGGTTGCAGTGAGCTGAGATTGTGCCACTGCACTCCAGCCTGGGTGACAGAACGAGAGACCCTGTTGAAAAACAAAAACAAAAACAAAGTAAACTGCCTTTTTTGGGCTGGCATTCTGGGCAGCCAGAGTAGGGGCTGGGGTGAGGGTCGGGGGATTCCTGCCCCACCCCTCTGGTAGCCATTCAGGCTCAGTCTGACCTCACTTCTCCTGGACAAAAACAATCTGATTCCACTGCTGGTCCTCCTTACGGTCAATCTCTCCATGTTGGCACCTCCCCCACTGCCAGCCTCAGTTGTCACCCCTGCACCATGTAGTCCTTTCTCCAACCCTGACAACCAGCATACGTTCTCTGCCATTTCCTTCCACAGGGTTTTCTTCAGGTCTCTACCCCAAGGCCCTCCCGCCCAGCCCTGCCTGAGTCTCTGACACCTGCATCCCTCCCTGCCTCACCTCACGCCAGCCACCAGCCCTGGGTCCCCATGTGCTGGCTTCCCTCCCAGAGGTTTCTCCCAGGGACAGGGGTGGGGGTGGTTAGAGAGGCAGAAAAGTCTAGGAAGGGCCTTGCTCTCTTCTCCTTTTAAAAACAGCTACACTTTGAGTGTAGACGTAGCAGTTAGAACCTTCCAGAACTTTTCTGTGGTCTCAGAAGGGGACCAAACAGGCAAAGTCGCAGCAGAAAGGGAAGGGGCCCGAGGAGGCAGGTGGAGTTGGAGTCAGGTGCACAGGCTCTCTGGGTTCTCAGAAGACCCAGGTATGTTTCCATTCTTGCTGCCCCCTATTCCACACCCACACCCACACGCACACTCCCCAGGCCTCCAGGGCTCGGCAACGGTGATCAGGGAGGGCTTCTTTGGGTAGGATGTTCATTTATTCAGCCCTTCGTTCATTCACGGCCCTTGCTAGTGCCTCCTCGGTGCCAGGCCCTGTTCTGAACCCTGAGGACATGGAGTGGGGCCAGACCTCATCCCTACCTGAGGCTGACGAGGGCGGCTGCTGTGGACTCAGAGGAGCTTCGCACGGGCAGATAAAGACCATTCATTCATTCATTCACCAGGAAGTGCTCAGCCAGCCTGCTGTGTGCTAGGCGCTGTCCCAGCAGTAAAGGAAGCAGGCAAGAATCCCTGCCCTCATGGAGCAACTGATGCTGGTGCTATGTTCCCCTAGACCTGGGGGGAGGGCGCGGGCACACAGCCTGAGTTCTGAGGGCTTGAAAGAACTAACAGTTATCTTTCAGTAATTATTTAAGCAACAACAAAACCCTCCACATTAGACAAGGAGAAGAGAGCAATCATCCAGAATTTCATCATTTAGAAACAACATTTCTAACACTTTTTGGTGTTTGTGCTTCTTGCTGTGTGTGTGTGCATGCATGTGTTTGTGTATTCAAGCTCCATTGTGATTAAACTGTATGTAAAATTTTGAATACGTTTTTTTTTCTTCAGTATCTCCTATGCTATTAACTCGTAGTATCTCGATTCGTTAATGATTGTTCCTCATGTGGGTGCCCTACAGTTTAACCAGCCCCTTCTTTGGTATTTACATTATTTCCAGGTGTTTGGTTTTGTAAATAGTGCTGAAATGATTAGCTTTGGAGCTATCCCGTCACTTCCTGAAGGCAGAGCCTGGACCCTGGGTGGCTCAGAGGTCCCAGGCTTGGCTCTCAGCCCCTCCCATCTTCCCTGCACACCTTTCCGCTTCCTTCCTGCTCAGCTGCTTCCCTTCTTGCTCATGGGGGGAGAGAAGGTTTCCTCTCCAGGTACACTTATTTTTTTCTTTTTTGTTTTGAGACGGAGTCTTGCTCTTGTTGCCCAGGCTGGAGTGCAGTGGCGTGATCTGGGCTCACTGCAATCTTCGTCTCCTGGGTTCAAGCAATTCTCATGCCTCAGCCTCCCGAGTAGCTGGGACTACAGGCATGCACCACCACGCCTGGCTAATTTTTGTATTTTTAGTAGAGATGAGGATTTTACCATGTTGGACAGGTTGGTCTCCAGCTCCTGACCGCAAGTGATCCACCCGCCTCGGCCTCCCAAAGTGCTGGGATTACAGGCGTGAGCCACCACGCCCGGCCCCTCTAGGTACATTTCAATGAGGGTTGTTCCATTTATCTTTTGCTACATAACAAATCACCCAAAAACTTAGTGGCTCAAAACAACAACATTCATTTTGTTATGGACTGTGGTTTCTGTAGGTCAGGAGTTTGGGAAGAGCTCCGCTGGGCAGTTCTGGCTTAGGGTCTCTCTGATGGCTGCAGGTGGCACAAGGTGGGCTGGAGCAGCTGGTTGCTTGGAGCAAGACCTATTGATTTTATCTCTGAATCTGTCCAGTTTTCTCTTTCTCTCTCATTGCTACCTCCCTAATCTGGGCCACCCTCATTTCTGACCCAGATGAATAATATCAGCAAAACATACAGCACTTCCTGTGGTCCAGGTATTGTTCCAAGTTCTTTACATGCGTAAAGTTGCTCATTTAATCCTCACAACAACCCAGGAAGTAGACACTGTTGTAATCTCCATTTTACAGAAGGGAAAACTGAGACCCTGAGAGGTTTCCCATCTAATAAACGGCAGATCTAGGATTTGAACCCAGAGCAGTCTAGTTGAATCTGCCTCCTAACTGGTCTCTCTGCTTCCACTCCAGTCTCTCTGCCCTTCCATTCGCCTCCCAGCAGCCAAAGTGAACGTACTAAAGCATGACTGCATTGTGTCAATTATCTGCTGAAACCCCACCAACATCTTATCACGGTGACAGAGTAATATCCACACTTCTGATCTGGCCTTCTGGTGACCAGGCCCTGCCCCCATGTCCCTGCTGGCCTTGTACCTTCAGTGATTCCCCTGTCTTCCCCTAGAACCCTCCCATAGTAGGTTTGGTGTTTTTTGTTGTTGTTGTTTTGTTTTTTGAGATGGAGTCTTGCTCTGTTGCCCAGGCTGGAGTGCAGTGGCATGATCTTGGCTCATTGCAACCTCTGCCTCCTGGGTACAAGCGATTCTCCTGCCTCAGAATCCCAAGTAGCTGGGATTACAGGCATGTGCCACCATGCCTGGCTAGTTTTTGTATTTTTAGTAAAGACAGGGTTTTGCCATGTTGGCCAGACTGGTCTCGAACTCCTGACCTCAGGTGATCCATCTGCCTCAACCTCCCAAAGTGCTGGGATAACAGGCGTCTGGCTGGTAGGTTTGGTTTTGTTTTGCCCCAGTTCAGCACCCCAGCCCTTGTCCCTTTTGGAGTTAGTACTGCTGCTTCTTCAACTCTTAGCCCGGATGTCACTTTCTTGGGGAAGACTTCCCTGACTCCTTAGGCTGGTCTGTGCCCATCCTGGGCTCTTGGAGCCCTCCACTTTATAGCATTTATTGTGAGAGTCACCATATACTTGTTTGTATGATGCCTGTCTTGCAGGGCTGCTGTGTTACCTGCTTGTAGGAACGCTCTGTGTTCTGTTTGCACTGTGATCTGTGTCATGGTAACCAAAGGAGTTGTGTAGTGCAGAGCCCTGCAGTTTCCCTGGCCAGACGGGAAGCTTTATGTAGACAGGGCCCTTTGCCCAAATCTGCCCTATTCACCATATGTCTGATGGCCAACAGCATCTGACACACAATAGGTGCTCAATAAATTCTGTTGAATATTCATAAGAAGATCTAATGTGTATTACTAGGTGCCAGACACTACACTCACTTAATCCTCAGAACAACCTGATGGGGTGGGCACTGCTATCATCCCATTTTACAGATGAAGAAACAAGTTGAGTGAGGGGAGGTCACTTGACTGATGCCCTCTAGCCGGTTCCAACCAAGGCAGACCAGTTCACTAGGATAAAAAAGTGAATGAAAGAAGGACCCCTAAATTCCAGCAGCTTCAAGTAACTCAGATGAGGGCTGTAAGGAAAACACAGACTAAAGTCATCCCATAAAGCCTCTCTCAAATGGTGGTGAGCATGTGTGTAAGGAAGGTGGTTTCCGCCAGCAGGGAGAGAAGAAGGAGAGAAAAGGCCCTGGACAGGAGATGGGTTACTTTGGTGGTCACTCTCCCCTTGGGCTCCAAGCCTGGCTGCCTACTTTCCTGACCACAGCTTCTGCCTCCCAGGCTCACTCTGCCATAATAGAGTCCTGAGGAAGAGGTGGGGGGATGGTGGTGGGGGGGGGTGAGCAGGAATGGGGTGGGATTTTCTTCCACGTGGGGTGGGATTTTCTTCCACGTGCTGAGGTCATACCAGAGGCCTTTGTTCTTACCTACCTGGAGGCCTAAACTTTACCTTGTGCCTCTCCTGAAAGGAAGGAGGGCAGGAAAGCAGGTGTGCAGGTGAGGGAAAACAGAGAACAAGAGAAGTCAAAGGATTTGTCCAAGACACATAGGTCCCTGGGAGCCTCTTAGCCCCCACTAGTGAGTGTATGTGTGTGTCTGTGCACGTGTGTTGTGTTGAGGGCAGAGGGGCAAAGATGATGTCTCCCTATTGCTCAGCTCCCATGGCCCCTCCTGTCTCCTCATCCCAGCCTCCTGTCCCACCAGAGGAAAAGGCCCCCATGAAGGCTTTGCGAATGGAAATGAAGTGTGTCCCAGCGCCCAGTGGTCTGGGAGTCCAGGGCCATCTCTGTGCTGGCACTTCCTCTTCTGGGTTCCTTGGGTTTCCTAGCAGATTCCAGGCTTTCCAGAGACTAGGATGAATTTTACTCTACAATGTTTTTGAGTTTGTGCGGTGCTGGAGCCAGCCCAGCTGAGGTCAGGTCTGAGGGCTTTGGGAAGAGTTGGGTACTTGAGTGGGGTCTCGAAGGAGGAATCGGAGTTACCATGTGGAGCCCATGGCCTCTTCCTCCTGGAGCCTTCAGCCCTTGCGGGAACAGAGCTGAGCAGGCCCTGATGACTGATCCCTCCCCATCTCTGGTGGGGCTATCCAGCCCCCCAAGCTTTCAGAGGCTCCAGCCTCAGGGCCACCATCCAGCCACCCGCCCTTGGAGGCCTCAGCTTCTTTCCCGCCTCCTTCTCCACAGGTCTCAGTCTGCTGGGGATTCTGTTTTGGTTGGAAGGAGGAGGCGGAGGAGTTTGCATGTCTGGCTCTTTCCTCCTTTCTCATTCCTCCTCCTTTCCTCCTGCTTGCTGATCAAGATGTTTCCTCCGCCAGCCTGGCTCCACTCCAGCCCCCTCCCCACCTTGGGCAGGCAGCAGCCATCCTCTCCGGCCTGGGGCTTCTGTGGGCTGTGGCTTCCCAGGGTGCACCCTTAATGCCCTCTTCACCAGTGGAGGGTCTGTAGGCAAATCCTTCAGGATGGGGGCACCTCACCTCTTCTCTTCCTCCTCTGTTGAAGCCCAAATCTCCTGGGAGAAGAGGCTGCAGGACCACTCCAGGGCTGCCTCCTGCTCTGGGGGGGACTTTGGTCTCATCCCTGTCCCCGATGGGGCTTCGGTTTCCTGGGGAGTTCACAGCCAACTGGGCCTCTTGACACAGAGGTACATAGCATGCTTCGTATTTGTTTGGTAGGAGTTTTGTGCTGCTTTGCCAAGCATCTTTACTCCAGGCCTGGAAGCACTGGGTGGGGGCTACCCTCCACCCCACCACCTAGGCAAGTGGCCTGGAATGTAGAATTTGAGTACTTCTAATTTTTCAAACCCCAAGGGGTCCCCCTGGGGACCCTTACGGTCCCTTTCCCTGTCTGCTCCTCCTGGCTTACAGAGCTTCACAGGGATGAAACCAGCGTACATCCTGGCCTGACAGAGCCCAACCTCGGCCTTGTAGCCTTAGCACCTTGCACTGTGCCTGGGGCAGGGCAGATGCTTATTAAATTTTTGTGCAGTGAATGGCTGGAGGAGCAGCCAGGAAATCGCAGGGTGACCTGATGGAGCAGTGAGGACGGACAAGGTGCTGAGGGAACACTTCCCAGAGCCCAACTGCATTTTGAAGGATGAGTAAGAGTTGGACAGAGAGGCAGGGTGGGAAGGGCATTCCAGGCAGGAGCAGCCTGTGCAAAGTCTGAAACAGTGTGGTCAGATCTGGCACTTAGGACATGTGTGAGGAACCTTTCATCTGGGCATGGGCACCCTGGCCTCCTGGAGTGGCACCAGTGATTGGCCCCCTCACCTGGTCCCGGGTCTCTGTGCTGCGGGCCTGGGCTTGGAGAGCACGCAGGCAGTGGAAGGGGAGGATCCTGGGGGCTTGCCAGGGCTCCCCAGGGCTTGAGGCTGTGCTAATCCTTCCCTCCTGAGGCTTGGGCTCTGCTCCCCTGGGCGAGCAGGTTATGGGGTTTGAACCTGTTGGAGCCAGCTGTGGTTCAAGCAGGTTCTAGCTACCTAACATAGATAGAACCAGGTTCAGTTCTGGTCTCCGTAATTTCCTGGCTGGGACCCGGGGTAAATTATTGACTTCTGTGTGCTACAGTTGTTTCTATAATAAAGATAATAGAACCTACCTGGCAAGATTGTTATGAAAATCAAACAAGGAAACTTGTGTAAAGTTTTTCTTTTTCCTCCTTTCCTTCTGCCCCTACTCCCATGTGCTCCTCTCCTTCTTAGTAGGGCTGGCCATTTGGACTGAGGGCCTGACTATTGTTTGAAGGATCCTGGACATCCTCAGCCCTGACAGCCCAGTTCTCAGTGTCTGTGGGCCACAGGATCAGCATCCCCTTTAGAAATGCAACAGTTATGTTGGGCGCAGTGGCTCACTCCTATAATCCCAGTGCCAGTGCTTTGGGAGGCTGAGGCGGGAGGATCTCTCTTGCTTTTTTTTTTTGAGACAGAGTCTCACTCTGTTGCCCAGGCTAGGGTGCAGTGGCGTGATCTCAGCTCACTGCCACCTCCGCCTACCAGGTTCAAGCAATTCTCCTGCCTCAGCCTCCTGAGTAGCTGGGATTAAAGGTGCATGCCACCATGCCCAGCTAATTTTTGTATTTTTAGTAGAGATGGGGTTTCACCATGTTGGCCAGGCTGGTCTCGAACTCCTGACCTCAGGTGCCCCGCCCACCTCGGCCTCCCAAAGTTCTGGGATTATCGGCATGAGCCACCGTGCCCAGCCATGGGGAGATCTTTTGAGCCCAGGAGTTCAGGACTAGCCTGGGCAACATAGTGAGACCTTGTCTCCACAAATAATAATAAAAAAATTAGCCAGGCATGTTCCTGTAGTCTCAGTTACTCAGGAGGCTGAAGCTGGAGGATTGTTTGAGTCCAGGAGTTTGAGGCTGCAGTGAGCTATGATTGTGCTGTACTCCAGCTGAGGCAACAGAGTGAGATCCAATCTCTCTCTCTCTCAAAAAAAAAAAAAAAAAAAAAAAAAAAGTTAGAAATGCTTATTCCCAGGCCGACATCACATCCACTGAATCAGAACTCTAGGACTGGGCCCCAGCAACCTGTTTTTTAACAAGCCCTTCCAGTGATTGTGACCCCAGCTCAAGTGTGAGACCCACTGCCTTAGGGGACCTAAGCGTCTCGGTGGGTGGAGCCTGGCTTTGACTTCGAGTCAGGACTTTGTCTTGACATCTGAGCACATTTTCAGTTTGCACCGGGGCCCACAAATTATGTAGCTAGTCCTCGGTGCTGGTCCCTGCCGTGACCCAGGCTAGGGGGTAACCTCTAGGAAGTCACTTCACCTTTCAGAGTCTCGCTGTCCTCATCTGTGCAGCCGGATGATCATTCTCACTCTGCTGGAGCACTGATGGGGGTTAAGTGTGATGCCTAAGCACAGCTCTTAGCACAGGGCCTGGCACAGGCGAGTGTGGAGTGACTCTGAGGCTGGGTGCCAGTGCGGTGCACACCCCTGGGGATACCATGGCAGCAAAACAGACATGTCCTTGGCTTAATGGGGCTTATGGTCTGGAGCAGGTAGACAGACGGCAAGAGATGCACACTGTGAAATGTGCTCCGAGGGAAAAGTGCAGGCACAGGAGATTGTCTGATGGGGGGATCTGACCTAGTTGCAGCTCACTAAAGGCTTTGGAAGTGCCAAAGGAGCAAAACTCAGAGAAGGAGTGGCTGTGAACCGGGTGTGGGGGTGAGGATGCCGTCGGGGGTTGGGGGAGGCAGCAGCACTGCTATGTGTTATTTTCACAGAAGTTAATAACCAGCCTCTGGGGTAGGCTGATGGGAGGGGAGAGCACCTGGAGGGAGGAGATGGGCCATAGGGGCTAAGGGTGGGTGAGAGGCTGCTTTGGGGGCCTCATCTTCCTGATCTGGGTTCCTTTCCTTCAAAAAGACCCTAGACTGTAGCCATTTAGAATGGAAATGGGGCCGTTACCCAGAGGCCACCTGACACAGTGGAGGAGAATGACTTTGCCAGCCAGTGCCACAAGTTAAGTTGTTTTACCTCTGGGAACCTTAGCTTCATGTAAGCAAAATGGGATTATTATTATTATTATTTTGAGACGGAGTCTCGCTCTGTTGCCCAGGCTGGAGGGCAGTAGTAGCTCGATCTCGGCTGACTGCAACCTCCACCTACCGGGTTCAAACGATTCTTCTGCCTCAGTCTCCCGAGTAGCTGGGACTACAGGTACGCGCCACTACACATGGCTAATTTTTGTATTATTAGTAGAGATGGGGTTTCACCATATTGCCCAGGCTGGTCTCAAACTCCTGACCTCATGATCTGCCCACCTCAGCCTCCCAAAGTGCTGGGATTACAGGCGTGAGCCACTGCACCTGGCCTATTATTTTTTTTAATTAAAAAAAAATTTTTTTAAAGAGATAAGTCTCACTGTCTTGCCTAGGCTGGTCTTGACCTCCTGTCCTTAAATGATTCTCCTGCCTGTGTCTTCTGAGTTGCTGGGATTACAGGGGTGAGCCATCGTGCCTGGCAAAATGGGACTGGACTACTGCCTAGCCCCTCTCGTTGTGCTGTTGTGGGGTTTAAGCGAGATGTTTCATGGCAGGTTCCCATGACACCCACCCGCTGGAAGTGCTCAGTGAATAGTCCATTCCTCTTTCCCTTCTGTCGGTTTGCAAGTAGGGAGCTCAGTTTTGAATTAGGAGTTCCTCTAGCCTAGGCTCACTCTGCTGGGGCAGTGCTGGCCCCTTCCTTTAATTGTAAGGAAAACGAAGCCGATCACCTCTTTTCTATAGATGACCAGAGGAGATAAGGACATAACCAGCACTTTTTTTTTTTTTTTGACAGAGTCTCACTCTGTCACCCAGGCTGGAGTGCAATGGTGCAATCTTGGCTCACTGCAACCTCTGCCTCCCGGGTTCAAGCAATTCTCCCGCCTCAGCCTCCCAAGTAGCTGGGATTACAGGCACCCGCCATCATGCCTGGCTAATTTTTGTATTTTTGTAGAGACGGGGTTTCACCATGTTGGCCAGCCTGGTCTTGAACTCCTGATCTCAGGTGATCTGTCTGCCTCGGCCTCCTAAAGTGCTGGGATTACAGGCATGAGCCACGGCACCCCACCTGTAACCAGCTTTGAGGCCCAGAAGCAGAGGCTCCAGAAACAGCTGAGTGCCACCTCTCCAGGTGTCCTCCCTGTTTGGGTCCCACCTGAGGGGTTAATTAAACCCACCCAGCTATATCATAGAGTAGGGGTGGCGTGAGTGTATTTTCCTCTAATTTGGTCTTGAGGTCTCTCTCTGAGAATGGCTATAAATTCTAGCCCTGCTGACGGAGTTCCAGGGCAGGTGTTTGTGGGGGTCCACAGTGTGCCTTTCATGAGATGCTTCTTTATCCTGGTGGATGGTCTGATGCCTAAGTATCCAGCCGTGACCAGGTGTCTCTCTCACAGGAAACTGGCTTATAGTGGAAGGCGCCTTGTGGCTCTTTTCTGACCTGTGTCCGTTTATTCCTACCAAGAAAACCACTCTCTAGGAGAGTACGTGGTCAGGTGAGACACTGAGGAAGTAGCCAGCAAAACCCAGGAAATAACAGAAGCAGAGTATTACTCACAGAGGGGAGGGCAGCGGGAAGCTGCCTGGGACCCCGTGCTTAGCCAGTGAGTTGGAGCAAGAGAGAGATGGGAGGACCTGTGGACTGGAGGCTTTGTTGGGGTGCAAGATGTTACCCACGCAGTTTCTGTGGGTAAATATAATTGCTGGGATTAGAGCAAGCAGGCATAAGGCATGGTGACTGAGGGGGGTCACTGCGGCAAATCCATGTAGCCCATGTGGGTGTGGGGGTCAATGGGCAAGTTAGGTGGCTTCTGTCTGGCTGTCCCATAGCGAGGTGGTCACCAGGAGGAGGTTGCATAAGGCAGATACCTGGATGGATCACATTGAGGAACTGGGAGGAGGCCGAGCACTGGAAGCTGTGTCAAGGGTGACTGAGCCCTGCTTCTGGTACGAGAAAGTCTGACATACTCAGAGTGGGTGCCCAAGCAACATGAAATTGTTAAAATTCACTACAGCGGGTGATCTCCCCCATCCCGCAGCGTGGGGTGGTGGTGGTGGTGGTGGAAGCAGCACTAACTGGGACCCAGGCGTCCCGAGTGCAGGCCCTGCTCTCTCAATGGAAAGAGCAGCTGTCATCTACCACGGGCCTCTCTGTTCACCGGGCACTGAACCAGGTGCTCCACATGCATCAGTGAAGAAAGGCACTGTTGGCTGGGCGTGGTGGCTCACGCCTGTAATCCTAGCACTTTGGGAGGCCGAGGCGGGTGGATCACCTGAGGTCAGGAGTTTGAGACCAGCCTGGGCAACATGGTGAAACCCCATCGCTACAAAAAATACAAAAATGAGCTGGGTGTGGTGGTGTGGCACATGCCTGTAGTCCCAGATACTTGGGAGGCTGAGGTGGGAGGATCACCTGAGCCTGGGGAGGTCAAGGCTGCAGTGAGCTGTGATGGTGCCACTGCACTCCAGCCTGGGCAACAAAGTTTTTTTTCAAAGAAAAAAAAACGTGCTGTTGTTAGAGACGAGAGTCAGAGGTTCAGTTACCCAGCTAGTGAGTGGCAGATCCCAAAGCCTTAACCATTGCTCTGACCTGACTCCCAGAGTGACACTCTGGGGCCTGCAGCAAGTCCTGCCCTTCTGTGGGCCTCATGTTGCCATGCATGCTCTTAAGGGGACACCTTGTGTTCCACAAACCCCCTCTGCTCCAGTGTCCTGGGGTCTGCATTTCTGCTGGAGGGGGGGCATCCCTGGGAGCTGTGCCACCATGCCCTGCGGCATCCAGTCTGCTGTTATCTTTACTAAGAAGATGACTGGCTGACTTGGGCCCTCTTGACTCCAGCCTCCCAGGCCCCTTGCCATTGTGGGCTGACCCCTGGCCCTATCCCTTCCTTACACACAATGGGGAGCAGAGGTGGCCAGGACCCATGGTTTCTCCACCCTGTGTTAGTGGGGCCCCAGGCTGGTGGGACTGGAGTCCTGTGGGAGACCCCGAAGTGAGAAGGAAGTTGGTGGCTCCAGGGAACTGACCAAGGTCAGTGTGGCTGGAGGGTGTGTGGGGGCAGGGAGCATGGTGGGAGGGAGGCTGGAGGCTGGACAGAGGCCAGATTGTGAAGAGCTCTTGGGAGCGGTTAAGAGTTTTTAGGCAGAGGAGGCACGTGATCAGGTTTGCATCTGGAATGACTGAGAAAATGCCTGCAACTGTTAAGGCAGTGTTAGGCACGTAAGAAGCACTCAATAGCCATCAGGCCTGGCTGTGATGCTTTTTCTGTTGCTCATTATGAATACCCAGACTCCACTGCTTACTAGCTGGGAGAACTTGGGCCAGTCACTAACCCGGGGGACCAATTTTCCTTACCAGTAATGCAGAGGGATAAGGAATTTCCTCACAGGGGTTTTATCAGGATCCAAGAGCTAAGTAGGGGATTTCATTTCATCTCAGTTAATCCGGCAAACACTCAGCCAGCCAATCCCAGCTGCACAGCCAGGGCCCTTCCTGTGTGTCACACGCCTCCCTGCTTCTCAGTCAGGACATGGCAGTTCTTAGTCACGGGATCTGGAAGGGCCCAGCTGTAATAAGGCACAAAGCTTAACCTTCTCCAGTTCTCTCTCTTGTCCTCAGCCTTAGCCTACAGTGGCAGACCGCTGCCTCCTCCTCAGACTCTCCCCCTAGCCTGAAGCCTTGGCTGAGGGGCCCCCAACCTTAAGAGCCCATAGAGATTCCCGAAGGACCTGAGGGAGTTATTATTATAATTGTTATTATTTTTTGAGATGGAGTCTCACTCTGTCACGCAGGCTGGAGTGAAGTGGCTCAATCTCAGCTCACTGCAACCTCCACCTGCCAGCTTTAAGCAATTCTCCTGCCTCAGCCTCCCAAGTACCTGGGATTACAGGCAAGAGCCACCACGCCCGTAATTTTTGTATTTTTAGCAGAAACAGGGTTTCACCATGTTGGCCAGGTTGGTTTCGAACTCCTGACCTCAAGTGATCTGCCCGCCTTGGCCTCCCAAAGTGCTGGGATTACAGGTGTGAGCCACCACACCTGGCCTGAGGGAGTTATGAGCCTTCTGTGAGCCTCAGTTTCCTGGTCCGCAGAATGGGAATAAGAATGTCTGTCGTATTAGTCTCCTATTACTCCTGTTACAAATTACCATATATTTAGTGGCTTAAAACAACACAAATATATTCTTTACACTTCTGGAGGTCCAAAGTCCTGAAATGGGTTGTCAGGGCTGTGTCCTCTGGAAACTCTAGCGGGGATCCATTCCCTTGCCTCTGCTGGCTTCCAGAAGCTGTCTGCATGCCTTGGCTCCCAGCCCCATCCTCCAGCTTTGAAGCCAGCAGTGTAGATTTTCGTCTGTCTTTCAATGCTTCCATCACCCCATTGCCTTTACTCTCTCTGACCCTCCTGCCTCCCTCTTGTCAGGACCCTTGTGATGACATTGGGCCCACCCAGGTCATGCAGGATAATCTCTCCATCTCAAGGCCCTGAACAAAATCACATCTGCAGAATCTCTTCTACCACATGACCCAACACAGCCACAGCTCTGGTGATTAGGATGTGGGCATCTCGGGGGGCTGTTACTCAGCCTACCACACACACCTTGCAGAGCAGTTGTGAGGATGACATGAGACAATGAAAGGCTCCCAATGCCTGGGACAGGCAGTCAGTCCCCTTTCTCCTCTCCTGGGGCCTTTGTCTCCCCATCTGTAAGACAAGGTCCCTGGCAGTCCACACAGTCTGAGCCCATGTCCTTCCAGCGTGCAGTACACACAGGCAGACTGTCCCTTCGGCGGTCAGGGGTCCTAGGAAGTGGCAGACTTGAGCCCTGTCCCTGACGCCTCTTCTCCCACTCCTTCCCAGGGGCAGGCCTGTTCTCAGTTCCTGGCGGTGCATTTCCCATCATTCCTAGGGACGGCTGCTGGGAAAGGCTGAGCTCACCACTCCCCGGGGAGGGCGAGGGTGGAGGAAGGAGAAGGGAGAGGCCAGCAGCAGCCACTGCAAGAGATGGGAGAGGAGAGGCCATGGAAGGAGACTTGCAGCGGGAGAGGCTGAGGTGATCAGCACTTAGAGGAGGGGAAGAGGCTGGGCAGGGCCTCCGATCTGGGCCTTCGAGAACGGTCAGCTTTTTCCCAGCCCCTCGGCCCAGGCCCTGCTGCTTGGTTCCTCTGCCGGCCGTCCCCTCTCAGCCAGCCCCTTCTGACAGGCCCTGGTGGCCGGAGGAGTGTGTGTGTATGCTGGGGATGAGAGGAGGGTGTCACAGGCCAGCAGGGGCCGAAGTGGGGTGCTGCCGCCGGACAGGAATTCAGGAATCCCCCACTTCAGTGAGAAGAGGACCATTTCAGCCAGAGTCCACCCCTCACTTCCCTCTACTCAGAAATCAGTCACCGTTTGTTTGCCCTGGGGCTCACCATCTGCCTTCACTGGACCTTACTTTTTTTGTTTGCCTGTGTGTGGCAGGTGGAGGGCCGTGGGAGAGGCAGTTAATAACACCATTATGGGATTTGAGAGGGTGAAACGAGATTGTGATTTTGAACTGATTTTTGAAATGTGCAGTCTGCTATGTAAGGATGTGCATTCCATGCATAGCCTGTTCCTTTAACGTTCTCTTCTGCAATTTGACAATCTGACAAACTCTTCATTGTGCTTCAAGTCCAGCTCAGATGTCACCTGCTCTCTGCAACTTTCTCAACAGCCCCCTGCCCATCCCAGAAAGAATGGAGCTGCTCCTTTCTCGGAATTGCTGTGGCCTCTTAATTTTTTTAATTTTTATATTTTCTTGAGACAGAGTTTCACTCTTGTTGCCCAGGCTGGAGTGCAACGGCACCATCTCAGCTCACTGCAACCTGTGCCTCCCGGGTTCAAGTGATTCTCCTGCCCCAGCTTCCCAAGTAGCTGGGATTACAGGCATGTGCCACCACGCCAGGCTAATTTTGTATTTTTAGTAGAGACGGGGTTTCACCATGTTGGTCAGGCTGGTCTCGAATTCCTGACCTCAGATGATCTGCCTGCCTTGATCTTTCAAAGTGCTGGGATTACAGGCATGAGCCACCGCGCCTGGCCCTGTGGTCTCTTTATAACCCTCTCATAGGGTGCCTTTGGTAGGCTGGGTATTGGTTTGGACATCTGTCTCCCCTACCCTATGTGGGCAGTACATTTGTAACAGACCCTTCTGCTCCTTAAGGTCACTGTGGTTGTGGTGGGACAGAGGCAGTGTGGCAAAGGCAATTGGGGAGCCGGCCTCCTGGGGTCTGGCCTGTACAAAGTTGCCACATGTCAGTCCAGCCCTTAGAATTGAGCAGACCACATGACTGACTCAATCAGATTCACATGAACCTGAGCTAAAAGCAGGCAACCAAATCATTCAGGTCCTTCTCTCTCTGTGGCATGAATGCCCATGCCCACTGCCTCCTGCTGATAATCAGACAGCACAGGGGCTGAGTTGCTCATGAGGTTTCCTCATGAGGGTGAAATGTGAGCCAAAGGAAGGTGCTGAAGGAAAGGCCATCTAGGTCTTAAGGAAGCACATTCCGTAAGCTCATCCACCACACTCCAAACCCCGTGGGAAGCCTGTGTCCCACTGCCTGGTGCCGGTTGGATACACAGAGAGTATAAAATAAATGTTGGAAACAATGTAGCATGGTGACCAAAGGCTCCTCCGCTTCCTGCAGGTGTTCTTACATGCGATTCCTTATACCTTTTCCCCCCTGCTAGACTTTAAGCCCCACAGAGGCAGGGCCCTGGATGGCCTTGTTCCCCTTGGTGTTCCCAGTGCCTCTCAGTGCACTCACCTACCTATGTTGAACCCAGGTTACATGCCAGGCGCATACAGACGTTGGCCTTTCATCCCCCTCAACACCCTGGAGCAGGCTGTGTTGCCCTATTATCCAGGTGAGGACAGGAAAGGTAAGATGCCATGTCCAAACATAGCCATTAAATACCAGGGGAGAGAGCGAGACCCCATTCCCCATTGCTCCCCACATCGATTTCCATTTGCGCAGTTCTCCCCGAGGTTTGGGATCAGATGGCTTGAGCTTCTAGGTTGTGGCAGGCAGAGCTGGTTCTGGGAAGGTCACTCCAGATAGGTTGGTGGCTAAGAGGGCCAGCACCGTTCCTCCTGCGGGCTTCTTACTACCCCTCCTGAAGCCATAAAAGGGAACTGTTTTGAGGAGCAAGTGGAAGGTTTGGGGGTTGCATATTACCAAGTCCCAGTGTATGTCTGGGGAATGGTCTGGAGATGCTCTAGAATGCTCCTCCCCTGCTCCCTGCCTCACTGAGGCACAGCTGCTCTTGGTTGGCTTTGCTGTGCCCACCTTATCTGCAAGGCCTGTGTATTCTTGGAAGTAATGGAAATGCATTTATTTAAAATGCTCAATAATTCAGCCTTGTCCTAATATCAGGCCTTTGTCTCTGCTCAGCACTCTGGTCTCCCCAGGACTCCTCATATACCCATTATTTCCTCCCACCTACCTAGCCTCCTGTGAGGTAATGTGACCCCCAGTGACAGCACGTAAGCCAGCTGAAGCCAAGATGGACAAGGACCTGCCCAAGGCCACCAGTGGGTCCGCTTGCTGTGGTAGGGGTTAGTATTCTCACCATTCACAGAGCTCCAACTCTGTGCCAGGGCCTCATTTCACTCAAGACGGCTGCGTTGCAGGGTGATGAGGCTACAGGCCTGCCTGACCCTAAGCCTGTGCCCTTAACTCCTTTATGATGCACCTTCTCTGTGCCAAGCACAGGCCTTGCCCTGGAGGAGCTCCCATCCTGGGGGGCAAGTTCTCAAATGAATGATTCCCACCAAGGCAGGGGTGTGAAATAGGTGCCCTCAGAGAGGCCTGGCAAAGCTCCCTGAGGGAGCAGGGCTTGGGCCCTCTCCTCCAGGGATCCCTGCAATGTGGGGTCAGGCCCACCAGGCAGGCTGCCTGAGCACTTTGATGCTGGCTGCGCCCATTTGTGGGCCTCTGGCCTCCCCAGGCCACCTTCTGAGAGCACAGGGAGCTGTGTGGGCCAGAAAAGGAGCAGGGGCTTTGGGGCCGCCAGGCGGGCGTTGCCTCCCCTGAACTGGGTAACTTTTCTCTTCCCCTCCCTAGCCTCCAGTTTCCAATTCTGTAAAATGAGGATACTGGCTTTTTCTCCTTGAGTTATCCTTGAGATTAAACATAAATATTTAAAGTACCTAGCACATGACAAATTAACAAATGGTATGTCTTAAAATAATCACTGGGCATGATGGCATGTACCTGTAATTGCAGCTACTCAGGACGCCGAGGTGGGAGGCTCACTTGCGCCCAGGAGATCAAGACCAGCTAGGGCAATATAGTGAGACCCTTTCTCCAGAAAAAAATATTACTGTAGGGCTATTTTTTTTTTTTTGAGATGGATTCTCACTCTGTCGCCAAGGCTGGAGTGCAGTGGTGCTATCTTGGCTCACTGCAACCTCCGTCTCCCAGGTTCAAGCAATTCTCCTGCCTCAGCCTCCCGAATAGCTGGCATTATAGGTGTGTGCCATCACACCCAGCTAATTTTTTTTATTTTTAGTAGAGACAGGGTTTCACCATGTTGGCCAGGCTGGTCTTGAATTCCTGACCTCGTGATCCACCCGCCTTGGCTTCCCAAAGTGCTGGGATTATAGGCGTGAGCTACTGTGCCAGGCCAAATTTCTTAATAAGAAAATATGCCCAGATTGTTACCAAAATCCAGTCAGATTGCTTTTCAGTGAACAGGCATTCAGTAAACATTTACTTAGTGCTGTCTCTGGGCTCGCTTGGGCCTTGGTCATGGGGCCTGGTTTCAAATGCTGGCTCAGCGACTCCCTGGCTCTACTCAGTGGCCTGAGCTCCTGGGCCTTGGTTTCTGCCTCTTGCTTATGGCCCCTGGGGCCTCTGGTGAGACTGAGCTCATAAAGTGTCGGCAAAGTACTTTGTGGATCGATGCTAACTAATAGCAGTTCCCTGGAGCTGCCGTGAGTAGGAAAGATGACTGTGGAAGTTGCTTGGGCCGGGCTCAGGGCTGGCACCCAGGGAGGGCCAGTGTTGTCCTCACAGTGGGACTAAGGAAGGGCCTGCTATCCCCTGTCCCTGATGCTTTATTCCACTTTAGCCAGGAGTGGGTGCTGATAAAGTTTGATGATGGGGATGGTGCTATCCATGGCCACGGGGGAAGAGGCTTGCTCAGTTACTGGCAGAGCCAGGTGTGGATACCCATCTGGGTCACATCCAGCCAGAGCTGGAGCCATGGCCTGTCCTGGGATCCTCTTGTCAGGGATCCCCCTGTTGCCCCCTGCCATCTCTCCAGAGGTTGCTGGCCTCTGCCCAGACACACAGCTGACATAAATATGGCATGGTGGCTTCAGTTCAATGGAGAGCATAAATGGGGAGTTGGAGTGGGACCCTGGGCAGGGGAGGGTGTGAGCAAGACTCCCTGTCAGTTCTGCTCCAGAGGGAAGACCTTCCCCGTGTGTTAGACTGAGCTGAAGTCTGTCCTGGGAGCTTCTGGGGAGAGGGAGCAGATGGGGATCGTGCCCTCTGGGAGCTCCTGGTGTGATGGAGGAGGCATGGCCCTGTCCTCCAGGACACTCCTGTCTGATGGGGCACCATGACTTCTGTTTCCTGGGACTCTCTGTGTAACAGAGGGGACACAGTCCTCTTGTTCTGTAGGAGCTGTGTGCCTGAGGAATGAAGCATGGCCTCCATCCTGCAGGAGCCTCCAATCTGATGGGGGATCCATGGCCACTTCCCTCAGAGAGATTCCCTATTTGAGAGAGGAGCCCTGACCTCTGTCCTCAGGAAGGACCCCTGTCTGATGGAGGCTCATCTTGTCCTCTCACTCAAGAAACCCCATTTATGGCCTTCACCTTTGACCCCTTCACTTTGACCCCTTCCGCTCCCTGATTCATGGGGAGCTCAGGTCCCACAGGCAGCAGCTACGGACGGAGATGGGCACTTATAAACTTGGCTGCTGTGGGGCAGGGAGGAAGGGAAGACAGGAGACTCCTTACAGGAGACTGCAAGAAGGCCCTCTGCAGCAAGTGAGGGTGACATAGAAGCCTTCCTGGTGAAGGTGTCTGTATGGGATCCTCTGATGGACAGGAGGTGCCTGGCTGTGACAAGTACCCACTGGGGATAAGGGGTAAGGGCTCCCCCAGGCTGGAAGGGAAACTTGAGGGGTCACTCTGGTGAGCCCCTGTCTCCATGCAGGCTGGACTGCTGGAATGGAAAGTGGTCTAGGGAGACCGTCACCATCCTTGGGGAGACCCTCACCCCCTGCCCGTCTGTGTACAGGCAGAGTGCTGCCAGCCCAGGGACATCCGCCCTCCATGGCCCGAGAAGCCCGGAGGAGGAGAGGAAACAGGACGCGTATCAGGAACGCCTTTTCCTTTTCTTTGTAACTAACCCCTCACTTGGGGCTGGGGAGAGCTGAGCCTGCGGGGCTGGCCCTGGCCTGGCTGCTGCTGCCTGCAGCCCCCAGCTCAGGCTCCCTCCACCTCACAGTCCACTGCTTTGGCGCTGCTTCTGGGCTGGCCTCTTCACTCCACTGAATCTTTGGGCTCTCATCTGTAAAATGGGGTAAGACTTTCTATCTGACTCACCAGGAAGTTTGCTTTTCCTCTCTTTCTGGGATTTACATGATTTCTTCCTCTCTCCATGAGATGTGCATTGAGTGCTTCCTGCGCACCAGCCTCTGGCATAGGTGGGGATGGAGAACACAGGGAGGAACAGTGCGGGGTGGAGATGGGGGAAGGCTGTTTGGGACTTGTCTAAGGAGTTGGGGGACATCGAGTAGAAATGTCTGAAGGCTGATGGGTGGGGGTCAGAGAGGGTCTGGCTGGAGACGAGGTTTGGACTTACTGGCATCGGTGGCAGCTGAAGTGGTCAGGTGGGTGGAGTTGCCCAGGGAACTCCTTTTCATGGGCTCTGGGAAGGGGCCAAGGTCAGACTCAGCTCTGGAGTCTCCTGAGAGCTGGGCACAGAGCAGGGATGGGGAGTCAGGTGGCCAGGGCCTCCAGCGGGACTGAAATGGGGTCAGTGGGTTTGGTGCTTCTTGTGAGGGTTGAGACCTTTGCCTTTGCAGTGTGGTGTCGGGGTGTGCGGGGAAGGGTGGATCACAGAGGATGAGGAGGGAGTAAAGGTGAAGGTGCTCAGATATCAAGGAATTTGGTCAGTCAGGTTGTCATTCTTTTGCTTGTGTTTGTCATTATTCAAATTATTCCCCTGCTGACTGAAGGGCTACTGTGGGGTGCATGTTTAGTCGGTTATATGCTGTGTGCATGTTGTATATGTGGGGGTTTGTAGACAAGATGTGTGTGTGGAGTGTGATGCAGGTGTGTTACTGTTTAGTATTTGTGTATGTCTTTCTGTGCATGGTGTGTAGAGTGCGTGCACACGACCACATTCAGATCCTTGATCCATACAGCAGGCTGGTGCTGAGTCGTCTGCCTAGGCTGGAAACTGGGAAGGATTCATCAAGCTTGTGAATTTATCTTCTCTACTTAGGGTTACACCCAACAGTGTGCTGGTAACAACTGGCCCTCCAGAAAAAAAGAAGGGTGGGGGATTTTAGCATCTGCCAATTTCTGTGATGTAAATACTCTGACTTCAGATTTCACTCTACCAGTGTGAAGTCACTGAATGTGCAGTTGGGAAGAGATGAACAGTAGACACCATTGTATAGCATTTCCACCATACAGGTATAGTAGGCATAAATACCCTTGAGGGTATGATAGTAACAACAGTAAAATAATTAGTATGTAATCAGTTTTGAAAATGCATTCCTGGGCCAGGCATGGTTTCTTATGCCTGTAATTCCAGCACTCTGGGAGGCAGAAGCTGGAGGATCACTTGAGGTCAGGAGTTCAAGACCAGCCTGGCCAACATGGTGAAACTCCGTCTCTACCAAAAAAAAAAAAAATACAAAAATTAGCTGGGTGGGCGTGGTGGCACATTACCTGTAATCCCAGCTACTTGGGAGGCTGAGTCACGAGAATTGCATGAACCCAGGAGGTGGAGGTTGCAGTGAGCCGAGATCATGTCACTGCATTCCACATTCTAGCCTGGGCAACAGAGCAAGACTCTTGTCTCAAAAAAAAAAAAAAAAAAAAAAGAAAGAAAGAAAAGAAAAGAAAAGAAAATGCATTCCCTTTGCTTTTAATAGAGTTTATTTAATTGTAAGTTCACATTAGGATTTCTATTTTTCTTTTTTTTAAACTTTTTTTTTTCCTCTCTCTTTTTAAAGACAGGTTGTTGCCCAGCCTGGTCTCAAACTCCTGGGTTCAAGCGATCCTCCCACTTCAGCCTCCCAGAGTGCTGGGATTGCAGGCATGAGCCACTGCTCCAAGCAGGGTTTCTCAGCATCAGCACCATAACATTTTGGTCTGGAGATCCTTTGCGGGGGGTTTGGGGGGACTGACATGTGCATTATGCAGGCAGCATCCTTGGCCTCTACCTACTAGATGTTAGTAGCACCTCTTCCCCAAATCATGACAGCCCACAATGTCTCCAGACATTGCCAGGTGTCCCCTGGGGTGCAAATTCGCCCCCGGCTGAGAACCAACGGTACTGGCTGTGTTTAACAACTACCTCACAAAATTCTTAAAAATGTGACACTTGGCTCTTATGAGCCTGTACAAGCCAGCTCAGCACACCGTGGGCACCCCATCCAGATAAATATAAGGCAGTTTTTTTCCCCCACAACTATTTCCCTGGAAAAAGCTGGCACCTTAGGCCTTAGATTTCAGTCTGTATGGAGTCCCTGACCACAGAGAACCCTCTCGGCTTACTGACTGATCCACAGAGCAGTGGACACAGAGTCAGAGATATGCTGCCATAGTGGATCTGTTGTGACATTTTATGAAATGTGAGAATAGGAAGAAATTAATGATGTTTTTGAATTAATATCTTATTTTAACATATGTTATTCTATATCCTTAAAAGTTTGCATGTTGAAATTGGCAAAACAAACAAACCAAACAAAAACCCCCTTTAAATAAAATCTTTCCGCTGGGAAAATAATGGCCTGTCTTGTGTCAGGAGTGCCCTATAGCTAATGGGTTCCCGCCAAGACTGCGCATCCATGGTGCTCATCCAGATGGCAAGGCTGCCGCTTCTTGGCCCAGGTCCTATTTTTTCCCAGCCTCAAGCTCAGGGCTTGGCTCTTGTTTATTCATTCAAAATCTTTATTAAGCACCTACTATGTACCAAGGAACATAAGTGACTGAAGTCGCAGTTTCTGTTCCCTGGGGTTTGCCATCATTTCAGTTCCGTGGCATCCACTCAGGAGCAGCCATGTGCAGGCCCTGTTTGGATGCTCAGGGGCCAGCAGGAGAGGGAGGGAAAGATGCACATGTGTGCTGGGTGCCTGGTGGTGCCTGGAACGGAACTGGGCACATCACACATGCACCTCCTCCCACCCTCCCACTGTGCTTTTGAGGGAGGGCTTGCTTGTTCACTGAGTGTCTGCCTTCCGCTGCCCTGTAGGTGCTCTGGGGAAACAACACCGACACCGGGGCCTGTACCTTCTGCAGGTAAAAACAGCCCCAGGCCCAGAGATTTGAAAAATAAAGGGAAGAAAAGAAAGGAGGGAAATAAGAAAGACGAATGGAAGGAAGCAAAGGAGGGAGCAAGGGCAGAGGAGTCAGGGCAAGAGCACTTTAAGCCAAGGCAGTCAAGGAGGGCTTCTTGGGTGAGGTGACGCTGGGACTGTGTGAAGGATGGGAAGGGGCTGCAGTTGGTAGAACTGATGCAAAGGATAGTACAGGAAGAGGGAAGAGCAGGGCACGCACCTGGAAATTTCTGGAATGTGGATGTCTACACTGGGAAAAAGTGGGGCACAGTGGCTCACACCTGTAATCCCAACACTTTGGGAGGCTGAGATGGGCGGATCACTTGAGGTCAGGAGTTTGAGACCAGCCTGGCCAACATGGTGAAACCCTGTCTCTACTAAAAACACAATAATTAGCCGGGTGTGGTGGTGTGCACCTGTAATCCCAGCTACTCTGGAGGCTGAGGCAGGAGAATTGCTTGAGCCCAGGAGGCGGAGGTTGCAGTGAGCCAAGATCATGCCACTCCACTCCAGCCTGGGTGACAGAGCGAGACTCCATCTCCAAATAATAATAATAATAATGATAATAATAATCTGGGGGAAAAACATCATAAATTGTGTTTTCTACCCAAGACTGTAGGGAGACAGACAGTTTAAACATTTCCCTGTCCCAGCAGGAGTAACATGACCATCTCCTCCCACCCGCAAGGCTTTCTCACCTGAGGGACACTTGGGGGAGAACTCTCCCTGAGCAGGGGGTGGGGGCAGGACACTGGCCAGGATAATGATGATGACAATTTCATAGTATCATAGCACAATGTCAGCTTCCCTGTGTTGAGTCACTACTGGGGATCAAGTTTTTACACCTATCCCCAGCCTATGGGGTGGATATTATCCCCATTCTCTAGGCGAAGGAAGCTGAGCCTTCCAGAGGATAGGAAATGGGCCTGAGGTCACACTGGGCTCAAGCAGAGACTCAGGCAGGGACTGTCTGCTTCAGCCTCTGGGCCCTTTTGGCTGCCAGCAACCTTCTCTTCCTGCATCTCAGCCCCAGGAAGGCTGGGCAGCGCTCAGGCGCAGTCTGTGGGCTCTTTGGTATCCAGCTGCCAGCCCGCCTGGGGAAATTTTGATTAGCCCTTGATTTTCAGATCTCCAGCTTCATGGGTTAACAGAAAATAAGCCAAGCTCTTTTAAGAAACTCTCCCCTCTGTCCATGGCCCCCTCTTTCCTCACTCTGCACCACCTGAGAATTTTCAAAAATATGCTTCATGGCCAAAGAAGTGAACCCGTGAATGCGGCAGGAGGCTTGGGGAATTGCTGTCGGCCTAGAAGTCTGTGGGAAGTCTGCAGCCCAGGAGTCTGACTTGGCCAGAACCCCTCACTCCCCAGCCACCACCCCTGACCCCTCTGGCCTGCCAGGCACTGCCCTGTGCCCTGGGAGCTATGGCAGATTTGAGCAGGGATGTGACAGGAGACGGGAACCACAGAAGCCGGCGGTCCCCATCCCAGTCTGACTCTGGGCACACTAGCGAGTCTCCCTGAGCCCAAGCTTCCTGGCCCTGGTGTGAGACTCTTCTCTCACTCGGGCTTTGATTTCTCCCTCTGGGAAATGAAGCAGGTGGGACTGTGCTCCCTCAGGCTCCGGAAATCTCTGAAATGGGGTGACATTTCTTGCCTTCCTGCCTCCTTCCCCCTCCTGGGCTGTCCTGAGAAGCAGGTGCACTGATGGTGGGTAAACAGAAGGGCCACACTCTGACACAGGGAGGGCTGGGAAATTCTGGCAGAGCAGACGAGCCGGTACACAAATAACTCTGCTACCAGGGAGAATGCGATAAGGGCCTAGGAACCTCTCTGCAGCCGCTGCCACCTGCTCCCCGCACCTCCCTGCTCCCTGATGGCTGCTCTCACACTGAGGAAAGTGGGTCAGAATGTAGGGTGGCTGCGTCTGAGTGAATGCCCCCTTGCGTCTCCCCACCCTACCCAGCTGAGCCATGGCTGCTATTGGACAGGGATGGGGGAACGTATGGGATTGAGGGCATCTCTGGGTCCAAAATATGGCCCTGGCCAGTCATTCTCCCTCCCCTCAAATGTGCATGGCTCCCTATTGCCTTCTGGATAAGGTCCAAGTTCCTTAGCCCGGCACTCAAGGCCCTTCACAGCCCTACCCTCCTAGCCGAAGGCCCTCACATAGAGGTGCTCCGTGATTCTCTGTGGAGCAAACGGACCATTCTCCAGCCCAGCCTCTTCCCCTGGGGCTCCTCCCAGGCACTTGGGGCACACTCCAGCCACACCAGAGGCTCGCTGTCTCCTGAGCACCTGGTGGATTCAGTTGCCCTCTCCAGGCCTCTGCCTGCAGTGTGGTCACCTTCTGCACCTTGTGTGTCCTTCAAGATCTTCCTCATTGCTACCTCCTCCCTTGAAGGCTTTTTTTTTTTTTTTGAGATGGAGTCTCGCTCTGTTGCCAGGCTGGAGTGCAGTGGCATGATATTGGCTCACTGCCACTTCCTCCTCCTGGGTTCAAGCGATTCTCCTGTCTCAGCCTCCAGAGTAGCTGGGACTACAGGCGCCCACGACCATGCCTAGCTAATTTTTGTATTTTTTTTTTTTTTTTTTTGAGACGGAGTCTCGCTCTGTCGCCCAGGCTGGAGTGCAGTGGCGCGATCTCGGCTCACTGCAAGCTCCGCCTCCCGGGTTCACGCCATTCTCCTGCCTCAGCCTCCCGCGCAGCTGGGACTACAGGCGCCCGCCACCACGCCCGGCTAATTTTTTTGTGTTTTTTAGTAGAGACGGGGTTTCACTGTGTTAGCCAGGATGGTCTCGATCTCCTGACCTCGTGATCCGCCCGCCTCGGCCTCCCAAAGTGCTGGGATTACAGGCGTGAGCCACCGCGCCCGGCCCTAATTTTTGTATTTTTAGTCGAGATGGGGTTTCACCATATTGGCCAGGATGGTCTCAATCTCTTGACCACATGATCCGCCCACCTCGGCCTCCCAAAGTGCTGGGATTAAAGGTGTGAACCACAGCGGCCAGCCCTGAAGGCTTTTTTGACTCCCCAGACAGAACCACATAATCCCACCTCTCAGGCAGTATTGTGAGTGATTAAAAGTGTGGTCTCTGGAGCTGGAGTATCTGGGCTCTGATATCTAGCTCTGTTGCTTACTTGCTGTGTGACCCTAGGCAAATTACTTAACCTCCCTGTGCCTCAGTTTTCTCATCTGTGAAATGGGATGATAGTAACACTTATTATAGAGTTGTTGGAGAAATAAGTGAGTTAATATTTGTAACTCACTTACAGCAGTAACTGGACCTGGTTTCTCTCCTGGATAACCTGGATAAGCTTTCTTTTCTTTCTTTCTTTCTTTTTTTTTTTTTTTTTTTTGAGACAGAGTCTCACTGTGTTGCCCAGGCTGGAGTGCAGTGGTGCAATCTCAGCTCACTGCAACCTCGCCTCCTGGGTTCAGTGTTTCTCCTGCCTCAGCCTCCTGAGTAGTTGGGATTACAGGCACGTGCCACCACACCCGGCTAATTTTTGTATTTTTAGTAGAGACAGGGTTTCACCATGTTGGCCAGGCTGGTCTCAAACTCCTGACCTCGTGATCTGCCCCCCTCGGCCTCCTAAAGTGCTGGGATTACAGGCGTCAGCCACTGCGCCTGTCCTACCACCATCTTTTTAAACTTCATCCATCCTCATACTTGAATAATTCTCTTAGGGCATTCATTTAACCATAGTCATCCTATATTTATTTATTGAGCACCTACTATATCCTAGGTACCATGCTATGCCCCAGAAATACAGTGAATATAACACAAATAATATCTCTACTTTCATTGTTGCTATAAAAGTGAAGCAGAGGGTGTTATCAGACCATTACAAAGTATGGTAAGTGCTATGAATGGGGACACACTGGATGTGGAGCTGAGGGGCTCCTAACCCAGACTTAGAGGGTAGTCAGGGAAGGCTTCCTGGAAAAAGGATAGCTGAGTATACGATACATTAGGCCTGGGGAGGGATCTCAGGATTCACAGAAACATGGATCCTGGATTGTAAAATCACAGAACCAGAGACTCTTACATCAAAGCATTCAGAGTTTAGGGTCCAGATTTTCCCTACTTCACTTACTTTTTTTTTTTTTTCCTAGATTCTCCTTTCTCCAAGACTTGAGACATATCTTGTTAGGGAAATCCAAGCATCTTTATAAAGTACTTTATGCTCATTGTATAACAGAAAAATTATAGGTATAAAGAAGCGTGTGGGTGGGCGGAGTCTTCTTCAACTCCTGTCAGTATTTAGGCACATTTCCTTTTTTTCATTCTCTCTGTCTTTTTTTAGTTGTTTTTTTTTTTAATTGAGATGTAATATACCATAATATTCACACTTTTAGGGTAAAATTCAGTGGTTTTTGTATATATTCACAAGTTTGTATAACCATCACCACTATCCAATTCCAGAACATTTTCATCACCTCCCAAAGAACTCTGTACCAATTAGCAGTCACTCCCCATTTCCCACTCCCATCAACCCTTGGCAACCACTAATTTACCTTCTGTCTCTATCAATTTGCCTACTCTGAACATTTAATGCAAGTGGAATCATATAATATGCAGCCTTCTGTTAACAGAATTATGTTAATTATGTTAAATTAACATAATTAACATTATGTTAATTTACTTAACATAATGTTTTCAAGGTTCATTATGTTGTAGCATGAATCAGTACTTCATCCCATTTTATGCCTATGTACTATTCCATTGTATGTATAGACTGAATTTTAAAAAAATACATGTATTCATTGATAGATTTTTTTTTTCACTCTTTTTGGCTATTTTGAATAATGCTGCTACAAACATTTATGCATAAGTTTTTTGTGTGGACATTTTCAGTTACTTTGGGTGTATACCCAGGAGGGGACTTACTGGGTCATATGTTAACTCTCGGTTTAACTTTTAAAGGAACTGCCAAACTGTTTTTCAAAGTGACGGCCCCACTTTCCATTCCCACCAGCGATGTATGAAGTTTCCAGTTTCTCCACACTCCTGTCCACACTTATTATCCTTCCTTTTGAGTATAGCCATCTTAATGGGTGTGAAGTGTATCATTGTAGTTTTGACTGATGACTGATGATGCTGAACATCTTTTCATGTGTTTAGTGGCCACTTGAATATCTTCTTTGGACAAATGCCTATTCAAACAAATCCATTGCCCATTTAAAAATGGGTGATTCACCTGTTTGTTGTTGAGTTGTAATAGTTCTTTATATATCCTGGCTATTAGGACCTGATCAGATAAATGATTTGAAAATATTTGCTCCATTCAGTGGGTTTCTTTTTTTTTTTTTTTTAATTATACTTTAAGTTCTAGGGTACATGTGCACAACGTGCAGGTTTGTTACATATGTATACATGTGCCATGTTGGTTTGCTGCACCCATCAACTCGTCATTTACATTAGATATTTCTCCTAA